>NC_000002.12:53523685-53826715 GCF_000001405.40 Homo sapiens | reverse complement strand
ATATGAGACTGTGAGCAATCAGTGCAAGGCAGCAAAAAATTGATTACATGATGCCATGTGGAATCCAAGAGAAAAGGAACACAGATGAAACAAAACAATAAAAATGCTCCTTTTTCTTTCCCAACTATTGTAAAACTGAAGAACATATTTTGTTTTCCCCTCAAAGCACCAAACACTGAAAAATAAGGAGTGTTGAGAGTGAACAGAGGGATTAGTTTAAAAAAAAAAGTAATAGGGAAAATTGGAGTAGTTGAGAAAGATTTTATAAGGTGTGGGTTAAGAGAAGATGAGGGTTCATTCATTTATTCAGCAAATGTTTGTTGAGAGTCCCTTTTATTCATAGTCTGAGGAGAAACAAAAATAAAATGCATTCTTTACTCCAAAACAGAAAGCCATACATAAAAGATGAAGGAATTCTCATTCTGTCACTTAAATGATAAACATGATCTGGATCTAGATAATTGGCATTGTGCTTGCATTGTTTACCAACACCAAAAGATTATCAAAGAAGAGAGGGTTTGGCATGTAACCTAGCCAGAATTCCCAAGGTGACATTTTAATCTTACTAATGAAATATTCGCCAGATTTTTGAATTGCATTAGCATAATAAAAATAACATATGGGAAAAATGAGTGTCATATGTTGCCAGGAAAAAATTAATTGCTGTACTCATTTTACAGAGAATTTTGCTGAGCCCTTCTATGTGTTCTCTCAGGTGGGAGATGACAGTAGAGAATGGTGCATGAGGCAGAAGACATTTCTGTGAAGCAAAAGCAGTATGGCACTCATTTATATTTGATCTTAGCCGAAAGGCCGAGAAGCGATATGGCATACATTTATAAACATAGACTCTGAATTGGTTCAAATGCTGACTCAGCCACATGGAGTACTTAATTCAACTTTTTTTTTTTTTGAGACAGTCTTGCTCTGTCACCCAGGCTGGAGTGCAGTGGCACGATCTTGGCTCACTGCAATTTCCGCCTCCCGGGTTCAAGCGATTCTCCTGCCTCAGCCTCCTGAACAGCTGGGACTATAGGCACCCGCCACCATGCCTGGCTAATTTTTGTATTTTTAGTAGAGACGGGGTTTCACCAGGTTGGCCAGGATGGTCTGGATCTCTTGACCTCCTGATCCGCCCGCCTCTGCCTCCCAAAGTGCTGGGATTACAGGCGTGAGCCAATGCGCCCGGCCTCAAATTTTTTTTTTTTTTTTAGAGACAGGTTCTTACTCTGTCACCTAGGCTGGAGTGCAGTGGCACAATCCTGGCTCACTGCAGCCTCTAACTCCTGGGTTTAAGCAATCCTGTAGCCTCAGGCTCCAGAGGAACTGCCACCACAGGTGCACACCACCACACGCAGCTAATTTTGTAATCTTTGTAGCGATGGGGTCTTGCTATGTTGGCCAGGCTGTTTTTGAACTCCTGGGCTCAAGCAATCCTCCTGCATGGGCCTCCTAAAATGCTAGGATTACAGGCGTGAGCCACCACAGCCGGCCACACTGCTGGACTTTTAAGTAAATTTATTTTTTAATATATATTTATAAAATAAAAGTTATGTTTGTACTTGAGGAAAATATATAGGAAGCTATGTTGTATTTTTTCTTAAATTCAAGACAAAGCACAATTCTTTCTATCAAAAGGTCCTAGAAGGCTGGGCACCTGCAATCCTACCACTTTGGGAGGCTGAGGCAGGAGGATTGCTTGAGGCCAGGAGTTCAAAACTAACCTGACCAACATAGCAAGACTCCCTCTCTATAAAAAACATTTAAAAAGTATCTATTTCAAGGATACTAGCAAAAAGGTTAAACGACATGCAAAGATTATTATTTAGTGTGGCATTGTCTGTAGTGGCAAAGGATTGAAAAAAAATTAAAATAGATTTGAAACACATAATGTAGTATGTGATTAGATGTGAGCTCTTTAGCACTATTTTAGTTTTACAAACATCTTTGGTAATTGAGTTGGTTGCTGTTTCCAAAAGTCCTGCTTGATTTACTTGCTTTTGGTGAACATTTTTTGTTTCAAGTGTAAAAAATACTAAAATGCTTAAAAATTTACAAATAGCGGCCGGACGCGGTGGCTCACGCCTGTAATCCTAGCACTTTGGGAGGCAGGGGTAGGCAGATCACGTGAGGTCAGGAGTTTGAGACCAGCCTGACTAACATGACAAAACCCGTCTCTACTAAAAATACAAAATTAGCCTGGCGTGGTGGCGCATGCCTGTAATCCCAGCTACTCCAGAGGCTGAGGCAGGAGAATCACTTGAACCCGGGAGGCAGAGTTTGCGGCAAGCCGAGATGGGGCCATTGCACTCCAGCCTGGGCAAAAAGAGCAAAACTCCGTCTCAAAAAAAACAAAACAAAACAAAAAAAACCCCAAAATTACAAATAGTTGTGGATGCAAGATACTTCAAGCTCTGTATTTTATTTGTTAATAATTTTGCTTTTCTTTCCACTTTAATTTTGAGACTGTCAGGCTTGCCTTTATTTTCTCCACGTATTAAAAAGTGGAATTCTAGTAGTCTTCAAACTGTAGGCTCTAATGGCTGCTAACCAGGAAAACATGCCATTCTTTCCCATAACTGTAAAAAAGACATTACTGTGTTATTTCTTTTTCTTTCTTTTTTTTTTTTTGAGATGGAGTTTCGCTCTTGTTGCCCAGGCTGGAGTGCAATGGCCCGATCTCGGCTTGCCGCAACCTCTGCCTCCCGGGTTCAAGTGATTCTCCTGCCTCAGCCTCCTGAGTAGCTGGGATTATAGGCATGCACCACCATGCCTGGCTAATTTTTTATTTTTAGTAGAGATGGAGTTTCACCATGTTGGTCAGGCCGGTCTCGAACTCCCGACCTCAGGTGATCTGCCTGCCTCGGCCTCCCAAAGTGCCTCGGCTCCCAAAGTGGTGTGAGCCACTGTGCCCAGCAGAGGGCATTACTGTATTATTTCTAAAAAAGAAGTCTTGCACGATCTAAGAACCTCAGTGATTAGAACCATGGCTGGTGAAAGTCACCTTTTAACCTCCACATCATAATTCTGATTGGTTATCTACCTGATCAGGTAAAATCTTTTTTTTCTTTTTTTTTTTGGAGATGGAGTCTTGCTCTGTCGCCCAGGCTGGAGTGCAGTGGCGTGATCTCAGCTCACTGCAAGCTCTGCCTCCCAGGTTCAAGTGTTTCTCCTGCCTCAGTCCCCCGAGTAGCTGGGACTACAGGCGTGCGCCACCATGCCTGGCTAATTTTTGTATTTTTAGTAGAGACGGGGTTTCACTATGTTGGCCAGGCAGGTCTCGAACTCATAACCTCAAGTGATCGGCCTGCCTTGGCCTCCCAAAGTGCTGGGATTACAGGCGTGAGCCACCGTGCCCGGACAAGATATGATCTTAAGGCTTACATTTAGATTAACAATTCCATTTTCTGAAAGGTAATTAATTTAGTCTATGATCCTGTAACAGGATAAAAGTGAAAAATAAAGAAGGGTATCCCCATCATCTCCTCCAAATGTGTATCACCGACTCTTAGGATGCTTTATGACATAAGACTTTCTCATTTATGAATTATTGTGTGTACCACATATTATATATTAGTGAGGCTTAACATCTTTCACAGATGAAAAATAGAATTTCTAATATGTTCTTCCTACAACCCAATGCATCATCTTGCCTGCTTGCTGAAACCACGTTTGAGACTATCAGCATATGAGATAAAACATGCTCTTGAGTGTGCAGTGGGTTCCTTACCTCCCCTGCTAAACAAGTGAGAAAAAGAGAGCCAGCATGGTGATGCCCATCTTGAGTTCCCAAGAGGCTGCAGCTGGAGGATGGCTTGAGCCCACAAGTTCTGGGCCTTAGTGTGCTATGGCAATGGGGAGCCAGGGACCACCAGATTGCTCAAGAAGGGTGAATCAGCCCAGGTCAGAAAGGAAGCAGGTCAACAAAAACAACAACAACAAAAGAAAAAAAGAAAAAGAAATGGATTTTCTTCTAAGCCATGCCACCATGGCAAGCACTGGTAATAAAATCGCCCAACACTAGGAAGAGTTTGAAATCATTCTAGGAGGCCAGCGTGGTGGTGCATGCCTGCAGTCCCAACTACTTGGGAAGCTGAGGGTGGAAGATTGCTTGAGCACAGGAGTTTGAGGCTGCAGTGAGCTGGGATTGCACCACTGCACTCCAGCGTGTGCAAAAGAGTGAGACACTGCCTCTAAAAAAATCATTCTAGGGTAGCTGATATGTATTTTCATTTGAAGCTCTGATTCCAAAACCTAATTATTCAAAATTTAGTCTTAACTTTATTTTCTTGTTTAGCTTAAGTCCTTTAATGCTAGATCTTTGGTGCTGCTGGGTCAATAATTTGGTCTGATTATGTACTAGGTTTAGGTACATAAACCTTACGTACTTAAGTATTGTCAGAAACCAGGTTAGGTCTTTGGGTAGCAGACTGATTGAAAAGGATAGTTCATAGGGGATAGTACACAAAACATAACTATTCAATTTTGAGAAAGTTTGTTGCCAGTGTCCCTTTAATCAAGGATTATAAACTAGGGGCCAGTGCAGTGGCTCGCCCCTGTAATCCCAGCACTTTGGGAGGCAAAGGCAGGAGGATCGCTTAAGCCCAAAAGTTCAAGACCAGCCTGGGCAACGTAGGGAGACCTTGTCTCTACAAAAATTTAAAAATTAGCCAAGTGTGGTGGTGCATGCCTGTAGTCCCACCTACTCAGGAGGCAGAGGCAGGAGGATCCCTTGAGGCCAAGAGGTCGAGGCTGCAGTGAGCCATGACCGTGCCACTGCATTCCAGCCTGGGCAACAGAGTGAGACCGTCTCTCAAATAAGTAAATAAACAAACAAACAAACTAGGGCTGGGCTACAAGCCCCACCTAGTAGCCTCTCAAAGAAAAGAGGTAAAATTTTAAAAAGCAGAAAAAAAACAAAAACAAAACCCCAACAAAAGTTTCCATGTCACAACCTTCTTGTAAAGATGAACTACTAATTATTTCCCTGAAACCCTCACCTGGAGACAGGAGGGCTAGTAGTTAGTGAAGTCCCCATCAGCAATTCTCAATCACTAGAGAATTTATTTAACAAAGAGAATCACTTGCTATGTTTATTTAAAATACAGATTCTTAGGCCCTGTCTTAAGAACCTGGTTGGCCGGGAGCAGTGGCTCATGCCTGTAATCCCAGCACTTTGGGAGGCCGAGGTGGGCGGATCACAAGGTCAGGAGTTCGAGACCAGCCTGACCAACATGGTGAAACCCTGTCTCTACTAAAAATACAAAAATTAGCTGGACGTGGCGGCACATGCCTTAATCCCAGCTACTCAGGAGCCTGAAGCAGGAAAATTGTTTGAACCTGGGAAGCGGAGGTTGCAGTGAGCTGAGATTGTGCCACTGTACTCCAGCCTGGGTGACAAAGTGAGACTCCATCTCAAAAAAAAAAAGAATCTGGTTTAGGTATGGGATAGCACCGGCTTCAATAGACACGAGATAGACTTCTCAAAATGCATCGCCATATTATAGCTGAGCCATTTCCCTTCCCTGTTAGCAATTCAGCCTGCTTATACAGAATGATTGTATCACAGAGTTAGCAGCAAGTAAGCTGGAGAGCAAATGAGACTTCACAGACTACTGATAGGGGACTCAAGATTTAAAACAGATATGGAGATACCTGGACTAGCCCCTACCCTCAAAGAAGTTTGATCTATGTTAGTCAAGACAGAGAACTATTTTTTTGTTGAGACTGGGTCTCGCCATGTCGCCCAGTCTGGAATGCAGTGGCTATTCACAGGTGACATAGTGCACTACAGCCTCAAACTCCTGGGCTCAAGCCATCTTCCAGCGTCAGCCTGAGTAGCTAGGTGTGTACTCAACTAGAAGGCTGACTCGTTCTTATAAAATCTTTTTTATTTTGAAATAATGAATTCTGTTTTTAACAATCTTCCCTAGTAGACTATTCTAGTACAGTTTTTAAAAGATCATTTTTCCCCCTCTTCTAAGAGAGAGTTTGTTCTAAATATTATCAACGTATCTTCTGGCACTGACCTAATTTTTAACTCCCTCCCCTATCACCTATACTAAATATGAGGGTAATTATGTTATTTTAACTCATTGATATAATAAATATGATTCTTTAATTCATTAAAGAAATGAATTTTGGCCTGGTGTGATGGCTTATGCCTGTAATCCCAGCACTTATGGGAGGCCAAGGAAAGCAGATTACTTGAGGTCAGGGGTTTGAGACCAGCCTGGCCAACATGGCGAAACTCCATCTATACAAAAATACAAAAACTAGCCGGGCATGGTGGCATACGCCTGTAATCCCAGCTACTCAGGAGGCCGAGACAAGAGAATCGCTTGAACCCAGGAGGCAGAGGTTGTGGTGAGCTGAGATTGCACCACTGCACCCCAGCCTGGTTGTCAGAGCGAGACTCCACCTCAAAAAAAAAAGTATTTTAATGGCTTTGATCTTTGATCTTCTTAACAGGAGACAGACGCAATAAAAGGAAGTTAACATACTGGTATCAAGTATTGGACAAGACTTTTTACACACAGTAAAATTCATTCACTGATACAACCATTTTATGAAGTAAGTATTCTCTCCACAAAAGAGGAAGAGAGGCTCAAAGACGTTCGCTGACATGTCTAGGATCACACAGCTAGTATGCGGTATAGTAAGAAATTTCGTGTTTGTCTCAGGTTCTTGACACAGGGTTCCTAAAACCTTAGGAACTTCCCAGGTAATGGGAGTGTCTTGTTACTTTTAAGGAGCCCTTTTTGATCACCCTATCTCTATCTGCATATAATTTATGCTGGATAGAGTTTATGCTAATGAGGTTACTGAGGTGGAGCCCCTAGATAGCCTCAGGATGGGGCTGCTCACTACAAAGACCAAGTGATTGATAGCTGGTTGGAACTTTCAGCCCCACCTACTGACCTCGGGGAAAGAAAGGGGGAGGGGGATCTGAAAATCAAACTCTATAAACTCTCTTGGGATCTGATGAGCTTCTAGGTTCCCGAACCTAGTGCTGGGAGAGTGGCACGCCCAGAGGAAGCCTAGAAGGTCTGCAGGCACCCCCTTGCCTCCCACCCCCGCCATACCTTGCCTTATGCAGCTCTTCCATCTGGCCATTCCTGAGTTGTATCCTTTATGATAAACTGGTAAACATAAGTAAAGTGTTTCCTTTAATTCTGTGAGGCATTCCAGCAAATTATTAAACCCAAGAAGGGAGTCATGGAACCCCTGATTTATAGCTGGTTGGTCAAAAGTACTAGATGCCCAGACTTGCAATTGGCATCTGAAGTAAGTGGAAGCAGTGTTGTGCAACTGAGCCCTTTACTTGTGGGGTCTGCTGTCAACTCCAAGTAGACGAGTATCAGAATTGAACTGAATTGTAGGACACCCAGCTGGTGTCAGAAAATTGGCTGGCGTGAGGAAGAAAAACCACACATTTTGGTGACCTCGTGTTCTGTGCTGTATTGGGTATAAGTGTTTGGTTTTTCCTATCTTGTACACAGTAAGTTAAAGACAGGATTTTGCACTGGTCTTGTTGGTGTGTGCCTGGTAGTCCCAGCTATTTGGGAGGCTGAGGTGGGAAAACTGCTTGAGCCCAGGGGTTCAGAGCAGCCTGAGCAGCCCCATCTCTGGGTAGAGAGAGAGAGAGAAAAAAAAAGGATTTTGACCTAGGTCTGAATTCAAAGTTCATGCTCTTTCTCTATGTGCTGCTTCCTACTAAAATCTATAAATAACCCTAAAAGAGTCAATTATATTAGCCTTTTCTTAAACTGTCTTTGGCCAGAACTACTAAAAAGGAGGAAAAGACTTTTATGGCCCTTTTCTGTTCTTGTTCAGATATGTATGTTTAAAATGTGTACAACAGGATAATGAAAAAAATAAAGAAATTTAATAATCTGCCATTGACTACATGACAACACTGCTTGTGGACATTTTATTCACTTTAAAATAAATATTGTGCTGTAAACTGTTCAGAAGTGAAATCCATATTACAGTAGGCAAGTACAAGGGATAGACAGCACAGTGTTTTGTTAGAGTAAACCATTCTGAGTCTCAGAAGCATCACCAACTGTCTACATCAGATAGATACTCTGAGAGTAAACATACTCATAAGAAGAAAAAAGTAATAGATAAAAGTTCTGAGAGAGAAGCAACCTATTATAAATAAGAGTTTCTTGAGATTAACAAGGGTGAGGACAACTCCCATGTGAGCCTCTACCATGTGCCCAGTTTCTAGTTTAACTACTTGCAGAGAGCAGTTGCTATATAAAAATCTGTTGAAAGGATTTCAGGTACTAGAATTTACATATTTTACATGGTCTCTCATTTACACCTATCAATTTCTTTCTTCATGATCTTTACTTCATTAGCTACTTACATATACTATAATTTACATAATAAATCTATTATTTAAAAACTTTCAATAGGTACAACAATTATGACATTTGATTAGGCTGGACTCTAACTTGCTTGGATGAGATTTATTTTGGAATCACAGTATCCAAGCAAAGAAAAACAGTCAGTTTATAAGACACAACAAAAATGAAAAAAAGCGAGACAAATGTCTGCCTCAGAAGTTTATCAATAACCTCTTATATACACATATGTATTCACAAAGTGGTTGAGAGTCATTTTATACCATCCTTTAGAAGAGGTCCAATGGCTGAGAACTCTATAATGAGACACAGTGGGACAGAAATTATCATGACTTTCAATGATCTTTTCTTTCCCCTAACTTTAATATCCTTTAGTTGGGGAGAGAAAGAAGTCCATTTTCATCTGCTGTATCTAAGATTTTACAGATCACTGGAGATTCAACCTAAAGAAGAACAACAAAGCCATTAAAAAGTTGCTAAGCTGAATACTTTTCAGTACTATTCTGCTGAATGGATACATGTAGTTATATTTGCTAGAAGCATGAGTCCTTGTTTTAGATAAACATCCAACATTATTTCTACAAATTAAGCTTCTTGAAAAACAACTTTTAGTCATCCATACAGAATATGAGATAGGTGGAGAAAATATTTTTAAACAAGCGGGGGAGGGAAAAGGAACAAAGGACAGGAGTAAGAGAGGAACACATAGCTCTTATACAACAAAAATGATAGAACATTATGGCAAAATAATTAAGTGTATTTAAAATGAAAGGTAAAGAAAAATGTAACCCAAAGATGGAACAGATGTTGAAATTATCAAATGTTATAATAATTATACTAAACATGATGAAGAAAACATGTATGACCAGATAGGAAATTTCAGTAGAGATAAAAAAGAACCAAGTGGAGGCTGGGCACGATGGCTCATGCCTGTAATCCCAGCACTCTGGGAGGCCGAGACGGGCGGATCGTGAGGGCAGAAGATCGAGACCATTCTGGCTAACATAGTGAAACCCCGTCTCTACTAAAAATACAAAAAATTAGCCAGGCGTGGTGGGACATGCCTGTAGTCCCAGCTACTGGGGAGGCTGAGGCAGGAGAATAACTTGAACCCGGGAGGTGGAGGTTGCAATGAGCCAAGATTGCGCTACTGCACTCCAGCCTGGGTGACAGAGCGAGACTCTGTCTCAAAAAAAAAAAAATAAGTAAATAAAAAACAACAACAACAAAAAGAACCAAGTGGAAATGTTAAGAGATAAAAAATACATCAGTGATAAATTCATTCAATGGACTGGGCACAGCAGAGAAATTAACAAGTTTGAAGACAGCTTAACAGAAATGACCCAAATCGAAACAAAGGAAAAAAAGTGGGAATAAAGCAGTGTCTGAGATTCTGGAACAATTTTATACTAACATGTCTTATTGGAGTATCAGAAATAGAGGAGAAAAAGAATGGAGCAGAATAAATCTTTGAGGAGATAATGTCCAAAAATTTCCCCAAATTGATAAAATATATCAACCCACAAATCCAAGAAGCTTAGTGAACTCCAAGCAAGATAAATACAGAGAAAACCACATTTAGGCATTAGATAATCAAAGGTAGAACCATAAAGTCTTTAGAAGGAAATATAGGAGAATATTTTCATGATTTTGGGGTAGAAAAATTTCTTAGAACACAAAAAGCGTTAGCTATTAAAGAGGAATAAATGATAAATTGAATTTCATGAAATAAAAATTTTTCATTCACCAAAAGACATTAATAAGAAAATGGGGCTGGGTGCGGGTGGCTCACACCTATAATCCCAGCAATTTGGGAGGCCGAGGCGGGCAGATTACTTGAGGTCAGGAGTTCGAGACTAGGCTAGCCAACAAGGTGAAACACTGTCTCTACTAAAAATACAAAAATTAGCCGGACGTGGTACCATATATGCCTGTAATACCAGCTACTCGGGAGGCTGAGGCAGGACAATCGCTTGAACCCAGGAGGCGGAGGTTGCAGTGAGCCGAGATCATGCCACTGCACTCCAGCCTGGGTGACAGAGTGAGACTCCATTTCAAAAAAAAAAAAAAAAAAACCAACCAAAACCCAAAAATCAGCCAGGCACGGTGGTGCATGCTTGTAGTCCCAGCTACTTGGAAGGCTGAGGCACAAGAATTGCTTAAACTTGGGAGGCAGAGGCTGCAGTGAGCCAAGATTGCGCCACTGCATTCCAGCCTGTGTAGTGGCCGATGCCTATAATCCCTGCACTTTGGGAGGCAAAGGTGGGAGGATTGCTTGAGTCCAGGAGTTTGAGACCAGCATGGCCAATATGGTGAGACCCTATCTCTATTAAAAAAAAGAAAGAAAGAAAAATGAATAGGCAAGCCACAGACAGAGAAAAAAATATGTGCAATACAAATACAAAGAGTTAATGTCCAGACCTCTGTTAAGATGTGTTGAGAAGTGAGGACCTGAAATGTTCTCAACACATAGAAACAATAAATGCTTATGGTGATGAATATTCTGAATACCCTGACTGGATCACTACATATTCTATGGATGTAACAAAGTATCATATGTAACCTGTAAACATATACAAATACTATGTATCAATAGAAAAAAAATCAACTAAACAAAACACCACCAAAAAAAAGTGTTACACTGAGTCAGAGTTCAGGTACAGAAATATTATACACTATATGATTCCATTCATGTGGAATCCAAAAAAGAGACAAAACTAATCTACAATGTCATAAATCAGAAATGGGTATCTTTGAGCAAGGCTAAGGGGTATTTACTGGAAGGGAGTATGATAGAACTTTCTGCAGTGACATATCTTGTTTTGGGTGATAGTTACATGGGTGTATATAACTGTCAAAACTTATCAAGCTCAACACTTAAGATCTGTGGATTTTATTTCATGTAAATTATATCTCAATAAAAAATGTCAAGAAAAACCATGTCAACTATTACATGAGTGGTATGTGGGCCATATTAAGCCTTGGAGACTACTGAAGGTCCTTCCTAAACTTAATGCAAAAAATTAAAACATGGCAGCCGGGCGTGGTGGCTCACACCTGTAATCCCAGCACTTTGGGAGGCTGAGGTGGGTGGATCACCTGAGGTCAGGAGTTTGAGACCAGCCTGGCCAACATGGTGGAACCCCGTCTCTACTAAAAATACAAAAATTAGCTGGGTGTGGTGGTGTGCGCCTGTAATCCCAGTTACTCGGGAGGCTGAGGCAGAAGAATTGCTTGAACCTGGGAGGCAGAGGTTGCAGTGAGCCAAGATTATGCCACGGCACTCTGCCTGAGCCACAGAGCAAGACTCCGTCTCAAAAAAACAAAAAAAAAAAAAAAAAAAAAGAAAAAAAAATTAAAACATGGCTCAAAATGGAATTTTTGATTATTTTCTTTTTAACTTACCCCAAGAATATATTGACAGGAGTGAGGCTCTAGCATATATACAGTAACAGCATGAGGTGAATCTGATTCTTTGCACCTAAAACAGAGAGCACTTTAAGGTACTGTCCAAATCATTTAAAGTAAGATCACTGTTAATAACTGTACTCTTAAAAATCCCACTCAAGTGGACCCTGTATGATTTAATATAATTTTATCAATAATTTAAATGGTATACTTTCATAATTATTCATAATTATACTGTTTACATAAAACTTTTGTCCATAGGAAGCAGTTAAAAGACAAAGGCATACAGCATGATTTGATGGTCTAACTTACTTTAGTTTTACAGTCACCTGTCTTGGTTTGTCAGTTATATCACAAATATCTCCATTTCCATAAAAATGTGACACCATCCTGAATCAGAGAAACACACAAGTTTTATTAAACTAAAATCTCACTAATAGAATAATTGTAATGGGTAGGGTGAGAAGATGGTTAGAGGGATCAGTTTTGCATTAGTTAAAAAAAAACCTGACTATAAAATATTCTTTAAAAAAATATTTTTAGGGTTATCTCACAGAGGCATTCTCTTGGATTCTATAAAGAGAATATAAGAGATACTTCATACTGGCTTAGTTAATAATTATTTTCAACTTGCATATTATTTATTTGTATACAAATAATTTTGGTTAGATTCCTTTAAAAAAATTGTTTTAAAGTTATCAATTTCCCTAGCCCACTATATTGTTTTGTAAAACAGTTCTTTGCTTCCGTCCTCCATCAAGCTACTCCCATTAAAATACTGTTCGTTAGGCACTGTAGTATAGAAGACAAAGCCTAGGCCAAACTGTCAATCTCAAATGAGCAGGATCCAAAGAAAAGCTTCATTTTACCAGTCTAACACTCATTCTTCAACATATATTGTACATGATACCACAAACTGTTTTCACATAAAACATATACCTACAAGGATAAGAAAAATCAATTTGTTTAGTACAATAATTAAATGTCTGTGGGAGGGGGGAAGATAGCTTTAGGAGATATACCTAATGCTAAATGATGAGTTAATGGGTGCAGCACACCAGCATGGCACATGTATACATATGTAACTAACCTGCACATTGTGCACATGTACCCTAAAACTTAAAGTATTAAAAAAAAAAAAGTCTATGTTTTAATTTGGCTGACTTTGACTTTTATCAGCCCGAAAAGTCAGTACACTCTGAAAACAATCCAAATCATCTGTTTTAGGAAGGAAAAGGTAATACCCAAGAAGGAACAAGAAGGAATAATTGAAAACATACTGAGTTAAGAGTCTGCAAGAAAAGCTAATGCGTAGTTATTCTTGGGAAATGAGATTAACTTACTGGTGTTTTGACAAGGTATACTCATATATCCTAAAAGAGATGTGAGGTAGTTTTTAAAAAACACCCTCAGTTCTGACAGAATTGAGCCAGTTACTAACACCACTGCCACTCTCATTAATGTTATCACCCCCACTGTTATGGGTGGCAGCCCAGGTTTATTGCATGCTATTGCCAGGCATTCTCCTTTACATAAATTACCTCTTAAATGACACAATAATCATATGAGGCAAATACCATTACACAACAAAAGTGAGAGATAAAAAAGATGATGTAATTTCTCCAAGGTAGGAAGTGATGAGCCAGCATTTGAATCCAGGTAGTCTGACTCCAGGGACTGTGCTCTGAACTATTACACTGTGTTGCTTCCCTAAGAAAAGAAAACTAACCTAAAAGATATCCCTTGAAAAAAACTAAACAGGGATTTTACTTAAATGTTTGAATTTTTATGTTTTTCAATATTTTGAGTTTTAGAAATTGTAGTAATTAGCTCCAAAGGCAAGTAAAGTGAATCTTTACCTGACTGTCTGGGTACCATCGTCTTGAAGATGATAAGCTCTAGCAGTATTCTTCTTAGCCCATTCAATATGCTCTTCTTGGTTCCATGTCCCGACAACCACAGAGGTTTTCCCACTATCCTTGTCCTAATATGGGAAAAAAATTTGTGATAATGCGTGCTTGATATCATCAAGTAGATATTTATGCTGATGACCTGACCTTCTTGTAAGCTAGTCTTTATCTGCACAGTGGATATCTATATTTAGGTGTAATGATGTCAGTCAAATTCAATGAGTGGAAATTTAAGCACATTATCTTCTTTATTCCTTGTTTCTCTGAATAACATAACTAATTTTTAGTAAGGCTAGCTCTAAATGTAGTTATTTTCGGCTCTTCTATCTCTTTTTCTCTTCTACAGGTAAGTCCCATCAGTTCTTTCCTGGATATTTTTCAGCTTTAGACTCTTCCTCTACTTTTTCACTGCCAGCAACTCACCCCACAACCAAGAGTTTAATCTCTCATACCTAGATAATACTATCACATACTACTGCAATTCTTAATTGCATCTTTGGCCTCTATCTCTTCCACTGCAGCCTGACTTCATCCTACGCAATGTTATACTGATCTTTACACTATTCATTTGGTACCATACTTATTTCTCTATTGGAACTGTCTGTCCAGAAACCCCTTTTCCCATTCTGCTTTTATTATTTTTTAAACACTAACTATATACTGTCTTATATGTGGAAATCCTTCCTTCTTTCTTCTTCCTTATCCTTCCTACCTCCTTGCATTCCTTTGGTTTCTTTCTTCATAGTGTATGCCAGACAACCATGCTGGGCACTAATAGATATCTGGTTAGTAGAATTAAAAACCCCTGGCTGGGGCGCGGAGGCTCACACTTGTAATCCCACCATTTTGGGAGGCTGAGGTGGGCGAAATCACCTGAGGTCGGGAGTTCGAGACCGGCCTGACCAACATGTAGAAACTACTCTACTAAAAATACAAAATTAGCCGGGCGTGCTGGCGCATGCCTGTAACCCCAGCTACTTGGGAGGCTGAGGCAGGAGAATCACTTGAACCTGGGAGGCAGAGGTTGCAGTGAGCCAAGATTGCGCCATTGCACTCCAGCCTGAGCAATAAGAGGAAAACTCTGTCTCAAACAAAACAAAACAAAAAAAACCCCTATGGTGGCAAAGGAAACAAGCAGGGCCAATGCCCAGTGGAGCTTAGTGCCTAATGTAAGAGATAGCTAACAACATTTGTTTTTAGCAACTAGATTAAGTTCCTGGATAGGCAGAAATTAGAGCAGCAAAGTGAAGTGTTTTAAGAGGTTGGATATGGAGCCAGACTGCCTCGGTTGGAATTCCAGTTTCCCCAGTTACTACCTATTTGACTTTAGGCAAGTTATTGAACCTTTGTTTCTATTTCCTCATCTTGGAATAACAATAACCACTTCTTAAGGTTGTTATGAATATTAAAAGAATTAATACGTGTAAAGTACATAGTGCCTAGCATACAGTAAGCACCCTTTTTGCTAATTACTATTATTTTTAGTATCTCTCTAAACACCTAACAGAGTTCCCTAGAAAGTTCCAGGTTATGCAACCTTGGCTAAAATACGTTTGGTAAAACCTAGTGTTGGCAAGTGTATAGGAATGTAGCCACTGTTTATGGGAGTGTAAACTGGTCTAACTCTGGAAGGCAATTTTCCAGTATGCAGATACTTTGACCAAGGAAGTATGTTAATAGAAATGTCCCTTATGAATATACTTACAAAAGTATACCAACAGAACTATTTAAAAATGTTCACTAAAACATATCACAGCAAAAACTGGAAACAACTTAAAGGTCCATTAGCAGAGGTCTGGTCTGGTTAAATACACTGTGGTACAGACATAATCCTCTGTATCTGCTGAAAAGAATGAAATCGATTGTTGCTGACGTGGAGCAATCTCCAAGATACTAAGTGAAAAGAACAAGTGGCAGAGCAGTGCATGATACCTTCCCTATAAATAAAAAAGTTATACCAAGATCTATATATATGCATTTTTTTTCTTGTGGCAGGCTATGAAAATGTTAACAGTAGTTAAACTTTTTTGAGAAGTGGTATGATGGCAGAGGAGACAGATACTTCTCATTTAAAATTTCTGGCATACATTTCTTTAATTAAGAAACTCATCAGGTATTATAAGGGTTGTAGTTCAATGGTACTTTATCCTTTTTCTGTATTGTTATTAAAAAAACAAACATCTGCAAAGTAGCAGGAATAAATGGAAAGAATACTTAAATGAAACCTCTCAGGTTTAAGTGAAAAACAAAACAAAACAAAACAAAAAAACCGAACACATCCTAGTCTATGGATGCCTCATTCATTTTGGAAGATTTAAATGTGGAAGGTGAATTGACAGTCTGTCCCAGTATGATCTATCTTGGAATCTGAGATCAGTTCAAAACATTATGAGTGGGCAAATATACACTTTTCTATTTTGGGTATTATTTTCTTTTTTAGATAACGAAAATGGCCTTTTAAAGCAGCTAGGTCCATATTCATTAATTAAAGCTTGTCTTCAATACCTAGCAGCTTACTTTACTAAACAAAGTATAAGTAGGACAAATAACAGAATTGGAACTTGAACCTCAGAATTTAAGCAGGCTGGCTCAAGTATGGGAGAATACGGTGAGTTATAAAATTATAAATAAAAGAACTCAAAAAGTATAATCTTAAAACTTATTTTAAACTTAGATGATATGGTATTTTCTTTTTTTAAAATTTTTAAAATTTTTTGTAGAGATGGGGTTTTGCTATGTTGCCCAGGCTGCTCTTGAACTCCTGGCCTCAAGTGATCCTCCTGCCTTGGCCCCCCAAAGTGTTTGGATTACAGGCATGAGCCACTATGCCTGGCCCAGGGTGTCTTATTCTTTTGGCTGAGAAACTTGCTGTATTTACCCAATTTTTGTAACCCTAGTGATAATGTATGATCTTATCATTTATTTTCGTTCTTTTTTTGTTTGTTTGGTTTTTTGAGGAGTCTCGCTTTTTTGAGACAGAGTCTCGCTCTGTTGCTCAAGCTGGAATGCAGTGGCGTGATCTCGGCTCACTGCAACCTCTGCCTCCCAGGTTCCAGTGATTCTCCTGCCTCAGCCTCCTGAGTAGATGGAATTATAGGCATGCACCTGGCTAATTTTTGTATTTTTAGTAGTAGAGACGGGTTTTCACCATGTTGGCCAGGCTGGTCTCGAACTCCTGACCTCAGGTGATCCGCCCACCTTGGCCTCCCAAAGTGCTGGGAATACAGGCGTGAGCCACTGTGCCCGGCCTCATTTTCTTAATTATTTTTTGAGATGGAGTCTCACTCTGTTACCCTGGCTGGAGTGCTGTGTTGTGATCTTGGCTCACTGCAACCTCCTCCGCCTCCCGAGCTCAAATGATCCTGCCACCTTAGCCTCCTGAGTAGCTAGGATTCCAGGCATGCGGCACCACTCCCGGCTAATTCATTTTCTTAATTTAAGGATAAGTTGTAAGAATGATTAATTTCTTGATCAAAGCAAAAGAGGTATAGCCACAACAGCTCATTATTCTACTAGGCTCATAGTAATAGAAGCATATGAGTAATTAATAAGCAATATCACTTTAAGGTTACCGATTTGGTTAATGCCAAATGTTCCATTTTCCAAAATTTGGAGATACTTTGATTATACTAATCATATTAAAATCATCTCATAATTAAAAGTTATACCATTCCCCCTTTTTTTCTACAACAGATTCTTAAACTTTAAACCATCTAGTGGTAGAATGATATATAAATGCTATTCTATACCTCATGGTATTGATGTACATGTTTGCCATAGCAGAATTCATATTTCCACCAACCGACACCCTAAAAAAAAAGAAAACATATTAGATCAAGTTAAGAACTGGGCCTTTCTCAATAATGCCACATGACAGTAATGGAAATACATGTTATTTTTAAAACCTGTAAAAGCAATAGTATGGTTGAATATTAAAAGAAAACATTACTGAGAAATTAAAGACAAATACAGAGAATATGCACTGTCTTGGTAAAATTTTAAATACAATAAAACAAAAATTCCACTAGTAACTGTATTTCCCACTAGTACTAAGAGTCAGGGTCAAAATTTTTAACTTTGTAAAGGGAGATGTTGGCCAGGTGCGGTGGCTCACGCCTGTAATCCCAGCACTTTGGGAGGCTGAGGCAGGATGATTGCTTGAGCCCAGGAGTTTGAGATCAGCCTGGGTAACACAGTGAGACCCTGTCTCTAACTTTTTTTTTAAAGGGAGATGTTAATTCCAGTTTGAAATGTGATTGCTACATAACCAAAATGTGGGATATACAATCACATGCTCATTCTAGCAATCAACCAGAATCACATATGATTGCCAGACAAAAGGTCAAATTTTTACCTTGTGAAATAAACAGAACATAAAAGCTATGGATTAGATTACAGAAACGTGGGGGTATGAGACTGCAAAAAGAAAATGTTCTTTGGGGATGAAAGGATCCTGTCATTTCTCTAGAGAAAAATTCTTTTCAGTGCTGCTGATGCCCACTGACCATACCTGGCAGGTAAAGTTGTAAAATAAATATTTAAACTGAAGATTTACTTCTCACCCCACGAAAGCAGTAAGAACCACTAAGAAACTCTTTTATGAGTTGGTCATCTGTCAATTTGGATATGTGGGTTGTCCCAACAGTGAGCACTGGCTGAGAGCCAATAGCAATCGACTTGTGGATCGCTGGAAATCTCTCTTCTTTAGTTGATTGCAAATCTTCCTAAAATTAAACACACACGTTTAAGGGTTTCCATGCCAAACTTAATTTCTTTTTTCAGTTATGGCTTAAGTTATTATTTTTAAACTGCAGAAAATTTGAAAAATAAATTGTCCACTTGCTTTTAATACACTTTAAGATAATGGACTTTGCAGCACTTAGCATAGAGAAAGCTCCAGACAAATGTTAGTTCCATCTATCAGTTACGACCATCCTAAACATGAAGGGTTAATTTCCATTTCATATACTTTGTCTCATTATTCTTTTTTTTTTTTTTGAGATGGAGTCTTGCTCTGTCGCCCAGGCTGGAGTGCGCTGGTGCGGTCTCAGCTCACCACAACCTCCGCTTCCTGGGTTAAAGCAATTCTCCTGCCTCAGCCTCCAAAGTAGCTAGGATTATAGGAGCCTGCCACCACGCCTGGCATTTTTTGTTGTTGTTGTTGTTGTTGTTGTTGTTTTCAGTACAGATGGGCTTTCACCATGTTGGCCAGGCTGTTCTCATACTGACCTCAAGTAATCTACCCACCTCGGACTCCCAAAGTGCTGGGATTACAGGCCTAAGCCACCATGCCCAACCTTGTCTCATTATTCTTAATAAGTACTTTGCTACTTGCTAAGCTCTGTGTCCCTACATTTGGTTTTGGAAAATGTGGTCACTAAGGGTAAAGAAAGAATAACAAACAGGGTAAAGAGAGCTGGGTTCAAATAAATATGAATATTAGTTACAATTATTAAAATGTAACAGGAGCATGCCTGTAATCCCAGCTACTCGGGAGGTTGAGGCATGATAATCTCTTGAACCTGGGAGGTGGAGGTTGCAGTGAGCTGAGATCACGCCACTACACTCCAGCTTGGGTGACAGAGTGAGACTCTGTCTCAAAGAAAAAAAAGGCAGTAAGGGCACAGAGGACAGTAGACTCACAGAGGAAGAGGTGGCTCAAATAGGCTTTGACCAAGAACTGAAATATGAAGACTTCACAAAGAGAAAAACTCTTAATCAATTCTTGAAACAAGAATAATAATTTGTGATTTATGTGTTTATCTGTGTGTTCTGTGACTATGTGTGTATATATGCATATAGACTTGAGGAAGAGGTAAAACCAAAGATGTGGGGGTATGATATTTAAATCTAAAGAGAGAAGCAGGTGCTATATGGTAGAAAACTAAATGCTGAGAGGTTTGGACATCATTTTATAGGATTTAGGCAAAGATGTGCTGTGATGATATTTTTAAGTATTACTTCAGCAGTGGCAAGGAAGAAGGAATAGCAGGGACAAATCTAGAGGAAGAGAGTCAAGTTAGGAGTTACAGTAACCCAGGTGAGAGATGAAGAGAATCTAAAGTAAGGGAGTGACAGGGTTGGATGTAGAGAAAAGGGTAATTATTATTAAAGAGGTTAAAAAATTAGGATCTGGTGGTTAAATGGGTATTGACTGGCAAAGAAATGAATGTAGACCTGAATTTAAAAAGTGAGTGCACCGATTATAAATGAATGAATGATTTATAAAAATTAGACAGTATATGGGTTTCCAATAAATATATGGTGGATACTATGTCCCCTTTTTCACTTGCTGCAGTTACCGTTAACCAGCTATGGTTCTTTTGCTTCTACTTCAGCTTGTATGAGTCACTGGACGGTTACTCCAGAAAGCAATGACCTTATTCTCTCTTCCTCCCAATATTAGGAAGAACAAGGACTGTCAAGATGCTGTCTTATTTTTTGAAAAGTCTCTGAACTTTATTGTATACCTTTTTCCACACACAGAGCCTACTATATTTTGGCATTACTTTAGGTGCTGCGTATTAAAAATGAGGCAAATATAGCCATTACTTCAAAGGAGTGAAGGTCTAACAGACTAAACTAATAACCTGGGAATACATGAGACCTCTATTAAGGTTAATGAAGAAAAACAATAATGCTGCATAGTGAAACCTGCAGCTGAGATAAGGGGAAGAGGTGGCAAGAATAGAAGCATGACCCTTTATTACTACTTCTTCTGGACAGAACATCCATTTTCATTTTTAAGGAAAATTATTCTAATAAAAATAGGATGGTAGTTTATATAGTAGAGTAGAAAATTCATTACATGGACTCCTAATAGTCCAGTAATCTCTAAATTAACATAACAGGCAGAACATCAAACCAAAACTCTGATAGCCAGATTTATATTTTTGTTTATAAAAGAAAAAAAGTGTTTATCTGTATGGGAAAGGCTGACCCACACTAAAGAGGCAAACCATATGCTAAATGTACATTTTCAAAAGAAAAGTTACGTTTAACAGATTTATGAAAAAGTGATTCTGAAATAAAGATTATCAGTTTTAACTAACTACTCATCCTACAGTATCACCTAAGATTTTCATATGGCACATGTACCCTAAAGATACTAAGTATCAACATCATTGATCATCAGAGAAAAGCAAATCAAAACTACAATGAGATATCATCTGACCCCAGTTAAAACGGCTTTTATCCAAAAGACAGGCAATAAGAAATGCTGGCAAGGATGTGTGGAAAGGTAACCCTTGTATACTGTTGGTGGGAATGTAAATTAGTACAAACACTATACAGAACAGTCTGGAGCTTTCTCAAAAAACTAGAAATAGAATTATTATAAGATCCAGCAATCCCACTGCTGGGTCTATACCCAAAAGAAAGGAAATCAGTATATTGAAGAGATATCTGCACTTCCATGTTTGTTGCAGCACTGTTCACAACAGCCAACATTTGGAAACAACCTAAGTGTCCATCAACAGATGAATGGATAAAGAAAATGTAGGGTCGTCCAGCTGCAGTGGTTCACACCTGTAATCCTAGCACTTTGGGAGGCCAAGGCAGGAGGAATGCTTGAGCTCAGGAGTTCGAAACCAGCCCGGGCAACATAGCAAGACCCTTTCTCTACTAAAAAAAATTAATTAAAAAAAGGGTACATATACACAATGGAGTACTATTCAGCAATAAATAAGAATAAGATCCTGTAGCTGGGTGCGGTGGCTCATGTCTGTAATCCCGTACTTTGGGAGGCTGAGGTGGGTGGATCATCTGAGGTCAGGAGTTCGAGACCAGCTTGCCCAAGATGGTGAAACCCCATCTCTACTAAAAATACAAAAATTAGCCGGGCATGGTGGTGGGTGCCTGTAATCCCAGCTACTCAGGAGGCTGAGGCAGGAGAATCACTTGAAACCAGGAGTTGGAGGAGAATCACTTGAAACCAGGAGTTGGAGGTTGGAGTGAGCAGAGATTGCACCACTGCACTCCAGCCTGGGCAACAGAGTGAGACTCCATCTCAAAAAAAAAAAAAAAAAAAAAAAGAGATCCTGTCATTTGCAACAACGTGGATGGAATTGGAGATCATTATGTTAAGTGAAATAAGCCATGCACGGAAAAACAAACATCCCATGTTCTCACTTATTTACGGGATCTAAAAATCAAAACAATTGAATGCATGGAGATAGAGAGTAGAAGGATGGTTACTATAGGCTGGGAAGGGTAGTGGGAGGTTGTGAAGGAGGTGGGGATGGTTAATGGGTACAAAAAAAACCTCTTAGAATGAACAAGACCTACTACTTGATAGAACAACAGGGTGACTATAGTCAATAATACTAAAAGAGTCTCATTGGATTGTTTGTAACACAAAGGACAAATGCTTGAGGGGATGGCTACCTCATTCTCCAAGATGTGATTATTATGCACTGCATATCTGTATCAAAATATCTCATGTACCCGGCCACACGTGGTGGCTCATGCCTGTAATCCCAGCACTGTGGAAGGCCGAGGTAAGCAGATCACTTGAGGCCAGGAGTTCGAGACCCGCCTGGGCAACATGGCAAAACCCTGTCTCTACTAAAAAAATATAAGAATTAGCTGGGCATGGTGACACGTGCCTATAGTCCCAGCTACTCAGGAGGCCAAGGCACAAGAACCACTTGAACCCAGGAGATGGAGGTTGCAGTGAGCCAAGATTGCGCCACAGTGAGCCAAGATTGCACCACAGCACTCCAGCTTAGGGGAAAGAGTGAAACTCTGTCTCAAAAACAACAACAACAACAAAAGAGTATATGTAAAATATCTCATGTACTCCATAAATATATACACCTGCTATGTACCCACAAAAATTAGAAATTAAAAAAAATGCTGAGTATTTTTATTTTTTTATTTTCATTTTTTGTTGAGGTGGAGTCTCGCTTTGTCGCCCAGGCTGGAGTGCAGTGGTGCAATCTTGGCTAACTGCAAGCTCCGCTGCCCAGGTTCGAGCCATTCTTGTGCCTCATCCTCCCGAGTAGCTGGGACTGCAGGTGTGTATCACCGTGCCTGGCTAATTTTTTTGTATTTTTAGTAGAGATGGGGTTTTGCCAGGTTGGCCAGGCTGGTCTTGAACTCCTGACCTCAAGTGATCTGACTGCCTCGGCCTCCCAAAGTGCTGGAATTATAGGCGTGGGCCATGTGCCTGGCCTATGCTAAATATTTTTAAAGCATTATCATCTGTAGCTTTAAAAAATTCAATTTTTCTTGACTGGCAGATTAAACCTATTATTTAATTAATTAATTTTGAGATAGGGTCTCACTCTTTTTACCCAGGTTGAGTGCAACCTTGAATTCCTGGGCTCAAGTGATCCTCCTACTTCAGCCTGCTGTGTAGCTGGGACTACAGCTATATGCTAGCACGACTTTTATATCACTGGCTGAATTTTTTTTTTTTTTTTTGTAGAGACAGGGTTTTAGTTGTCTAGTCTGGTATTGAACTCCTGGCTTCAAGCAATCCTCCTGCCTCGGCCTCCCAAAGTGTTGGGATTATAGGCATGAGCCACCATGCCCAGACTAAACACATTATTTAAAGAGAAGTAAACTGGCATCTTTTCCTTGAAGAGTAACGAAAGCTGGGATTTATGAAGCATTTTGATTGAGCTAACTTTTAAGTATGTGCCAGTATACTTCACTATCAAAACGAAGACCAGAAGAGAATTCTAGCCCAAATCTTTTAATATAGCATTTCAAATTAAACTGTGGAATTAATCACATTTTCCTCCTATCAGAATGACAGTGTTGGTCACAACATGCACAAAGAGTCCAGTAATATTTTTGCAGAAGTACTCAAGAGGAAGCAAAGAAACAAGCCTTGCAGCCAAGTATGTTTCTTCTGCCTTCTGGTTTAATGAAACATCCATAGGTAAAACAATCAGTCTTAGCCATGTAAGTGCTATGATGGAGGTCTGAATGAAATACAAGACCACAGAAGAGGAAGTAGTTATCTCTTCCTGGGTTAATCCACTGGAAGTTTTGGCTCATTTCCAAAGGAAGTAACATTGGAATCACATCTTCAAGCCTAAGTAGAAGTTCATGAGCAGAAGGGGTGGGAGGGGACAACGCAAGAGAAGAAGAAAACAATATACTGAAGGTCAAGTAGGGCTGGGTGAGGTGGTGCACGCTTGTAATCCCAGCACTTTGAAAGGCTGAGGCAGGAGAATTGCTTGAACTAGGGAGGCGGAGACTGCAGTAAGCCGAGATCATGCCACTGCACTCCAGCCTGGGTGAGAGAGCAAAACTCCGCGGTACTTTTAAGAAACTCTAAGCTGTTCAAAACAGCTGGGATGAAGGGAATGGTGATGAAAGATGAGGCTGAAATCAGACCACAAAGGGGTTTGTATTACACGAGTGATGATTCTATCCTGAGATGTAGTATGTGTTAACTACCAAGAGATTAAACACATAATCAAAGGGTGATTTCAGAAAGAGCATTTTATCAGCTGTGTGGGAAGAATTAGAAAGGGGATGTGTTAAGAGACCAGTTTCTGGTTCCAAGAAATAATGAAGTCCTGAACTAATGACAGGATGGATTTAAAAAGCCTTTAGAAGATAACACTGATACCTTTTAGTGGATGATTAGAGTTAGAGATAAATGAAGAGATACAGGTAAGAAAAAAGACTTAGGTTTCTAATTGGTCAATTGGGTAGAACACAGGAGAAGGCAAGAAAAGGGTCAGTATGAAAGAGAAAAAAATGATGAGTGTGAGATTATTAAAAATGTATATATGGCTATGCCCAGTAGGCAGATGAAAATGGAAGACAATATATTAAAATGGGGAGGCAGTGTAGAGAAGTGGTTAAAAGGGCAGCAATGAGCTGAAGAATTAATAATGTATCAGGAGACAGAGATAGGGTTTTAGTCTATTTTTCAAGAGGGTTAGCTGGGACAAATACCTAAAAATTAAATTATAATGAGTAGGATGTCAAACTTTAAAATATTATGAAATTATGAATATAAGAGAATATTAAAATAGTTTGAGTAGTACTAGAATAAGGAAAAGGATTAAAATCAATGAAAAGAAATGAAATTCAAAAGGTTGGGCCAGTAAAATAAATTACTACCATTATACTACAGAAATCATTAAAATATTGACATATGCTCTGAAATTTTAAAAATGAAGCACCAAAAAGCTATCATTAGACAATTCTCATACCTCTTTATTTCTCCTAAAAGGCACCCTTAGTATTTCTTCCTGCTGCTCCAGCTGCCTCAGGGTGAGGGGCTTAAATGGAGATCCTGGCAGTGATTGACAAAATATGTCATTCACAGGAGATGCTCTGAACCTGTTCAGTAGGAACAAAGCATTAAAGCTATGCACAGAACACTTTAAAGCATGTGTGCATTTTATGTTTAAAATATTAAATGCACATCCTACCTATATTTAGGATGACTGCACAAGAGTGGTGTCAAAATGACAACTTCATATTCACAAGTTGTAACTTCAGCTACTGAAAGAATTTCATGCTTAGATTCAGGATGACATATGTACATCACAGTACTTGATCTGGGCCGGTTCTGTTTCAAACTACAAGGTGTACCATTTCCCATTCCCACAGGATAGTATGGTGTCATCTGACCTTCGATATTTTTAGTGGGAATCTTAAAAAAAAAGAGTATAAGACAGACTTTTCATTAGACATGGAGATGGGACTGGGGGTGGGAGAGGAACTTATTATTCTGAAAGGAAGAAAACTACATTTTACTAATTAACTGAAAGGTAACACTTCTATATTTTAAGTTCTCCCTCTAATATTATTTTGATTCGTAAGTTTTTATTTGAGCAAATATGTATTTTCAGAGCTAGTTTAATACAGCAAAAAGATTATTTAGTGCCAAAATTAACATGTTAAGTAAATGTACATTTATATAAAGGGCTACAAAATAATGATTAATATGAATTATTCTCAACAGTTCTAAAGAAAGAGACTAAGATAAAATATAGAAACTTACTATACTGGGCTGCTCAGAGCTTTCTTCTCTAAACTCTCGGTAAATGGCTATATTAGAGTTTAGATTTGATAGGTCTGAAGGCTGATTTGCCAAAAAATAGGGTTGTATAGTAAAACACACTATTCTAAAACAGAAGTTTAAATACAGTACTGACTGGTTCATCAATCTACTTACTCTTCTTCCCCGTTTTTAATATTAACAGCAATACTATCCAGCATGTAAACTCCTATATAAATATACTCAAGGCCAGCAAAAGACAAATTAAAAATTTTTCATGGAATGAAGGAATAAAGGATAGAACCTGAGAAGACAAAGATCACTAAGAAGTTAGCTCCTACACTTTTCTCTACATAAACACAAGAAAAATCCACTCTAAGAACTTTAAAAAGGCACTGTTAATAATATCTCCAAACAAGCTCTTTGGAGGCAGGGATCTCATCTTCTATCACTTTAGTACCCTATCAGCACTATGTCCGAAACCAGAATAAATAATGTTTTCAGGAAAAAATGTTTTGAGATTTCCTTATATGTATGTGATTTTTAAGCTAGTGTCTGAAATTAGAAAATCCTGGGTTCAAATCCAAGCTTTAAATTTACTAGATTTATGGCTTTGAATAAATTTCAGTTTTTATCATTTGTAAAAGCAGAATAATAATATACAGTCATGCACTGCATAATGATGTTTTGGTCAACAATGGACCTTATATAAGACAATGGCCCCATAAGATTGTAATGGAGCATATATCAGAAATCTGATATATCGTATTTGATATTGGCATTGCGGTAGCAGAAATGACTGATATTCTGTAATGGTACTGCGAACTTGGTTTTCTATGGGGAAAAAATATAAATAAAAATACACATACCACGTAGGTTTGTGTAAGTACACTCTATTATGTTTGCACAATGATAAAATCACGTAACCACATAATTCTCATAATGCACCTCCACTGCTAAGCGATTCATGACTGTGTATTAAAAGGTTTTTGGGAGAATTAAACATTAGCTTTTGTTAAATGTCTGGCAGTGTCTGGCTTATAAACTGGGGCTCAAAAAATAGTTTTCTTCCCTTACCATTTTCTTCCTCTTCCTTTATCATTTTACACTTTGAATTCCATCTTTTGCTGTCTTTCAGAGTCACAGTAAATAACTATTTTAATCTCAAAGGTAGTCTATAAAATTAAAATCTTTTAAAATAGCAATGCTATGTGTGTCTCTGCTTAGCTTATCAAGTCTCTCCAAAGCTACCCTTTAAAGTTATAGGCATCACTTTTAAGTAATTTTCAAAGACTTTGCCATTTTACTTTACTTCTAAAAAAAGTATCAGTATGATATTAAGCCATTTATGGAAATATCCTCTATTAATAAGTTATTTTTAAAAACTCTATAAAAATTTTTGGGATTTAAAAATTGTGATTAGATTTCCTGAGGAATTATTCTTTTTAAACGTCCCTATGTTACAGAAATCATTTATCCATTCTTTCTATTAACATTTATGAAGTGCCTATAATATGTCTGACACTCTGCTTTGTACTGTGGGGTAAAGAGATAAAAGACTGTCCCTGCTTTTAACATGCTTGCAGTTTGGTAGCTTGTTATTTACATTATAGTTTACCTGTTTTGCCCACAGGAAATGGGGACCAAAACTCTTAATAGTTTCCAGTGTTATATAGAGGGAACCACTGCTAAGCACGTAAGTGATATAATGCTATTACAGAATCTTCCCCAGATACATCAGTGATAGATTTATTTTTGTATAATCTTAAGAGTAAATAGAAAGACCACAGTGTAACTTTTCTCGGAAAAAAGGAATATACTGCAAAGATTCTTTGACCCAGTCCTTCAAGGTATTTGATAGATGAAGAATAAGAACATAAAGATATATTCTGTCACTTGGGTTATATAAATTCATACCTCACTAACAATAAGTGTTAAGAGGAAAAAAATCAACATCTGTCACTTGCCTCATTTGATTTTTCCTTTTCTTCTGCTTCTCGTTCTGTGGAATAATAAGGTAAGTGTAAAGAATGAGCAGTGACATATGTGGTACAAATGAGTAAGTTTTCAACCACCTTTGTAACCTTAATCTTCTTTCTAAAGAAGGTCCAAAACACATATGATTTTTATCTTACTACTTTAAAGCTAGTTTCCTTGAAATGGTTTTGTATGAAAGGAAGTCATATTTAATCTTTACCCAGGAAATACTCTATTTCAGGTAGAAAACTGGCCACAACAATTTTCTTTCGAGGTATTTTTATCTCAGTGAAAAATTTAATATTAAATTAACTGACCAATCTGAATATAGAATAAACATATTTCACAATTTGAGAGATATATCTATTTCTACATATAATAACTTTGCTTAAGCCAAGCAGAAGACTAACACTTATATATAACACTAACATGCACCTGGCATTGTTTTCACTATTTTCTGCTTTGATAAACATGTTTTTTTCTTACTTATTTTAGTAAAGCTTTTAGGCTGTGCATGGTGGCTCATCCTCATGCATACGATCCCAGGACTTTGGGAGGTTTGGGTAGGGGGATCGCCTGAGCCAGGAGTTTGAGACCAGCCTGGGCAACATGGCGAAATTCCATCTCTACAACAAATACGAAAATTAGTGGGCATGGTGGCATGTGCCTGTGGTCCCAGCTACTTGGGAGGCTGAGGCAGGAGGATCACTTGAGCCCAGGAGGTCAAGGCTGCAATGAGCTGTGGTTGTGCCACCGCACTCCGGCCTGGGTGACAAAGAGAGAATCTGTCTAAAAAAAAAAAGGTGAAAACAAAGACTTCTTTGAAAGTTTTGTAAGGGACAGTTCAGAAGCCCATTTCAGTATTTTATTTTATTTTGAAATGGAGTCTCACTCTGTTGCCCAGGCTGGAGTGCAGTGGTGCCATCTCGGCTCACTGCAAGCTCCGCCTCCTGTGTTCATGCCATGCTCCTGCCTCAGCCTCCCAAGTAGCTGGGACTACAGGCGTCTGCCACCACGCCCGGCTAATTTTTGTATTTTTAATAGAGACGGGGTTTCACCGTGTTAGCCAGGATGGTCTCAATCTCCCGACCTTGTGATCCTCCTGCCTTGGCCTCCCAAAGTGCTGGGATTACACGCGTCAGCCACCGCGCCCAGCCTATTTCAGTATTTTAAAATTCACACAATGTCCAAAAAAAAAATCTCGTAAATTCCATTTTGAACATATATTTTAAACCAAATTCCAGCATTACTGTCAAATCACTGGGTAGACACCAACCTTTTTCAAATAGAAGGTTCTTGGCCAACATATTCCCAAGGTAGTACTCGTGAATATTTATTTTCTACATTGAAAAGTAAAATAAAAATATACTAAGTATTTTGCAAAGACATTTTTAAGGATACAACTTTAAAACTATCAATCTCATTATTAAAGTTCTCATCTTATAATGTTTCATAATAATATTTTGAAGAAAAACACACCTGACCAGTTTCTTTCTCTTCATGGTACTGCCGAATGTGTTTTCCATGACATACTTCGTAAGTCCAATAAGACTCAATCTAAAAAAGATGGATATATTTCAATGCACAAAAGCCACATAACTCAGCTGAATTACTTTCTGATATTTGAAGCAGCTGAGACTTCCCCTAAGATTTCAGAGTAAGCTTTCATTAAATGACACTTATAATTATGCCTCAAAAAAATGTGAAATTTCTGAAGTCTATTCATTATTTTCACTAGCTCTATGTGAGAATTCTGTGAAGGAAATAGGTCTAGAATACACTTGGGGTCTGTAATAATTACCTGGCTTAGGGACAATTTTCTACATAGCTTAAAAAATAACAATTAGCAATTTAAATTAAAATTCTATTATATACTCGGCCGGGTGTACTGGCTTACGCCTGTAATCCCAGCACTTTGGGAGGCCAAGGTGGGCAGATCACTTGAGACCAGGAGTTCGAGACCAGCTTGGCCAACATGGCAAAACCCCATCTCTACTAAAAAATACAAAAAAATTAGCGGGATGTGGTAGCGCGTGTGTGTAACCCTAGCTACTTGGGAGGCTGAGGCAGAAGAAGCGCTTGAACCTGGCAGGCGGAGGTTGCAGTGAGCTGAGATCGTGCCACTGCACTCCAGCCTGGGTGACGGAGTGAAACTCTGTCTCAAAAAAAAAAAAAA
Organism: Homo sapiens; assembly: GCF_000001405.40. Taxonomy (NCBI): domain Eukaryota; kingdom Metazoa; phylum Chordata; class Mammalia; order Primates; family Hominidae; genus Homo; species Homo sapiens. The sequence continues at coordinate 53,796,895 of NC_000002.12, read as the reverse complement.
AAAAAAGAAAAAGAAAACTTTATTTTGAACTGAAAAACATTCAAAACAGCTTGGTAAGTGATATGATTTGTTATTGGTATTATTGGGTATCTGCTGCATACACTAGACAGGAATTTAAATGAATAAGATATTATTAAGAAATAACTAGCTGGGCACAGTCGCTCACGCCTGTAATTCTAGCACTTTAAAAGGCTGAGGCGGGTGGATGGCTTGAGTTCAGGAGTCTGAGACTAGTCTGGGCAACACTGTGAAAAACCTCATTTTTATAAAAAATACAAAAATTAGCAGGGCATGGTGGTGCTCAGCTACTGGGGAGTCTGAGGTGGGAGAACAGCTTGAGCATGGGACGTTGGGGCTGCAGTGAATCGTGATCATGCCACTATACTCTAGCCTGGGTGACAGAATGAGACCTTTTCTCAAAAAGAAAAAAGCAAAGAAAGAAAAAAAAAGAAATAATTTATATTTATACCTAACTTAACATCTGATACAATAGGAACAGAGAACCAAATACTGTATGTTCTCATTTATATAAATGGGAGCTAAAAAATGAGAACACATGGACACAAAGAGGGGAATAACAGACTTAGGGCCTTCTTGAAGGTAAAGAATGGGAGGAGGGAGAGGATTAAAAGAAAAAAAAAAAAAAAAACCAACCCATCAGGTACTATATTCATTATCTAGGTGACTAAATAATCTGTACACCAAACCCCGGTGACATGCAGTTTACCTATATAACAATCCTGCACAGGTAACCCTAAACCTAAAATAATAGTTAAAAAAAAAAACCTGACACAACATAATAAAGAAGAAACGGTATTTTCAAAGGTCTGTTGGCTGTTGGTAATCTATTTTCTAGTCATCAAGTAAACATAAAATACATACTCTGTAGGAACAACTGCTTTGTTTAAATAGTGGCTCCAAAAGCTCTCTTGGATTAGGGCCTTTATAATCCTTTTCTTCTTCCTAAGAAAGAATTGGAGTTTAATACTTACAGTTTTTCTAGAATTTCACCCAACTTTGCTGTTTGGATATTAACTCATTACTCAAATCACAAATGCTTAGAAATAAAAGAGAAAAAAAAGTCAAAATGTTTAACAAGACCCTACGGTACGCCATTGCTTTCAAATAACTGAAGTATAAAATATGGAGCCGTAAAATAATCTTCACAGAGTTCATGCTTTCTTAAAAAAAGGTTTTTTTAAAATGTATTTTTGCTTTTCACAAGGCAAGAATGGAGGGAAAAAAGGTTTTTAAGTATCAGTTTCCTGAACAATTCTTATAAACCTATTTCAGAATTTTTAAATGCTTGTACCCAAACAAATTCTTAGCTATGAAAGCCCTTAGAATAGTTGAATCTTATAGGATATATTGGAAAGTTTTAAGGCACTTTTCAGTTTTTTATGTATTTTTACATTTCAGATTTGAATGCCGTGTGCGTGTGTGTGTGTGTCTCAAGGAGACTTAAAACAGTGGTCTTTGATTTCAAATCTGAACAAAACCCAATAAAGCACTGAGTTTAATATTTCTATTTTCCAGATCATGAAAATATTACTGAATTGGCTTAATAAATTTATTGAGTGGAGGAAGTCAGTTTCAAATTTGTTCAAGGTTCCACAGCTAGCTATAGCCTATACCTCAGCCTCCTGGCTCCTAGGCCGGTGTCCTTCCCATTTTACCATGCTGCCTCTCCTGTTTCATCTTGAAAGAAGTCATTGCCTTGAAGGATGGATAAGAGGCAATTAGGGCATTTTAGGAGGAAGAAAAGGGCATGGGCTAAGATAATGAGAAAGCATGGGGTACCTACAGACTTATTTATAAACAATCATTTATTTAAAAAGTCACATATACATTTAAAAATTGTTATCTTGTTTTAAAACCCTAATTTCTATAAAGAAAGCAAGTGTGGAGTTAGATTTTCATTCAAAACGTTAATAATTGGTTGCGGCCGGGCATGGTGTCTCATGCCTGTAATCCCAGCACTTTGGGAGGCCGAGGTGGGCAGATCATGAGGTCAAGAAATCGAGACCATCCTGGCCAACATGGTAAAACCCCGTCTCTACTAAAAATACAAAAATTAGCTGGGTGTGGTGGTGTGTGCCTGTAATCCCAGCTACTTGGGAGGCTGAGACAGGAGAATTTCTTGAACCCGGGAGTCGGAGGTTGCAGTGAGCCAAGATCGTGCCACTGCCCTCCAGCCTGGCGATAGAGTGAGACTTCGTCTCAAAATAAATAAATAAATAAAATAAAAAAAAATTGATTGCTAATTTTTCCCAAGATAAACTGCAAAATCAAAGAATTCAGGGATATTAAAAGTGATTACTATTTTTATGCTAAAAGAGCGTTATTGAGAAATCTGTTATTCAATTTTACTTCAAAGTATGTAGTTACAATGTTTTACATAAATATTTTTGGTGACAGGATTATCAATATATTTATAAAAACTTACCTCATCCCCACTTGTCACAAGGGGAAGTATGCATTTATATTTTTCTTTATGTGCAGTTGTCATGATGACATAATTATCTTCTTTATATAAAACTCCAGTTGTGGGCTGCAAATAGAAGAAAAAACATACATTATGTTCTCCGTGAAATTGTATCACACTGAATAACTTTAGTCTTAGCTGGAAAAAAGATTCTTTAAACTAATTTAACATTTCAACAGATGATTATTTTAAAGGGAGGGAAAATATGCTACAAACATTAACAAAAATTTTAGATTCGGGGGGTACATGTGCAGGTTTGTTACATGGATATATTGCATGATGATGAAGTCTGAGCTTCTAATATCCCTGTCACCCAAGTATTGAACATAGTATCCTAATACTTCATAGGTAGTTTGTCACCCCTCCCTCTCTCCTGTCTTTTGGAATCTCCAGTGTTTATTGTTCTCGTCTTTGAGTGTGTATTCAACACTTAGCCTCCACTTATAAATGAAAACATACGGTATTTGGTTTTCAGTTTCTGTCTTAATTCACTTAAGATAATGACCTCCAAGCTGCATCCATGTGGTTGCAAAGGACATGCTTTCATTCTTTTTGGTGGTTTTATCAACATATTTATTAATTACAAAATGAAGATAAACTTTATCCTGTGTCATAATAGGAAAATAAATGAACAAAATAATGTTTGGAGTATAAAGAAAAAAGGAGGAATGCAACAGATTGAAGTTAAAATAGTGATTATACTTGGGAGGTTGAGGTGGGAGGACTACTTTAGCCCAGGAGTTCAAGATCAGCCTGAGCAACATAGCAAGACCCTGTTACAAAAAAAAAAGAAAAAAAGAAAAAAAGGCACTAAGAGGTGGCAATGAATGTTCATAGATACACCATCACTGAGCACTTATTAAACTTTTGTAAAGGGCCAGAGAGTAAATATTTAGGCTTTGTGAGCCATATGGTCTCTGTTGCGCCTCTGCCACTGTAGCAACAAAAGTACACAATATGTAAACAAATACGGATGATGATGTACTAATAGAACCTTATTTATAAAAATATGTGGTGGGACAGCGCAATGGCTGTAGTTTGCTGACTTCTGGCATATATTGACAAAATTATCCTTAAAGCTTTCTACACTATGAAACCAAACAAATTCACATTGGTTAATATGAGTCAACAGAATTCAAATAAACACTTCAATTAATACAACAGATATTATTTTAGTAAAAACAAATCTCTGCTTCCTGATAGCAAATGTGATACTCATTTTACTAAGGCAGAGATTTTTGTGTTTTATGACACATGTTCTAAGATAATTCAATTCTCTCTTCACTTTCCTCTTATGGTACTGTGCAACTATGGTACTATTTGGCTATTCCTGGCAAGGAGAACCTCTTCTTATTAAGGACCTTTGTTCTATTCTCAATTTAACAATAACTTTTTTTTTTTTTTTGAGACAGGGTCTTTCACTAACCCAGGCTGAGTGCAGTGACATGATCACAGCTCACTGCAGCCTGACCTCCTGGACTCAGGTGATCCTCCCGCCTTAGCCTCCCTAGTAGCTGGGACTACAGGTACATGCCACCATGCCCCGGTAATTTTTCTGTAGAGAAGGGGTTTTATCCTCTTGCCCAGGTGGGTCTCAAACTCCTAGGCTCAAGCCATCCGTCAGCCTCTGTCTCCCAAAGTGTTGGGATTACAGGCGTGAGCCACTGCCCTGGCCTAACAACTGTTTAACTATAATAAAACCAGTACTACTTGGCACCACTGTAATCCTAAACACAAAAGCAAATTACAGCATTTTCCCTAAGACAAAAAAAACAAAACAAAGCAGTAAGTACTAGCTGTATTAGTTCTAGGACAGTACTGTTTTAAGTGTTTTACATTCATTAACTCATTAATCCTCAAAACAAGTATGATGCTCATTTTTACGGAAACAGACACTAACGCCCAGGGCTTCAACCATTTGTCCAAGGTTAAAAAACCTAGAAGTAGCAGAGGCCAGAGAATTCAAACAGATTGGCTCCATATTCTGTGAGCTTTTAAATATTTTAACATATTTGAATCAGCTTTCACAAACTTCTCCTAGATTACTATGCAGACTTGAATTATGGCCAAGGATACTTGTTTAAAAAGCCACTGTAAGTAAGATGTGCACCTGTAATCTCAGCTACTCAGGAGGCTGAGGCGGGAGAACTGCTTGACCCCAGCCTGGGCAACTTATTAAAAAAAAAAAAAAAAAGGCCTGGCGCGGTGGCTCACGCCGGTAATCCCAGCACTTTGGGAGGCCGAAACGGGCGGATCAGATAGAGGGCAGGAGATCCAGACTATCCTGGCTAAGACGGTGAAACCCTGTCTCTACTAAAAATACAAAAAAAATTTAGCCGGCCGTGGTGGCGGGCGCCTGTACTCCCAGCTACTCGGGAGGCTGAGGCAGGTGAATGGCGTGAACCCGGGAGGCGGAGCTTGCAGAGAGCTGAGACCTCGCCACTGCACTCTAGCCTGGGCGAAAGAGCGAGGCTCCGTCTTTTTTTTTTTTTTTTTTTTTTTTTAAAAGAGCATTATAGATGATGAGGGAATCAAAGAGATTTGAAAGTAACAGTTGCAAAGCTAAACTTATGATAAAGAATTTCTTAGAAACATTTATTCAATTGTGCCAACGATTTGCTATGAGACATAACATTTGTAATTCCTTTCAAAATGGTCTCCAAAATGCTTCAAATGTAAAAAGAAACTGCTTGTTTGGAACCACAGCAAAAAAGGGAAGACAATTCTTGATGCAAATAATAGTCTTTCATTAGTTTAGGAAAGGCTGCTTTCCCAATAAAATAAGCCAAATAGCAATTCTATCTGAAAACTCTGCTGAAATAGTGAGTCACTTATTGGGACCACAAAATATATTTTTAGCAAACTTTACTTTTTGGTAACAGGAATTACGGAGAAAAAGTTTATCTTTTATAATTTTTCTAAAAATTCGGATCCACTAAAATCAGGATTCTGATTGTATAAAACAGGTTTTACTTTAAGAAAACAAAATATAATAAATTCTGAATGTACAGAATTAGATAGTATAAAAAACTTACTTTACATAACAAGGTATTTTCAGTGGAAGAGGAAATTAGCGATTTGACACAAAGTCAAATTTTATTAGAGATCTGACAAAGTCAAATTTTATTAGAGATTTGACATAAAGTCAAATTTTAATATAGTGAAACTAATCAGAGGTGCTGGGGTACTTTAAAAGTTAAGGAACTTAAAAAATATCTTGGCATGAGAGGAACTCCTAATGTTTGACGTGGGTCTGGAGGAATTAGGTTGGTTAGAGGATGAGAGAACTTCTATTCTGGTAGAGGCTATAAAATACACTTGTTGGTAGAACCTGTCAATGTATATGACATGCTATAAACCATGGAGTTGGTCAAATAGTAGTGCTTGGGAAAATCTGAGTAAAATATATTCTACATCAACAACAGAAGTAGACAGAAAATTAGACTGATTTGTGGTTTAATTTGGTGAAATCTCTGAACTCTATAAAGTAATGAATAATTAAACATAACGACAGAGGTGATACTTCAGAAGGAAAATATTAACACAAAAACAAAACTGAGTGCTAAACATCAATAAGCAAAGAATATCATAATTATTAACTCTAGTTAATGTACACATCAAAAATACACAAATTTTTTGGCCAGGTGAGGTGGCTCATGCCTATAATCCCAGCGCTTTAAGAGGCTGAGACCAGAGGATAGTTTTGACCAGGAGTTTGAAACCAGCATGAGCAACATAGGGAAACTATCTCTACCAAAACACACAAACAACCCCCATTTTACAGTTTTGGTGCTTAATACTTTTTCTAAGCAAATCTGAAAGCAAGATTGTAAATAATTATATATTGTTTTGATATATCTGAATGGGAAGACAATTTAAAGCAGACAATTTTAAAGCTTAAAAAATTCAGATCTTCTAATCCAGTCTCTTCCAATTTCAGTTAGTAAACAGACAAAGGACCTTATCCTATTTCATACAGCTGCATATTAGTTAGATACAAATGTCCAACCCGCGGCCAGGCACGGTGGCTCATGCCTGTAATCCCAGCACTTTGGGAGGCCGAGGTGGGCGGATCACTTGAGTTCAGGAGTTTGAGACCAGCCTGGCCAAAATGGTGAAACCTCATCTCTACTAAAAATACAAAAAAAAATTAGCCAGGTGTGGTAGCGCACGCTTACAATCCCAGCTACTGGGGAGGCTGGGCAACAAGAATCGCTTGAACCCGGGAGGCAGAAGTTGCAGTAAGCTGAGATGGCGCCATTGTACTCTAGCCTGGGTGACAGAGCGAGACTCTGTCACAAACACAAATGTCCAACCAACTGGCCCATTAAAAAAAATGGCAGCGCCAGGTGAGGAGAGTAGTGGTTTCTTTTCTTTTCTTTTTTTTTTTTTTTTGAGACAGACTCCTCTGTCGCCCAGGATGGAGTGCAGTGGCATGATCTCGGATCACTGCAACTTCTGCCTCCAAGGTTCAAGCGATTCTCCTGCCTCAGCCTCCCAAGTAGCTGGAACTACAGACATGTGCCACCATGCCCGGCTAATTTTTTTATTTTTAGTAGAGACAAGGTTTCGCCATGTTGCCTAGGCTAGTCTCAAACTCCTGGGCTCAAGTAATCCACCCAGCTCGGCCTCCCAAAATGTTGGGATTATAGGCGTCAGCCACTGTGCCCAGCCAGTAATTTCAGTTAAATGCAAAGGGAAGCCTTAAGGTTATAGAAGTATTAAAAAAAATCAAAAGACCAATGATAATGACTATTGTGGCTTATTTTTACATAAAGGACATAGGCCTTGTGACAATTCACAGAACACTCTAGATTTTTCTCAAAGTAGCACAGACTTAAAGAAAAAAAAGCCAGATGCAATGGTGACCACCTGTAGTCCTCGCTGTTCAGGAGGCTGAGGCAGAAGGATGGCTTGAGCCCAGGAGTTTGAGGCTGTAGTGAGCATAATCATGCCTATAAATACCTACTGCACTCCAGCTTCTAAAAAAAGAATTTTTTTTTTTTTTTTTTTTTTTGAGACAGAGTCTCACTCTGTCACCCAGGCTGGAGTGCAGTGGTGCAATCTTGGCTCAGTGCAACCTCCACCTCCCGGGTTTAAGCGATTCTCCTGCCTCGGCCTCCCAAGTAGCTGGGAGCACTGGTGTGCACCACCACGCCCAGCTAATTTTTGTGTTTTTAGTAGAGATGGGGTTTCACCACGTTGGTCAGGCTTGTCTTGAATTCCTGACCTCATAATCCGCCTGCCTCTGCCTCCCAAAGTGCTGGGATTACAGATGTGAGCCGCCGCACATGGCCAAAGCATTTTTTTTTTGAAATAAAATTGTTAGATACGTGAAAAGTTGGTGTAGCAAATGCTAAGACTGAAAGAAAATGGAATGACAATTTGGTAGTGACCTCTAAAAATGCTAGTTTTAGTCGCTCGCTTATAGTAAGTTTTCAGGGCTGCATATCAGCAAGTTTTTTTAAATTAAAAAAAACACAGGTGCCAAGAGTAAAAAATTTTAATGACATAATTCTTCAAACATCTGCCATATTCACTCCAAGTGTGCTCTTTGGATACAACAACAGGTATTAAAGTATTCTCTTCCAAGCCTGCTAAAGTTATATCTGATTCATAACAAAATTTTACATAGGTATTTCAATGTATCAATATTTTGTGGCATTAATACAAAGAGAAATTTGACGTCCCAGAAAAATATTTACCTAGATAAATTCAGAACATTTGGTTCACACATGTAATCCCAGTATTCTGGGAGGCTCAGGCACGAGGATTGCTTGAGCCCAGGAGTTCGAGACCAGCCTAGGCAACATAGTGAGACCCTGCCTCTAGAAAAAAAAAAAAAAATTAGCCAGGAGTGGTGGGATTTCCCTATAGTCCCAGCTACTGGGAAGCTGAGGAGATCTCTTGAGCCCAGGAGGTCGAGGCTGCAGCCAGTGGTGACCGTACCACTGCACTTCAGAATGGGCAACAGACTGAGACCCTGTCTCAAAAAACAAACAAAAACAGAAAAACCCAAACCAAACCAAACCAAACCAAAAAACCCCTAACACTTGCAAATAGAAAGCTATGTGGTAATAACATCCATTAACTTGACACATCTTGTTTTGACATCATAGTGTCACTTACTGTTTCAATGAAATGGTAATGAAAGAATATAATAAAGTATTGCAAGTTGAATGCTTGAAGGTAATTGGAATAAAAAGTTTAAAAAAATTTTGCTTTTTCCGGGACTTCAATTTGAAGTAAATGAGTTAATTACTACATGGTAAGTGTCATAAGAGTACAATATTTATTAGCCTGCAGTAGGTACACGTGGACAGGAAGACTTTTCAGCGGTCCACTCCCCCAAGAGGGAATTTTCATTTCCGCGAGGTTACAAATGTTCTTCACTACAGGAAAACTCAACATAGAAGCTCATGTTCTGGGGACTCAAATAACAGTCGTAATACATGAAAACTGTAAAGGATATTCTGCATAAAGGGTCGTTAACATCTCACAGGCCAAATAGCCCTCTCAGAAACAACTAGGAAAGGAAAAAGTTCCCTTGGAGCTGTGCGTTTGCGTATGTCCGTGTGTGTATACAACTGAGGGAGAACGAATACGAGAGAGGGAACTCGAGTCTGAAGTACTGTGGTGTGGGCAGGGTGACATGTAATACTGAAGGAAAGAAGTCTGCTGGTGAAGTAAGAGCCACAGTTAATTTTCCGAAAGGAAGATGAGTAAGTGCACCTGACGTTATTCTACGAAAGCTGCTTCTGCAGGGTGGGAATGTTGGGAAGCAAGGTCTAGTGCGACAGAATTGAAAAGGTGGAGAGCAGGTGATTGCTGGATCCCTAATGCTCAGCAAGGGGGACGCATCCACATAACGTGAGAACGAACGAATGAATGAACGCTGCATAAAAGCAGCTTTGGCTTGGGGAAGGTAAGAGTCTGCAGAGAAGGTCTTGGGGAGAAAAAGCAAAGAAAACCGAGGGAAGAGGCCGAACCCTTAGTGTCAGGAGGAGGGGTGGCTGCGGGGTTAGTGAGGGCACTGACCAGAGAGAACTCGGTGCCGGGCCAGTTGACTCGGAAAGGGATGTCATCGCTGAGTTGAGGAAGGGCTCGGCCGCCGCCGGACGCCTCCAGGAGGCCGCAGAGGACCAGTAACACCGGCCCGCCCGGGACCAGACTCCGTACGCCGCCGCCTCCTTCCTCCATCCTCCGCCGCCGCTTTCTCCAGCCACCGCCACAACCTCCTCTGCTCCAGGAGGAGAGGAGGAGGAGGAGGAGGTGGAGGAGGAGGCGGCGGGACTATAAAGCGCCCGGGTATCACCGGCCCAACCGCCGCCACGTCTCCTTCCGGAGAGCCCGGCAACGCCGCCTCCGCCCCCTTGAGCCTCCTGTCACCGTTTCCGGGGCAGACGACATATCAACATCCGGGGGTCGCGGAGCCGTCCGCCTACGGGGGCCGGGACGTCGCCTGCGCGTCTCTCGTTTTCGGACGGCTGCAGCATCGCGGTGGGGATCGAAAGCGGGGGCTTCTGGGACGCAGCTCTGGAGACGCGGCCTCGGACCAGCCATTTCGGTGTAGAAGTGGCAGCACGGCAGGTCGGTGAGTCTCGGAGGCGGCAGCCGCTTCCTGAAGCCATTCCCGCTGCTCTCCAGTGGGCAGGCAGAGGTTTGACCCACACGGAGTGATAGCGGGAAGAAGACAGTGTGAACCGTGCGGGTGCGGGTCCTTAGATGAGAAAATTCGAAGTAGCGATGAGATGTGAGAAATGGCGGTGTTCCTGACTGACCTGCCTTCTTGCAGCTTTTCTTCTTTTTCTCCGCATTTGGCATTTGTACACTTCATTTTTCCCGCTTGAGGCTTATCTCCATCTCTTCTGCTGTGGACCGTGGCCATCTCGTTACTTAACAGCTTCTGACTAACGCAGGGCAGTTTGTTCAGCGACTGCAACTCTGTGTTAGGGGAAACCTGGGGTGAGGTAGCCCGCCATCTCCCCGTAGGTGAATACCGCAAGCCTCCGAATTTGGCGTGGTGGGCGACTCTCGTGGAATGGGCAGCTAGACATCACAACCCTACATTTTTACCCTCCATCTCTAGATTGAAGTGTTGGGGTGTTGTTTTATCAAGGAAGCTGGTAAGGTTCCTTATGTGAGGTTTAGCGCCAGATGAATGTGTGTGTTTATGAACTAAGTCACGTCTGACTGCATCCCCAAATTAGACAAAAAGTTTTGTTTTTCCCTCCCCCTCTTTAGAAAAAATGCCATTGTCTGTTTTGATCTCCAATATAATGGACATAGAGTGTTGGCTTTAGAGAAATTACCATTCCCTAAAGCTCGACAGTCTTGCTAGATCTGTTAAAGACTGGTCGCCCCCACTTCCTCAGATTTGAACCAAATCAAAAAGCAGGAAGGACAGTCCCATATTCTATCTTAAAAATTTTTTTTTAACATCAGGAATCCATAGTATCAAAGAAGATAACTTTCTTCAGAATTGTTATTCGCTAATTATATTCAGCACTTCTTATTAATGCTTAATGTGATCCAGACTCCTGGGATTTTTGTTGTTGTTGTTTGTTTTGAGACAAAGTCTCGCTCTGTCACCCAGGCTGGAGTGCAGAGGCATAATCTTGGCTCACTGCAACCTCCGCCTCTGGAGTTCAAGGGATTCTCCTTTTTCTCAGCCTTCCGAGTAGTTGGGATTACAGGCGCGCGCCGCTACACCCTAATTTTTGTATTTTTAGTAGAGGCAGGGTTTCACCACGTTGGCCAGGCTGGTCTCGAACTCCTGACCTCGGGTGATCCGCCCTCCTCGGCCTTCCAAAGTGCTGGGATTACAGGCCTGAGCCACTGTGCCTGGCCCCCCTGGGCTTGGTAAAATGCCAAATAAATGGGTTTCTGTCTTTGGTCACACAGTCTAGGCAGGGAGATTGTACAAACAAATAATTGCAAACTATTATAGTAGTAATAGTCAATTTTTTTTTTTTTTAGCATTTATTCTGTGCTAAGCACTAGTCTTAAGTCATGAAGGAAAAGAGATGTATTTGACGGAATAAAAATGAAAACTGTCTGTGAGGTCCTGTTTTAGCATTTAGGGCTATAGTGATTGAATCTGTGTTCAATAGAGCTGATGTTCAAGTAAGAGGGGAACTTAAATAAGTAAAATAATTTCTAGTATTGGTAAGTGCTGCAAAGAAACTAAGGTTATGTGAAAGACAATACCTGTAGGATGTGTTGCTTTTAGTACGTAAGTCAGAGGAGACTTCTGTGAGGAAGTGACATTTGAATTGTGACTTGAATGATGAAAAGAAGGGAGCCAGACAAATTTCTAGGCAGAGGCCCTGAGGCAGGAATGAGCTTGATGTGTTGGAGTGATAGAAAGAAGGCCAGTGTGGCTGGAGTGTAAGAGGAAAGTGGTAGAAGAAGTTTGAGAAGCAGAAAGAGGCCAGGGAGACAGCTCTGTAGGCAGGAGAGTGGACAGGACCCGATGTACATTTGTGAAGATCATTGTGGCTGCTGTGTGGAAAATTGATTGTAGGGGGTGTTGTGGGTTGAATTGTGTTCCCCAAAAAGACATGTTTAAGTCCTATCCCCTAGAACCTGTGAGTGTGAACTACTTGGGATAGGGTCTTTGCAAATATAATTCAAGTAAGGATGAGGTCATACTGAATCAAAGGGGGCCCTAATCTGGTGACTGGTATCTTTATAAGAAGAGGGAAATTTGGATACACATGGACACACAGGGAGAATGCCATGCCAGGAAGGAGGAGGCAGCAAGATTGCAGTATGTGTCTATAAGACAAGGAATGCTAAAGATTGCCAGTAATCACCACAAGCTAGGAAGAGGCAAGGAAGAATCCTTCTTTAGAGCTTTCAGAGAGAGAGAATAGCCCTGCTGACATCTTGATTTCTGACCTCTAGTTTCTAGAATTGTGAGACAATCAATTTATGCTGTCTAAGCTGCTCAGTTTGTGGTCATTTGTTACAGCAGCCTCAGGAAGGTAATAGAGGATGAAAACCAAAAAGTAGTTGAGACAAGTCTCAACCAGTTTAGAAGTTTATTTTGCCAAGGTTAAGGACGTGTCACAGACAGCCTCAGGAGGTCCTGACAGCATGTGCCCAAAGTGGTCGGGCTACACTTGGGTTTTACACATTTTAAGGAGCCACAGGACATCAATCAGTACAAGTCTTTTATGCTTTATTTATAGGTTGATTCTTAAACATTGAAAACTTATCAACTATTTACCATATTGTAATTATACAATCATCATTCGCTATAAAACTATTAAGTATGATTGCATCTGCAGAGAAAAAATGTAATTCTACCTCTGCCAATTAAGGTATCCTATTAGCTTCCTAATAATGGCACCATGTTTGCTAAAATAAACTCATTTTGCTCCTGAAGCTGTATTTCCAGCTCTCACACATGTAATTTAGACTAGTTGCTTTACAAGTCAGTTGCATACCTGTTTACTGAGATTTTTTTGTATCATGCCTGGGTTAGGTCTACTGCTTTATGTATTCCATGTCCTCATTTGTCATAGATTTTTTTCCCACCTTGTAGGGGTATAACTAATTTCAAGCAATTTTTTTCAGGAAGGATTAAACAGGTAATTTAATTTCCACAGACTTCATATGTCTGAAAATGCCTTTACCTTGCCTGCTCATTTAATGATAGCTTGGGAATAGACTTAGTCCACAATCATTTTGTTTTCTTCAAAACTCTGAAGACATTCTCTTGCTTTTTGTGTCTAGTGTATCTGATGACAAGTCTAATGCCAGTCTCTTTCTTTTGCAGGTATCATACTTTTTTCTCTGGAAGATTTTATTAGACTGTTTTCTTTATCATTGGTTCTGTGATATTTTATCAGTGTTTCTAGGTGGTGAATCTTTTTTCATTCATCCTTCTTGGCACTCTATGAATCCTATTTTTCACTTCTGGGAAATTTTCTTCAATTATTTCTTTAATTATGTTCTTGACATTTTCTCTGTTCTATTCAGAATTTAGATAGGTTCTTCCAAATACATTTAGATAGATTCTTCCAAATACAGAGGAAAAATATAAAAAGAAAAAATACATAATACGAAGGATCAATCCAAGAGGTCCATTTCCTTGATTTTCAGTTCTTTTCACTTTCTTTTTTCAGTGGTTTTTTCCCCACAGTTTCTAGTCATCTAGTTATTTTTAATGGATGCATTGTTCTCATGACATGAATTTCTTTGAGGATAACACTTATAACTTTTAAATATTTATGTCCCATTCCCGGAAATAGCTCTGCTTCTTTCAGGTCAGTTGTTTATTTTCATCCTTTCTGTCTGTTGTGCTTTTACTTCAAAAAAAAAAATTCTTGGCGGGGCATAGTGGCTCACACCGGTAATTCCAGCACTTTGAGAGATCACCTGAGGTCTGGAAGGTCAAGACCAGCCTGGCCAACATGGTGAAACCCTGTCTCTCCGAAAATAAAAAAATTAGCCGGAAGTCTTGGCAGGCTTCTGTAATCCCAGCTACTCAAGAGGCTGGGGCAGGAGAATCACTTAAACCTGGGAGGCGGAGGTTGCAGTGAGCCGAGATTGCGCCATTGCACTCCAGCCTGGATGACAAAAGTGAAACTTCATCTAAAAAAAAAAAAATTATTGAGCTCTTTTGTAAGTGAGCAGGGTACTAGCTGTTGGGTCTAACTTTAGGGTCCTTGAGTGAAGTGCAAGAAACGAGTTGCCTCTTTCCTCCTCTCCTTCCACCCTGTACCCAAATAAGGAATGCTTTGTTATGGAACATGAAGATGCTCAAAGGCTTCCAGGGTAGACTGTTAAATTAAAAAGAGCAATAACAACAAAATAGATGTGGTTTTAGCCAGAAACAAATACTGTTGCTGCCAGGCGTTTTGTGTGTAAAGGGCTGTGGTAAAAAGTTTGGCTTGCTGTTTCATATAAATATTATAATAATTCTGATTTTAGTCCTACGTCCTTCCTCTGCTTGTTTCTAAGATTGGTACCTCTCCAGGCTCTGCTGGCAAGAATGTCTTCTACATTGCTATAGCCTTCTCATGTATGCATGTGTGTGTGTTCTGGACTGCAGTTTTCTCTGCACTGGCTTAATCCTCAGCATAATCCTACCTGCTTTCTCTTCCAGAATGAATGAGTGCATTTCAGTGCGATTTTGTTAGGAAGCGGAGGAAAATGTATGTGCTTAGTTTGCCTTGCATAGAGTGAGTAATCCATTGTTTTTTTGTTTGTTTGTTTGTTTTTGAGACAGGGTCTCGCTTTGTCACCCGGGCTAGAGTGCAGTTGCATGATCACTGCTCACTGCCATCCCAACCTCTGGGGCTCAAGCGATCCTCCCATCACCTCAGCCTCCTGAGTAGCTGGGACTACAGGTGTGCACCAGCCTGCCTAGCTAATTTTTTTATTTTTTGAATTCTTGGTTTCCCAGAGTGTTGGGATTACAGATGTGAGCCATGGCACCCAGCCAGTACTTGTTGAATAAATCAATGCTGTTGAAAAAATTGGGCAAGGCATACTGTTGTTTAAAAAGAAAATTATGGCTGTAGGAGATAAGTAATTAGGTGAATCTTTTAAATCCTGTTTTAAAAAGTCCTATTTTATTTTGTCCTAATTAAAAAAGAATCTCCGCCGGGCGTGGTGGCTCACGCCTGTAATCCCAGCACTTTGGGAGGCTGAGGCAGGCGGATCACCTGAGGTTGGGAATTCAAGACCAGCCTGACCAACCTGGAGAAACCCTGTCTCTCCTGAAAATAGAAAATTAGACAGGCGTGGTGGCTCATGCCTGTAATCTCAGCTACTCTGGAGGCTGAAGCAGGAGAATCACTTGAACCTGGGAGGCAGACATTGTGGTGAGCCAAGATGGCGCCATTGTACTCCAGACTGGGCAACAAGAGTGAAACTCTGTCTCAAAAGAAAAAAAAAATGGAAAGAATCTCAAAGGGGTTAAGCCCTACCAATGGAGGTACAAAATGAGATAACTACCATCTCTCACTTTTTTTTTTTTTTTTGGAGACAGAGTCTCACTTTGTTGCCTAGACTAGAGTGCAATGGCATGGTTTTGGCTCATTGTAGCCTCAACCTCCTGGGCTAAAGTGATCCTCCCACCTCAGCCTTCTCAGTAGCTGGAACTACAGGTGTGCACCACCACGCCTGGCTAATTTTTTTTGTATTTTTTGTAAGAGATAGGGTTTTGCCATGTTGCCCAGGCTGGTCTTGAACTCCTGGGCTCAAGTGATTTGCCCCCTCAAGCCTCCCAAAGTGCTGGGATTACAGGTGTGAGCCACTTGCCCGGCTTCCTTTTTTGTTCTTTTTAAAATTGTAGGCCTTAATTTCATTTTGTTCCTGTTCAGTGCTTAGCACAGTTCCTGGCATGTTGTAAATGTTCAATAAATGATACTACATTTGTTTTACTTAAGCAATTTTCATCATCGTAGAAAATAAGGATTAAATGAGTTAATATACATAAAGCACTTGGAATAGAATCTAGCATATAGTTAGTGCTACATAAGTGTTAACCATTATTCTCTGACACATGAACACCTTTTTGTTTTTTCTATGAAGCTTTCTCTGATTCTGCTACTTTGAATTGGTAATTTGCCTTTCTGTATTCTGGTTGTATTTTATTTATTTGTTATTAGTTTTAGAGACAGAGTATTGCTGTGTTGTTCAGGCTGAAGTGTAGGGGCCTTATGATAGCTCACTGCAGCCTTGAACTTCTGGGCTCAAGAGATCCTTCTGCTTTATCCTCCAGAGTGGCTAGGACTGCAGACATGTGCCACTATGCCCAGCTAATTTTTACATTTTTGTAGAGACATGGTCTCACTATATTGCCCAGGCTGGTCTCAAACTACTGACTTCAAGTGATCCCCTTGCTTTGGCCTCCCAAATTGCTGAGATTACAGGCACGAGCACCATACCCACCCCTCTGCTTGTATTTTATATCACATCTTTTATATTAAATAACATAGATTTGTTTGCTTGTGTGTTTCTCCACCAAATATGATTCTTGATAGCCGGGGACTATCTTATTTATTTTGGTGGTCTCAGTGCATAGTCATTGCTTGCCACATAACATTAGTTCGCTCATTTGAGCTAGGTCTTAAAGAATGAGGAGGGTGGTGTGATTGGAGCATGAGGGGCAGGGGAGTACGTCAGTGGGAAGTGAAATTTGACAAATACACTGATACCAGATTGACCAGATGGTAAGTAGTTGAATGCCAGATTAAAGGATTTGAATTTATTTTATATGCAGCAGGAAGACATTTTGATTACTGACCTCAGTTTCATATTTTAGGTAAGTAATTCTGAGTGCACAGTAGAGCGTGTATTGGAAAGAGGAAAAGAGATTGGAAACAAGAAGAATATGTAAGAAACTCTGGCTCTTGATGTATGATAAGGCTCTTTAGTTGAGAATCTTTCAGCATGTAACCTTTTACTATCATGTAATCTTTTAAGCCTTATCACAAAAAGCCTTCAGGGCTTCCTTGGTAACTTCATTTTGACTTTGTTAAAAGAAAAACTTTAGACGAAATCAATTTATCAGAATTTGTTTTTGTGTTAAAGGATTAATGAATTTGGCAGCACCCAAAATTAGAAGTAGTTCAGGGAGCTCTTGTTTTAACAGAGTAAGCGGCAGACCTTTGCAGGCTGAATGTGGAAGCGAAGTAAAGAAATTACTTGATTGGACTGGGCATAGTGGCTCATACCTGTAATCCCATCATTTTGGGAGGCTGAGGTAGGTGGATCACTTGAGCTCAGGAGTTCAAGACCAGCCTGGGCAACATGGTGAAACTCCATCTCTACAAAAAATGCAAAAATTAGCCAGGCATGGTGGCACATGCCAGTAGTCCCAGCTACTTGGGAGGCTGAGGTGGGAGGATTGCTTGAGCCTGGGAGGTTGAGGCTGCAGTGAGTTGTGATTGTGCCACTGCACTCCAGCCTGGGCAACAGAGCGAGACCCTGTCTTGAAAAAAAAAAAATTACTTGATTGTCATAGCTACTTGTTTGTCTTATTTGGGTACAATCTGGCAGAAAGTTGCTTGTTAGAGAATAGTTGTTGGTTTCTGATTAAAATTAAGTTGTGACATCCTATGGATTGGGAGGAAATATTTGCAAGCCATACATGAGATAAGGGATTAAAATTCAGAATATAAAAGGAACTCAAATAACTCTATAGAAAGAATACAAATAATCCAGTTAAAAAATGGGCAAGGAACCTGTATAGACATTTCTCAAAAGAAGACATACAAATGGCCAACAGATACATGAAAAAATGTTCAACATTACTAATCATCAGGGAAATGCAAATTAAAACCACTATGAGATATCACCCCAATATGTGTCAGAATGGCTACTATCAAACAGATGAAAGATAAGTGTTGGCAAGGCATGTGGAGAAAGGGGAACCTCTGTACACTGTTAATGGCAATGTAAATTAGTACAACCGTTATGGAAAACAGTGGCAGTTCCTCAAAAAACTAAAAATAGAATTACCATATGATCCAGCAATCCAACTTCTGGGTATTTACCTAAAAGATTGGAAATCAGTATGTTGAAGAGATATCTGCACTCCCATGTTCATTGCAGCATTAATCACAATAGCCAAGATACGGAATCAACCTAAGGGTCCTTAGACAGATGAATGGATAAAGAAAAATCTGGTGTACATACGTAGTGGAATACTATTCAGCCTTAAAAATGAAAGAAACTTTGTCATTTGTGACGACATGGATGGATTGGAGAACATTAAGCTAAATGAGATAAGCCAAGTACAAGCAGACAAACAACATATGTGCTTACTTATATATTTAATCTAAAACCGTTGAACTAAAAGAAGCAGAGAGTAGAACAGTGGTTACCAGGGTTGGAGGGAAGGCATGGGGGAATGGGGAGATGATAGTCAAAGGGGAGGAATTTTTTTCTTTGAGATATGTTGCACAGTATGGTGAATATAGTGACTAATAATGTACTTTATACTTGCTAAGAGTAACTTTTAAAAGTTTTCACTACAAAAAAAATTTGAGGTCATGGATATGTTAACTAGATTTAATTATTCCACATTGTATTCATAAATCATCACTTTGTACCTCATAAATATATAACTATAGTCAGTTTATAATTAAAAAATAAAAAGCAAAGATTAAGTTTTGTTTCACTGTTTACATTGGGCTTCAGTTTGCTTACATAGGAACCCAGAGTCCTAGGACCATCTTAGCCAAATGGCCTCCAATTAAAGATTGCTTACACTCTTTTTTTTTTTTTTTTTTTTTTTGAGACAAGAATCCTGCTCTGTTGCGCAGGCTGGAGTGCAGTGGCGCCATCTTGGCTCACTGCAACCTCTGCCTCCTGGGTTCAAGCAATTCTCCTGGCTTAGCCTCCCAAGTAGCTGGGACTACAGGTGCCCGCCACCACACCTGGCTAATTTTTTTGTATTTTTGGTAGAGACGGGGTTTCACCATATTGGTCAGGCAGGTCTCGAACTCCTGACTTCAGGCGATCCACCCGCCTTGGTCTCCCAAAGTGCTGGGATTACAGGCGTTAGCTACCACACCTGGCCAAGATTGCTTACACTTTTTAAAAAATGTTATATTGTTTTTAGTAAAACAAAGGGTAAAATTTAATAAAAAGGCACAAACACATTTTGTGTATATTGTGAAAATACCATCTATTTCCTCCAAAAGCTTATAAATTGATATGAGTATCATAAACCTGTTTATTTTTCTCCTGGACTAAGTATTGTTCAACGTTTAATGTGTATTATGTACAGGGAGGTAATGTGGGACCAGATTTTCTGGTTGGGAAAGGAGATGAGTACTGGTTTTAGTACAATAAGTTTCCATGCTTGTGTAGCACAACTGGAGATGCCTTCATGTAACAGACATATGAAGAGGTTGAGAGAGTAGGCTGGAGATTGGAAGCTATCCAAGTAAAATTGAAGCCTAGGATTTGATGAGTTTGTGTATTTGATAAAGAATAGTGTAAGAGTTGTAACTGGAAACACAATGAAATGTTTTTGTCTTTGGCTTTAGTGACATGGGATGCTTGATCACTAGTGTCTGATGCACCAGAGAAGCATGAAAATTGCAATCTTTGGGTTCAGTGAGGAAGTGGTCATTGGAGACTTGATACTATAATGATTGGGTGGTATGGCAGAGTAAAGTTGAATTGGAAAGGGATTAAGACGAGTTGATAAGGAAGTGAAGCACTGTGTAGTTAAAAAATTTCTGTGAAGAATAAGAAAGCTGGAAGAACACAAGAAACTGTAGGATTAGTGGTGGTTTTTCCAGTTACAGTGTGTGTACATGTGTGGGCGAACCATTTATAAAGAGAAGGAGGCTCAGTACAATTAAGTAAAACAACCAAGAAAATGAAACTGAAATATAGTATTTTAGAAAGGTAAAATGAACCATAGGAATGAAAAGTCCCTGAAATCCAATAAAGCTAATTTTCATCATATAAATTTGACATACAGAAGAAAAATTTTGGTATTTTAATTGTCTTTGGAAGAGTTAAAATTCTTCAACATAGTAGCCACAGGATTACAAAATCTTTGAGTCTGTAATATATGCTTAGAGTGAATTCAAGGTTTTATTTTAGTTTTTTGAGACAGGGTCTTGCTCTGTTGCCCAGCCTGGAGTGCAGTGGTGTGATCATGGCTCACTGCAGCCTCGAACTCCTGGGTTCAGGCAATAGTTCTGCCTCAGCTTCCTGAGTAGCTGGGCCTACAGGTGCATGCCACTACACCTGGCTAATTTTTAAATTTTTTATAGAGATGGTGCTCTTCTGTTGCTCTGGCTGGTCTCTAGCTCCTAACCTGAAGTGATCCTCCCTTCACAGCATCCCATCACAGCACTCCAGAGTACTATGATGACAGGTGTGAGCCACTACACTGGCCAAATTCAAGGTTTTAGAAATCCATAAAAATAGATTGCCAAAAGCTGAATAAATTAATAGACAATACAGTCAGTATTTTTGCTGAAAAAAGATAGGCATAACAGGAACATTTGATAGGTAACTTTTAGCGTGATGTGATGAAGAGAATTTTAAAGCACATTTATCATCTAATTGCCTGGAAAGAAAGAACCAGGGATGGTAAATTAGAAATTTAATAAATTTATCACCCTTTCTGTTTTACAGGACAAGTGAAATGCCGTCTGGAAAACTAATATTTAAAATGTTGGAAGATATTTAAAGTAGATATGTAGCTGAGTAAATTACTAAGATGTTAATAAATAGGAAAACATGAAAAGGACATGTAGGACAGCTTTATGTGAAAAACTTCTGTACTAATTATTAGTCATGCCTGAGTTTAAGGAGCTTTTAGTAAGTATATTGTGTTTAGTTTTATACTGAAGTTCTTATGGTGAAAGATTCTAGAGAGATTATATGTCCTCTTGAGAAAGAAATAACCTATAATCAGGAATAACCTGAATGGTTTGAATCAAAGTTAATTCTATGTGAGTTAATAACTTGTTTCCTAGTTGAGTAGCAGCATACACCCAATTGATACTCTTCTTTAGGTGACAAAATAAAGAAAAAAGTTACGTACAAATAATCAGGTAATGCCACTTCTTAAAAAAATACAATCTATGCAGGTAACAAAATGGCACTTGTAGCCCATAAATTTGTACAAATAAAAAATTATAGGCCGGGCATGGTGGCTCACACCTGTAATCCTAGCACTTTGGGAGGCTGAGGCTGGTGGATCACCTGAGGTCAGGAGATCGAGACCAGCTTGGCCAACATGGTGAAACCCCGTCTCTACTAAAAATACAAAAATTAGCCGGGCGTGGTGGCACATGCCTGTAATCCCAGCTACGCGGGAGGCTGAGGCAGGAGAATTCCTTGAACCTGGGAGGTGAAGGCTGCAGTGAGCTGAGGTTGGCACCACTGCACTCCAGCCTAGGCAACAGAGCGATACTCCGTCTCAAAAAACAAAACAAAATTATAATTCCAGGAGGTGCCTGTTCTTGGCTTCTGCCAGAGGTTACACTTTCCAGCCTGTGGGATGGCCAGACGCAGGCTGCAAAGAAAAAAAAAATTTTATATGTATATATATGTATATACACACACACACACACAAATTGAGATAGTGACAGACAAAGAATTCCAAAAGCTGTTTTAAAAACTAAATTTTCATTATATGTGCCATTAATTTGTAGTATCAGCCCATCTTTTTCAGTTTTGGTATAAGATTAATACAAAGTGAATGACAGACTACATCATTAGTGATCATGATTTGTATAATGTAATTTATGCTTTAGTGAGTTATTTTCCATATAGTAAAATGCCTTTATTTAAAAAAGAAGAGGTACAGTACATTATAATTCCAAGGAAATTTTCGTATTTTAAAAATGCCAATTTTTGGCTAAAAACTCAAAAGATTTCATTTAATACTTGAATAACAAGGAAATTCACAATTAAGGCTGAAATACTGTTCATATTATTGTGTATTTCTAAGCATGTTATTTTAAGCTTGTGTATTTTAAACCATGGTTACAGAATTGTATAGGAATATATTGAAGGCATAACCTTATATTTATTGGAATTTTGGTTTAATTGTTTAGAATTTCAAAATAGTATTGGGATGTGAAACAGGATGATTATCACTCTGATAAAAACAAGACTGAACTGAGTCCTTCACTGTATTTTTCTAAAGAACTCACTTCTAGTGAGTAAGTGTTCAATAACATAAAGTTAGGAAATCTTTATGTTATTAAAATTTGAATTTTTCTTTCACTGTATCCCAATATTTTAAATATGTGTTTCAGGACATTTCCAGTTAAAATAAAAGTTTAAATAATATCCTCACTACATTAAAAATAAGATCTTTAAGTAAACGTATTTCCAAATCATATTGTCATTGTGCACTGAAGTTAATTCTCTGAAGACTAAATTATATGCAATTGAGGTTCTGTTTCCCTTCTAAACGTTCCTTTACTAATTTTTCCAAAGCGAAAAGATGCTCATCTGCTTCTTCTGGCACAAGGTTCCTAATAGAATTTGCAAGTTCAAAAAGATATTCTGTATTTCTTCCACTTGGACCAGCTGCATTAAAAATTTGTTCAGCAATGTCTTCCAGAGGTGCAGGACCAAGATAATCAGGATTATCACATGTTCCAATATATAGCAATACACTGAATGGTTTTGTTGTGGGATCTTTTGGATAAAAAATGACTGTTGTGGTTCTGTAGCCTCCTTTTTCTCTGAAGTCAAGGTATGCTTTTACTTCTTCTTCCTTTCCTACTGGCAATCTGTAAGCAACACCCCATACACATCCCTGTTGAAAAATGAAAAGAATACACTGGTATTATAAGGCTAATTAAAATAGGTGAAGAAAGGTTGTGATCTAAGGGAGTATCTCATATATTCTTTTCTGTTTGTTTTTGAGATGAAGTCTTGTCTGTTGCCCAGGCTGTGGTGCAGTGGCACGATCGTGGCCTACTGCAACCTCAGCCTCCCGGGTTCAAGCTATTCTCCTGCCTCAGCCTCTCAAGTGACTGGGATTACAGGAATGCACCACCATGCCCAGCTAATTTTTGTATTTTTAGTAGAGAAGGGGTTTTGTCACGTTGGCCAGGCTGGTCTCAAACTCCTGACCTCAAGTGATCCACCTGCCTCGGCCTCCCAGTGTGCTGGGATTACAGGTGTGAACCACCATGCCTGCCTGTATCTTGTATATTTTTAAAAGTGGGCCAGGAGCGGTGGCTCACGCCTGTAATACCAGCACTTTGGGAGGCCGAGGTGAGTGGATCACGAGGTCAGGAGTGGAAGACCAGCCTGGCCAAGATGGTGAAACCCCGTCTTTACTAAAAATACAAAAATTAGTCAGGCACAGTGGCAGGCACTTGTAATCCCAGCTACTCAGGAGGCTGAGGCAGGAGCATTGCTTGAACCCGGGTGGCAGAGGTGGCAGTGAGCCGAGATCATGCCACTGAACTCAAGCCTGGGTTATAGAGTGAGACTGTCTCAAAAAAATAAAAAATAAATAAAAGTCAATACAGTTTTTCTTCACTTAAAGTGCACAGAAGAACATACTAAACAATAAAGGAAATAAGCACTTTAAAATCTCCATTGTGAATAATTTCTTTGTATCATAGGCACAGCAAGATATTTTATCTTAAAAAAATTTTTTTTTAATTTGGTCTTTTTCTTTAATAACGGGACTGAAATGAAAAATATGAGCCTTTCACTTGGTCATTAAAAAATTCTAGAAACAAAGTGCCATTTGTTTATTAACTGTTTAATTAGGAGTTATAAGTTACCAATTTGAAGATCTTTTTTATAAATGCTTTTCGTAGTATCAATTATGAAAGCATTTCCTAATCCACACCATTATTTATCTGCCATTACTAACTGCTTGATTTTTGTTTATTAAAGTCCTTTCCAAAGTTAAACATTTAATTTCACAATATAAAATTCTGAATCTGTACCCCAATAAAATGACTGAAAATATTTAAGAAACTGAGGATTGTTGGTTAAATAAAACTTTCTGGTGCTCCAAACCAGTTTTAAAATCACAGGTTCTACTGGGGTCTACGGGAGGGTGGAGGGTGGGAGGAGGGAGAGGATCTAGAAAAATAACTAATTGATACTAGGCTTAATGTTAATACCTGGGTGATGAAATAATCTGTACAACAAACCCCCATGACACATGTTTACCTATGTAACAAACTTGCACATCCTGCACATGTACTCCTGAACTTAAAAACAAAAACACAAAACACAACACACAGGTGCTATTGATACAATTAAGCAATAAAGAAAATAAGAATTCCTCACTTAGATTTCTGCTGAAAATGAGACTGGTAGCAAAAGTGAAGAGAGCTTTTAAGGGTTCCATTTAATTCTCGGTGGTAGTCTGGCTGTCGGGGGCAGGTATTTCCGTTAATGTCAAAGGGGACCACAAAATTCTTAGTTAATAAACTTGTTTTTAAAAAAATCCCACGGCTGGGCGCGGTGGCTCATGCCTGTAATCCCAGCACTTTGGGAGGCCAAGGCGGGCGGATCACGAGGTCGGGAGATTGAGACCATCCTGGCTAACACGGTGAAACCTCGTCTCTACTAAAAATACAAAAAATTAGCCAGACATGGTGGCGGGCGCCTGTAGTCCCAGCTACTTGGGAGGCTGAGGCAGGAGAATGGCGTGAACCCGGGAGGCGGAGCTTGCAGTGAGCCGAGATCGCGCCACTGCACTCCAGCCTGGGCGACAGAGCTAGACTCTGTCTCAAAAAACCCCACAAAAACGAAAACTACATGCTATTTGTCTGTACGTTGTTGTCTACCTTGCACTCTGCATTCTAACTTTTCTTATTGGCCTCAGTTTTCACAAACACAAAAAAAACCCACAAATACAGAGAAGAATTCTAAATTTAGGGTAGTTCAAATTGTCTGTGATGATTGTTAATCAAATTGAAACAGAAACATCGCAACATTTTATAAAATTAAAATTATACAAAAAAGAATATTTATACCATACCGCAGGATCTTCAACAAGAGTCACAACTCTTCCAGGCTGTTTTAAAAAGGTAAAAAAAAATTTTTCTGAATTAATAAAGTTCATTAAGTAGCTGAGCATTAGCAACATTTTTGACATGGAATATTTGAATTATATTTGCTCATAAGAAGCACTATTTCTTAAGCATAGTTATTTTTTATGATAAAGCTTAAGTGAATTAAGAGAACCTACCTTATCTAGAGACTGTGTTGGCCTTTCTAAAAGATTTCCATCAATTTATACGTATTAGGTATATTATATTCACTTTACATGGATATATTGGAAAACATACCAGTAACTAAAGGTCATCTAAAATGAAAGGCAAATGGAAGCAGTAATTATAAATATTCTGGTTTTTCCCTTAAGGAAAAAAGAATGTTATAGTTTTATTTATTTATTTATTTATTTTTTGAGACGGAGTTTTGCTCAACAAGCCCAGGCTGGAGTGCAGTGGTGCGATCTTGGCTCACTGCAACCTCCAACTCTCGGGCTCAAGCAATTCTCTCACCTCAGCCTCCTGAGTAGTTGGGATTACAGGTGCCCGCCAAGACACCCAGCTAATTTTTGTATTTTTAGTAGAGACGGGTTTACCATGTTGGCCAGGCTGGTATGGAACTCCTGACCTTAGGTAATCCACCCGTCTCGGCCTCCCAAAGTGCTGGGATTACAGGCGTGAGCCACCGCACCCGGCCTATAGTTTTATTAGGGGAAAAAAAATATGACATAAAGGGTGCTTTCCTATATATAGGGAAGTGACTTTCAAATTTAGTGGATCAAAATGACCTAGAGGGCTTGACAAAGACATTGTTAGGCCACACCTCCAGAGTTTTTGATTCTGTAGGTCTGGAGCTGTCTAAGAATTTGCATTTGTAACAACTTTCCTGCTGATTTCAGAAATTGTTCTGGGGCTCATACTTTAAGAACCACTGCTACCAGGGGATATTAAGAGGTTTTAAGTGAGAGAGAATGAGTGATTTACACTTCTGAGTTATGAAGTGTTCTTACCTTTCTGTATATGGTAATGGTGCTTCAAGGTAGGCATTTCTTTTACATTCATAAATGAACTTTACTTTGCCCTATTTAAAGGTCAGTATTAGAACTGGCCTATTCGTGTAGTTCTTATATGGGACAATCAGACCACTTGTGTTCTAGGCAATTTTATTTTCCCATTTTGGTTTTAACACAGGTCAGTTAACAATATTATGGAAAGCTTCACTTTTTACTATTCAACTTGAGGTTGAAATGATATATTATGAAGCCAAAACAAGTTTTATTTGTTCTCCCATTTCAAAGACTGATAAAACAGTCTTTGCTTATAAATGGAAAGCCTTAGAGAAAGTCCAGACTTGGAATGTTCCATAATTTAAGGCACAAAGGTGACACCTATCAGTGCCTGCAAGCTTTTTTTTTTTTTTTTTTTTTTTTTAAATAAACTTCGTCCACGGAGTACCAAAGGCTGTATGTGTACTGATACCTTAACATCATTCATGGGAATGCTGAGTCATAAGCCACAATTTTACCTACTTGTATGCCCAATGTCTGGCACATAGCGAGCCTAAATCATCCAGGCATTTGTGTCATCTTTGTTGCTATTTCCTTTTAGTCTTCATCTGTTCGTATAGATAATTTGTAATCATGGAACACATGGGATTTTGGATTATGATTTCTCATTTAATTTTCCTGTTAGTCTTCTCATACATTTTAATAGTTGCATAATATTGTGTCATTGATGAACTATAAACGTTCCTGTGTTCTTGGACATTTAGATTTCTGACTTGTTTTCTTTTTAAGATGATGCTACAATGAGGATATATATATATTGGTGAGGGTCAAGTAGATAATGCCATATTATTTTCAATTTCAAAGTGAATTAGAAGTTATTTATGCATAGCTACTGTGTGCTGTGGAGAAGATGAAATCTTGATTCTTGGTTCCAGTAGCTTATATTGTCATTCTAGAATGCAAACTAACATGTGAAATAAATAGAGCTAAGATATGGGCTAAGATGTATGGTATTAAGTGCAGTTAGAATTCTGAGTCTTAGGTGATCAGAAAGACACCTTTTTTTAGCTCTTTTTTTTTGAGACGGAATTTCACTCTTGTTGCTCAGGCTGGAGTGCAGTGGCGCAATCTCAGCTCACCGCAACGTCTGCCTCCCAAGCGATTCTCCTGCCTCAGCCTCCAGAGTAGCTGGGACTCTACTGGCGTGCGCCACCACGCCCAGCTAATTTTGTATTTTTAGTAGACAGGGGGTTTCTCCATGTTGGTCAGGCTGGTGTTGAACTCCCGACCTCAGGTGATCCACCCGCCTAGGCCTCCTAAAGTGCTGGGATTATAGGCGGGAACCACCACGCCTGGCCAGCCCCTTTCTCCTTTTAAAGAATCACGGACTGTTGTGTTGACTAGGCAATTTCTAATCATCAGTCTATTCTGACAGCATACATATCTCAATGTGTTTTGTAACACACTGTACATTTTCGTCAAGACTAGTAAAGTATGTTGTTATAGCCACATACATAAATATTTAATACTTGGTCATTATAATTGGAGCCTGGGCTAAAGGTTTTCTTTTCGGAATGGCAATTTTAAATATTCATATCAAAACTGACAACTCTCAAACTCCTGGCCTCAAGCAGTCCTCCTGGCTCAAACTTCCGAAGTGTTGGGATCAGAGGCGTGAGCTACCGGGCCCAGCCAAAACTGACAACTCAGAAGCCATTTAATTTAGCTTAGTTCTTTAATGTCTTGAATATTGTTCTAGAACATTCTTGGAGATACTTTGGCCATGACATTTCTGTTGATCTGTAAATGTGCATTTATCCTAAGCCATTGCCCCTTTTCAGGTCACTGTGTCCAACATCCCAATAGGCCAGTATAGTCTACTTAAAAGCCAAGTTCTTAACTGACCAACTCTAGTTGAGATAGAATGGTTTCTAATTCAGGTTCTTTTCGTGATTTTAATCCCATGTCTCTCTTATGAGCAGGTGCAAACTACTTTAGCGCCTTGATCTTTTCCACTTTCCATTGACCAATTTCCAAATTATTAGTTACCTCAATCTTAGTTTTCTTTATGGATTAGTTGTTTTGTAGCCAGTACAAAGCTGATTTGCATAAGCAGTGAGCTGCTGCTAATTCTCTATACATATATTGAGATTAATGTCTTTGTAGGACTGACTGAAAAGTGAATCAATGAACTTACATTTCATATTATAATTATGAGAACCATCAAGAAAGTAACATTAAAATAATGCTGGATATAGTAATGAGTTTGGTACTATGTTATTCATATAACCAGAACTTCATTTAACTTCACTAGTACTGAAAACCAAAGTGAGTTCCTTAATAACCAGCGAAAATTTTGGAAACTCATTCTGCAATCCTGTGTGTCAGAAAATAAAACTTTTGAAAGATGTAAAGAAATCCTAGAAGTAACATGCACGTTTAATCGCAAGCTCATGAAAGTCGGCTAGAATGCAGAAATGCCAACAAATTTAATTGCTAAAAAGCTGAATTTGCAACTTGATTTACTATTTCAACTCTGTGGTGACATGAGCATTCATCTTCCCGCCAATGGGACTTTTTTTCTTTTGGCAGAGGTTGCAGAGAGATGGAGTCCCCATCTCCGCACTCAGCCTGGTGCGAGCTCGTGCGCCTGTGCCCGCGCTTCTCGCCGTCTCTAGAGACTAACCACCGGCATCTTAAGCAGCTTCGGAAGGAGTGCCCGGGCTGGGTTAGAGATGGCGGGCAGGTGGCAGGGAAAATCTACAGAAATGTTACCCCAAGCCATGTGCTTTGGCCCCATGAAGCGCTAAGGTGTGGTTCTCTAGGGTGTGGGTGCTGTGTGTGGAGTTGGGGAGCAGGGGTCAGGGGGCAGTAAGTGTGGGGAGCTGACCGGCGCCTCACCTTGCCGGGGACCCCGCGGTGGTCCGTGCTGCCCTGCCAGAAGCGCCTGCTGTAGTTGGTGATGTATCCGACCAGCTTGTCCTGATAGGGGAAATCCACCTTCCAGATCAGGGACCCGTAACCAAAAACCCACATCTTCTCGCGGCTCCTCTGCCCCAGTGGCCGTGAACCCTAGCTGTCGCCGCGCCGCCGGGGACTGAAGCCTCCGGTAAGCGAGTAACCGGCCGCGCGGGGCGCAGGCGCGATGGCCACTTGGGGCGCAAAGCGCACTGGGAGTTTAGATCCAGAAAGATTTTCCGAGCGGATCTCAGTCAGCTTTATTTTATTTCCTTGATTAGGGTGTCAAGAGGCATTGACCTTCGGTGTAGTAAGCAATGGATTCTTTTGCAGCATCCGTAAATCACCCTAACCTACCTTTAGTGCCCGTGTGCAGAAAACTACAATACCCACAATGCTTTTTGGAGCTATTTGGCTCTGAAATTGGAACTGGGCTTATTTCTAACGGGGCCGAGGAAGGAGAAAAGAGCAGGAGTCGTCACTCGTGTCCAGATACGGAGGCGGTGTACCAGCACCGCAGGTAGCAAAGCACCTAGAAACACGTTTTGTTCTGCTTTGGAAATTAGATTTTTGCCTATATAACAGCAGCCAGAGGAATGTAATTCATATTTGATTTTATGTCCTGAAAAAAAAGTCTTTTGCCTTTCAAATAAAAGCAGAAAGTTTACAATAGAAGTTTACGCTTGTGAAAGAGTAGCTGTCATTTCAATGGGAATTGTTTATATATTTAAATTTTACACAAATTTATTCATCTTTAGTATTATCATTGGCTTGTTCACAAAAGAGCAGGCAAATGTTCTTAACTTGGGGCCCCTGTAAAGGCTTTGGAAACGAGCTGGGGAACCTGAATTTGTATACAAAATTTGGGGTGTACACTTTTCTAGGGGGAAACTACAGCTTTCATGAGTTTCTCCAAGGGGTCAAGGATCCTAAAATTTTTTGAAGATCTGCTCATTAGAGCTCTTGCTGCAAAATATTGTTTAGGAAATTCGCTTGGACTATCATGGCTGTGTCTCTGTGTGTGAAAACAGAAACCTTACCAAGTGATTGTTCTTTCTTGAAGATTTTTATACCATGATCTTGAATGCTAAAACACTCAGATTCAAGGGGTATTATTTGTTTTCTTATAAAGAAATCAGCAGGAAGCTGCTACCAGACAAACAAACAAAAAAAAAAGCAAGTCTTTTCCTATTTTCTCTAAGTTGTGGTTTCAAATTGCCTGATATGGTTGCTAACCCTTCTTTTTTGAAAAATTTTGAATACACAGAAAACTCAGATAAAAAGAGTGTAATGACCAATACCTTTCATCTAGATCCAGTAATTACCATTTTGCACAGTTGCTGTACTTCCTTTTTACTTTATTTATACTTTTAAATGGAGAACATTTGAAGTTGCTTGTGTTATGACATTTTACTGCCACATACTCTACATGTGTCTCATAAGAATAAGGACATTCATCCTAGAACAAGTTCCCTAAAAAAAAAGAATAAGGGCATTCTCCTAATAACTGTGATGCCATTATCACATCTGAGAAAATTAACAATAGTTATGTAATCAAATAAGTATTCCATATCCAAACTGCTTCATAGAGTCACTAACAAGAAATTGTGTCTTCGAGAGAGTCACATGAGAGCTATACTGGACTCTGACTGGAGGGGAACTTGAAGTGAGCATTGGAGGGAGGTGATGATGTGGGCAAGAACTCTGTTAAGAACTTTCTGGGCTATGTAGGAAAACCGGGCTCATCTCTTCATGGTGTTCTCTGTTGGTTTCAGTATGCTCAGTCAGTGGGTCTATTTGGTCAAGCATAGAGAATCTGAGTGTTTAACCTCTTCTGGAAAGGACAAGCAGGTGCAGGAAGACTAGAATGACACCTATCTTTCACTGCTTTTCTGGCCTCTTTGGGTTTAGTTGTTTCCTATAGAGGGCTGTATATTGAGGCTGAGCATTGCTGGTAGTTGAATGGCCATCTCTGCATAATGTAGTGTACACTGGGGATTAAGCAGAGGTGCTCTTATCAATGGAGCACCAAAGAGGGTGCTCTTATCAATGGAGCACCAAAGAATGCGTTGTGGTGGGGTATGAACAGGAGCAGAAGCCTACTCCTCAAACATTTCCAGAGGAGGAAAGATAGAACACTTAAAAGTCCCTTCATGTTTTTAGTGGGAACCTTCCAAGGAATTCCAATCTGCCAAACAGAGAAACTTCCTGCTTTAGGCACCAGCAGAGACTGTGGCATGGCAGTCACTTTCTGTATTGTGGGCCCTTCTTCGTCAGTCATGTGAGAGATACTAGACAGGCCCACCGTGATTTGCTGACCTCTAGGAGTGAAGTGTTGTTTTATTGACTATAGTATTATCCTTCTACCTTGTTTTGTAGACTGGTCAAACAAATGGATTTTACAGAGGCTTACGCGGACACGTGCTCTACAGTTGGACTTGCTGCCAGGGAAGGCAATGTTAAAGTCTTAAGGAAACTGCTCAAAAAGGGCCGAAGTGTCGATGTTGCTGATAACAGGGGATGGATGCCAATTCATGAAGCAGCTTATCACAACTCTGTAGAATGTTTGCAAATGTTAATTAATGCAGGTAAAGTAAATTCAAGGTATGGAGGCTTTGCCTACAAGCTGGATTAATAAAACATAAAAAAGTATAATACATAACTTATTAACAGTAGTATTTGTTTCCCTTTCTATAGTCATAAAATAACTGCCTGAATTTATTTATTAAGGATAGTAAGATTGCCTGCCTTGGATTCAATTAGTATGATACTCTAGTTGGACATCTTATACGGAAGTGCC
This sequence comes from Homo sapiens, assembly GCF_000001405.40. NCBI lineage: Eukaryota > Metazoa > Chordata > Mammalia > Primates > Hominidae > Homo > Homo sapiens. The sequence continues at coordinate 53,765,164 of NC_000002.12, read as the reverse complement.
TCTGTCTGGCCTCTTTTTATTGACTGAGCTAGGTGATATGGGAGAAGTAGTCTGCTGTTTGAATTTAAGCATTTGGTAGTTACTGGTCATGTTTATTCTTTCTTCCTTTACCAAACAGAAAGAGCAATTGTACTGAAATTGAGGATGTGTTTTGATTGAATTAGTCTTTTTCTTTTTAAACACTTTTTAATACTTTTGGGAATTTTTACAACTACTTAGCATGAAACAAGATGCCTGCCTTCCTGATGCTTTTTCTTGTCAGAGGAAACAGATGACAAATATCTAAATAATTAAACAAGATAATTTAAAAAGGTAAAAGTGTTATGAAGAAAATAAAACAAAGTAGAGATAATAAAACAGATGGGATAGACAAAAATGGTGTGCTACTGCACATCTCTTTACATCTCTGCATTCAGTGACTTCATGCTTGGGATCGGCCATGGTAGGAGTATTTACACCACAGAAACAAGCCAGTGCTACAAACCAGTGCTATAAACTGGGCTTTCTTCCCTCTGGACAGCTAGTTATTAAATGTTAACCAGCACACTACTGAGTGAAGGTCATTGACTAAAGGCGAGATTCTGACATTTAGTATAGAGGGGGTAGGAAGAAAACAAATGGTGACTGAGCATTGCTTTGTGATAGTCATTGTGCCACATGCTCAATTTATCTTCTTTATCTAATATTTATAAAAATGGTGTTAGAGGCAGTATTATCCTCATTTTATTGGTGAAAAGACCAAGGCTCAGAGAAGTTGACTTGTAAAAGGTTACATAATAAACTAGGGTATTTGATTTGAACCCATTTCTCTGACTCTAAAGCCCTTTTTTTTCCTCTCATACCAAGCTTCTAACATTTAATTGAATGAATTTATAGCATTCAGTTAAAATGAGGTTGACTATAATACTCTGCATTGTAACACTCAGAACCAATTTCATTTCATTGATCGTGGAAATTCAGACCCTCTTTCCTGCATACTTGTCATCACCAGGTATAGGTCCTTAAAATATAAACTTCTGGGTCCATAGCCCATCAGAACTACTAATTTGTTACCTGCTGGACGGGAAAGGAAATAATCTTTACATTGTTTTTGGTAGTGGTAGGTGTTTTTTTTGTTGTTGTTGTTTTGTTTTTTTCTTTTTTTTGTCTTAACAGGTAAGAGATGGTAAGGCTAAACTTCCTAAATCATAATGCAGGAAATTTGTCATGATTGTTTTTAAAATCACATGTTCAAGTGTCTAGTGTCTATTATAGTTGAGTGTTTGAAGATAGTGGAAAAATAGATGTTATTCCTCTAATTTCAAACGCTTAAGATATGTTTTCAGAATCTGTTTGAAGTTAACTATAAAGCTTGAGTTCCCAAACTATTTTTAGTAACAAAGACATGAGTTTGAATATCCTTTTCTAGGCAAAAAGCTCATTTCCAATATACTGTTACATCTCTTCTTCATATCGGAATAGTGTAGTTTATGTTACAGATTTTTTTCATCTGCTGAGTAAACTTGGGCATGCTTTTGACTAAAGGCATTTGAACTGGCTGTTAAATTCATCTCTACAGTTGTCCTGCCATATCCACAGGGAATTGGTCCCAAAATGTCCACGGACACCAAAATTCATGGATGCTCCTCAAGTTCGGCAGTCTGCCCTGAAGATAGGAAAACGTCCTATACACACATACAAAAGGTCAGCCGTCTGTATCTGTGGGTTCCACATCCTACAAATGCTATTATCTTCCATCCCAGTTGGTTGAATCTGCAGGTGCAAAACCCGTGGATACAGAAGCCCGACTGTATTTCCTTTTTTTCTGAGACAGAGTCTTGCTCTGTTGCCCAGGTGGGAGTGCAGTGGTGCGACCTCAGCTCACCACCACCTCCACCTCCCAGATTCAAGCGGTTCTCCTGCCTCAGTCTCCCAAGTAGCTGGGACTACAGGTGCACACCACCAATGCCTGGCTAACTGTCTCACTTTGTTGCCGAGGCTGGTCTCAAACCCTTGGCTCAAGTGATCCTCCTGCCTTGGCTTCCCAAAGTGCTGGGATTACAGGTGTGATGCATCACACCTGCTGTCTTTTATTATATAATTTTCCTACCTCCCTGAGGTTTATCTAATATTAATACACTGTCAGAGATTCCTAAAAGATAATTAGTGCACCCAAATAAGAAGGTATGTAGGCCTACACAAATAAAATGGAAATATCTAAAATGATTAGAAGAGTTTTGCTTCACTGTCTCTTCAATTTAGATTTGGAATCCATTCTGAGTACCATACATGGTCTTCTGACTCAAGTTGGAGAAGAGCATTCAAGTGTGGTGTAGATTACATAGAAGTTTAATATGCATACATATTTTTGTATTTCTTATGTATCTCATTTTAGTTTTCTGTTTAACATATTAGCACAGATAACAAATTTGCTTGTCTTCTCTCCTGTATTGGAGGTTGGGTGTAATGGGTGTTGAGATTTTATGAAGCTTGTCATCCTGGAGGGCAGTAATGATCTTCACTGACAATTAATGCCATTCAATAATAAGTCATTTGCTGACTAAAAGTCCCTTAAAAATCTTATAATTATTAAGCATATAGCTAAAAAATACTTTTATTTGGCTAATAAATGATCTAGCTCATAGTATTTTTTATTAGTTCATGTTAAATAAGAAAATACGCACTAATACTGGGCACAGTAACAGATGCAGAAGTTCCTTAGACAAATAAATCATTGTAGCACAGCGATTAAGAGTTACGGTCAGATGGACCTGAATTCTAGTGACTCTACCATTTTATTGGTGTGACTTTGGACAGGTTTTTTAACCTCTAAGTGGTTTAGTTTTTTCATCTGTTAGATAGAAATATTCCATTGTTCCAGCTCAGGCCAGAAACTCTGGGCCATCATTAATTCCTTTCTTTTTCTCATATTTCTCATCTAGTCAGTCAGCAAATTTGTGTATGTGTATGTCTATATTTGTGTGTATGTATACACACACACACACACACACACAGTTAGATCACTTCTCACTACCATTAATACCTTGTCTGCGTTGCTATAATAGCATCTTAACAGATCTTCTCTATCTGCCATTGCTCCTTCTGCATCCTATGACAGACCACCCTCAATATATTAGAGGGATCATTTTAAAATGCAACAGACCAAGTCACTCTTCTGCTCTCTTGAGTGAAAACACTTTTGTGTAGTATTTCATGGTAGAGATGTAATGTAATTTATGTAACCATTCTTCTATTGATAGATATTTTGTTTGTTTCCTAAAGTTTTGCTGTTATAACTAGTGATTCAGTGAACATCCTTATGTATATATCTTTGTCTACATGGTTAACCATTTCTGTAGGATGGAGTTTTAGAAGTGCAATTACTGTTTGATAAGTTAGAGTTTCCTGGAGAAATAGAACCAATAGAATATATATAGATAGACAAGAGGGGATTTACTATGGGAATTGGCTAATGTAATTATGGGAGCTGAGAAGTCCCATCATATGCTCTCTGTAAGATGGAGAACCAGGAAAGCTGGTGGTGTAACTCACCCTAAGTCTGAAGGCCTGAGAACCAGGGGAAGTGATAGTGTAACTCTCAGTCTGAGGCCAAAGGACTGAGAACTGGGGTGTGGGAGGCCACTGGTATGAGTCCTGGAGTTTGAAGGCCTGAGGATCAGGATCTCCAGTATCCAAGGGCAGGAGAAGATGCATGTCCTAGTTCAAGAGAGAATGAATTCTCCTTCTGCCTTTTTTTTTTCATTTGCAGGATTAATAGAGTGAAAACAGAGCCCCCATACAACGGGAGGGGACCCAAAGGGGGTTGCTGCTCCCTGCTCGAATGCCTGAGTTTATATCCTGATCATTGTCCCTCCCTCTGTGCTCTCAGGCGATATATGATTTGACTATTTCTTTACCTCATGCTGTAGCCTAATTTGTATTTTAGTGAGCCCTCTTTACTACCTGATTGGTCAGGTGTGAGCTGAGTTACAAGCCCGGTGTTTAAAGGTAGGTGCGGTCACCTTTCCCAGCTAGGCTTAGGAATTCTTAGTCTGCCTAGGAAATCCAGCTAGTCCTGTCTCTCAGTCCCCCCTCTCAACAGTAAAACCCAAGTGCTGTTGGGGAGGTTGGCCGACGACTGCTCTTAAGTGCTTCCTGCTGTATTGGGGCATAGTAGGGGTCGTGCAGTTTAGATTTCATCAGGAGGAGTGCCTTCAATGTCATTAACATCGGAGCATGGGCTAGCAGGCTGTTCCAGGGGTCCACGGTAGATCTTAGTCATGGACTGCATCTGGGGTTCTATTTGAAGAACAATTTGTAATTTTACAGCTTTGATTCTGGAAGAGACAAACTTAACAAGGAGGTTAAAGATACAGGGATTGAAATGTAGGCCTGAAGTGCCAGGGATTATTTCTTCGGCACACTTCACAGATCCTGACTATCTGCTTGATAGTTTTGAAAAGGCCTGGTCTAGTAAATAATGATTTGGCCATCTGATGGGTGCTATCAATGCCTAAGTGAAAGGTCTAGTGAAGGGTTTTAAGTAATTTCCATTGGTTAGCTGCAGGCAAAAGTATTTTTCCTTCTTCAGTGGCTAGCCATCCTGAGGGGAAGAAGCTATGTACTCTTGAGGTTCCCCATTCTATTTCTTCTGCTGAGTACTGGGCCTTGGTTTCCTGGAGGGGATTACCCCATACTAGGGGTCCTTCTGTAAGCATTTCTAATGGAGGGTCCTACCTTGCAACTCTTTTGGCTTCAATATCTGCTTGGCGGTTCCCTTCTACTTCTTTTCTTTTCTTTCTGGTGACCCTGGCAGTGTAAAACTGCCACCTCTTTAGGTTTCTGTAGAGCCAAAAATAATCTCCTAATGTCTTCCTGATGTTTGATAGGTATTCCCTCGGAAGTTAGGAATTCCCTTTCTCTCCATATTGTTGCATGGGCATGGAGAGTTAGGTAAGCATACTTAGAGTCTTTATATATATTTACCCTTTTTCCTTCTCCTAATTCTAGTGTATAACGGCCCCTGCTTTTCCTAGGATGTCTCTCCCTAACAAAGGAGTGGGGCTTTCAGGCATAATTAGAAAGACATGTGAAAAGAGTAAAGTTCGCCAGTCACAACTTAGTGGCTGGGAGAAGTATATAGTGACTGCCTGTCCTAGGATCCCCTCAGATAGTGACAGATCTGGAGGACAGTTGTCCAGGACAGGAGAGTAAGACTGAGACAGCTGCGCCAGTGTCCAGGAGACAGTTAACCTCCTGGCCCTCAATGATCAAGCATACCCGGGGCTCTGTGAGGGTGATGGCGTGGGCTGGTGCTTGCCCCGGACACCCTCAGTCCTGCTGCTGTATCATCTGGTTAGTGGCTTCTGACTCAGAGGACCTTCGTCCCCTGGGGCAGTGGGCCTTCCAATGATTCCCTTGACATAAGGGGCATGGACGAGGGGGAGGCTTATTTCTATTCGGACAATCTTTTTTAAAGTGTCCTTGTAAACCATACTGGAAGCAATCCCTGTTAGGCATTCGATTTGCCCAGCCTTTCCCTGTTCCAGAGCCTTCAAAGTCCATTTGCCTGAAGACCATGACTAAAGTGGTGGCCTTTTTCTTATCCCGTTTATCCCGTTCTGCCTGCTCCTCCTGATCTTTATTATAAAAAACTGAGGTTGCCAAGTTCAGTAGGGTTTCTAAGTTTTGCTCCGGGCCTAAGGCGGACTTTTGAAGTTTTGTTCTAATGTCTGCAGCTGACTGAGTGATAAACTTATCCTTTAAGATTAGTTGGCCCTCAATAGAGTCATGCGACAGAGAGGTATGCTTTCTCAAAGCCTCCCTTAGTGTCTCCAGAAAGGCGGTAGGATTTTTCTTCCTTTTCCTGTGTTATAGTGGACATCATTGAATAATTCATAGTCTTCCTCCTAGTTTTCCTTAGCCTTCTTGCACGCAAGTTAGCAAATGTCTGCGGCACCAATCTCCATGTTCTGATTTTGCGTCCCAGTGAGGGTCTACACTGGGAACTGCCTCCTGGCCTGTGGAGAATTGTTCTCTTTCTTCTGTTGTCATCCTATCATTGACCTGACTGAGATACCAGAGATTGCCAAACTCTCTGGCTGCAGTTATGGTGGCACTTCTCTCTTTTGTGGTTAGCGTCTGATCTAGCAGCAACATTATATCTGTCTATGTCCGATAAAAGCATTGTTCTAACCCTTGTAAAACATCAATATAGCCATCAGGGTTATCTGATAATTTACCTAGGTCTATTTTAATTTGCTTCAAGTCTGACAGGGAAAAAGGTACATACACTCTGGGCCGAATTCTCCAGAATATATCTTAGGGGCGTTTTTGCCTTGTGGGGAACATGTCCCATCTGAAAAAAGAACATAGGGATGCCAGCACCTCTAGTCATTTTCCAATGAGCATTATCCCAGAGGACTAGAGCGTCCTCTGTGGTCCTAGTGCTTATTCCTTTCCAGGGTGTACAACTACCCATGGACCTCTGCTTATCGGATTAGTTACACTCACCAATGTAGCAGTCCTGCACCCCTTTTCCCACCTTTCTTGACCACAAAGAAAGGGGTCCGGGCTGCTGGATTCTAGTGGTCCTTTACCAGCATGCCCAATATTGCCTTTGCGCTCAAGGGTGAGTTCTAGAGCTGGGCTGGGTTCCTGAGTATTTTATAACAACCCAGCTGCCCCATCAAGATGCGTTCCCATAAACAACAGTTCTTATGCAAATTCTTTTCAGAGAGGGTGTAGGTAACCTTTTGAGTTAGGATTGAGGTAGAGTTTTTGCCCACTAGGGCCTTTGTCCTTTTCCCTTGTAGGAATACGCCCTAATTATCAATCTTAAACTTTTTGTTGCCCCGGATTAAGTCCTTGCCGGTATGAAATTTGAGAGATGGATCCTGTTTATCCCATGTGCCTTTTTCCGTGGGTTACTGGGTTAAGGATTTTTGATAGGAAGGCTATGTGTTGTCAGTGGTCTCAGTGTTTTCAGGCTACGCCCTTGTTTACACTGACAACAAGGTAGTATTGGAGTGTTATAGGGTCACAGAGAAGACCTTCAGTTATCAATTATAGGTTTTAAATTTACCCTGGCTTTTAAAGGAATAGGGTGCACTGTTTTTTCTTTACTACTTCTATCTCTCTTTTTCTCTCTCTCCCTCTCTTTTCTCTCTCTCTCTGTCTCTTCTCTCCTTGAGTTACTTAATTCGCTTTCATCCTGATCTATTATGTTGTCATAGACCCAGTTCCAGTTGTTAAAGTACTGGGTCATGAGTTTCAAGGCCCTGGCCAAGGAGCCAAGGCTTGGAGATTGTATTGCAGAGGGATAAGCTGGGTAAAAATCAGGGGAGGAGAGCATCTTACATGATGAGAGAGCAATCCTCCTAGCCATTTACAAACTTGGGGCCCTGGCAAGGGTGGTGGGGAATGGGTCCCACATAACTGCCCATGTTGAGAGCTGTATATCTAAACTGGGACACCAGGGACAAGATTCCCTGGGTTCATAGCCTAGGTACCTAAGGACACAGCATAGAACTTCCTTAGATCCCTTTGGAGATACAACTTGCTCTAATACTTGGGAGAGGAAATGAAGTCTGAACCATTAGTACCTAGGAGGCAGGGATCGGAGGAAGTAGATTCAGAAGTAAGGAGAATTTTGGGCTACACTTTCAAGAAAGTCATGGTCGGGACCCAGGAGGTATGGGTCAGAAGGAAAGGTAGGGGTGCATGCACGGGCGACTGTTGAGTAGAGACTTCGGCTGCGCCATGATCTCAACCAGCTAACGCCGGGAGTTCGGGACGACAGCTTTCTGCCTCTAGTCGGCCCTCGGCCTCCCCAGGAAAATTGAAAGCAGAAGCTGGTTCCAGGCAGACCAACGCTCCCAACCCAGAAGGGTTGGACGTTGTTAGAAAGCCCTTTCCCAGATAGCCTCACACCTGAGTCTTAAGTCTGGCAGCCACACTAATTATTTTTAACTGGCTGACAGGTGCCCGGTATTTTCCTCCAATTCTAAGGAAGGATAGGACAGAATAGCAAGTGAAAGTGGTCCAATATTACTCACCGCTTTTGAGGTCCCTTTGTGGTCACCAAAATGTTACTGGGGGGTCCTTGTTCTTAGAGCTCCTAAGATGGTGGTAGGCTGCTTCCAAGATGGTGGCAAGCCTCTTGTTCTCTGACCTCGGGTTCTTGACCTCACGGATTCCAAGGAATGGAATCTTGGGTCATGCGGTGAGTGTTACAGCTCTGTTCAGCTCGATTAGGATGAACCCCAGGCACTTAGCCTGTGCAGGAACAATGGTGAGCCTCTAGCCCGACTGGGAGTGGCAATGGGCGCCGCCTCGCTGGATCAGAAGTGCAGTGGACACCCTGCCAGATCGGAGGGGTAGAAGTCAACAGCGGGTCTGCGACGACGGTGATCAGCAGTGGTGGACGGTGAGTGAAAGCTCAGTTTGAACTGGAACAAACACGGACCAGAGAGTGTGCAGTTGCAAGATTTAATAGAGTGAAAACAGAGCTCCCATACAATGGGAGGGGACCCAAAGGGGGTTCCCTGCCTTTTTTTTCTTTTAGGTCCTTGAAGGATTACATGATGCCTGCCCACATTGGTGAGGGCAAGTCTTGTTTATTCAGTCTGCTGATTCAAATGGTAATGTCTTCCTGAAACATCTTCATGGATATACCCAGAAATGTTTTAGCAGCTATCTGGGCATCCCTTAACCCAGTCAAGTTGACATGTAAAATTAACCATCACCATGCCAAGTTAAAATATTTATAGATACTGCTAAATTGTATGCTATGTTAATCAGGATTCTTTCAGTACTGAGTGAAAGAAACCTAGTTCAAACTAGCTTAAGCAAAGAAAGGGAATATAGTAGCTCAAGTAAATGTAAATCTGAGTGATGGGTCTCTTCAGAGACTGCTGGATTCTACTATTAGAATGATGTCGTTAGACAGGCAGGATTTCCCTTTGGAAGTTCTAGACTTACCTTATTTTTATTTTTTTAATTAAAAAAATTTTTTTAAAGAGATGGGGTCTTACTCTGTTGCTCAAGCTGGAGTACAGTGGTGTGATCATGGCTCATTGCAGCCTCCAACTCTTGGGCTCAAGTGATCCTCCCATCTCAGTCTCTGGAATAACTGGGACCGCAGACATATGCCATCACATCAGGCTAATTTTTTTATTTTCTATATTTTGTAGAGGTGGGGGGGGGGTCTTACTATTTTGTCCAGGTTGGTCTCAAAACTCCTGGCCTCAAGTGATACTCCTTCCTTGGCCTCCCAAAGTGCTGGGATTACAGGCATGAGCCACTGCATTAGGCCTTGCCTTATCTTTAAAGAGCTCTTTATGTATTCTGGATATTAATCCTTCGGTGTTATATGTGTTTCGGGTATTTTCTCGTCACTTTTCTTAACAGTGTCTACTTTCTTTGTAATGCCTTTCAACCTCTTCCTCTTCACTGACTTCTTCCATGCATCTTGTGTGCATTATGAAGTCTCTGCTGAGGGTTGTCTGAGAAGTTTGCACATAATACAATTCCTTGCATTGTGGAAATTATTTTATATATAACCTTTTCTTATAATACCTAAATAAAACATAGTAAGATGATATAAATTGTGTAAATGGTGTGGCGATATAATCTTGACATTTATTACACTTGTGATTGGCACATAGTAAATTTGTCATCAAATTCTGGCTCAGCTGTTGAGAAATATTCTGGTCTTAATACTTAACCTATCTCCTCTACTGAAAACCTTGTGGTTTGACTTTCCCTGTTAGAGTTTGCAGAAAACAAAAAGAACGGTCTATCACCCATTACTACCACTTTTATAAGAAGTAATAGACAAGTTTATTATTCATAAGTAAAAAGACACTTTGTGTCAGTAAACATAGGGTGTGGTTCCATTGGCAGTGTTTGGGCCAACTCTTGTCATTGCTACACAGGCGTCAGTGGCTGGCATTGGTTCAGCTGAGGTGGCTCTAATTCTCCAAGTATTCCCAGGAAATAACTCACAAGTTGTGAAAGACCTGAAGTGCTCATTGTGTTTGTCCATTAAGAATGTCTTTAATACCCACACCATTTAAAGTTTCAATAAGTTGAGAAGGAGAAGCCACTTTGCCTTCCTTTGAGGGTAAGGAGAGATTAAAGCATTAAAAACAGTGAATAGGATGAGCCATTTCTTTTTCAAGAAGCACCCCTGTAGAGAAGGGAAGAGAGTGAGAAGGTGGTGGTTGATGGTCCAGTACAAGGTAGATAAGATCCCTTTGCTAAAACTCATGTATCAGTTTAAGGAAAGCAGTTTATCTTTGGAACTTTCAAAACTAATTTATAGTGGGTGGTGAAAATTTTCTTAAAATGATACTTTGGAGACTTTACCAAATGTGTAACAACTTTGACAGTACTTAAATTGCATATCTATCTGCATTTGTATTTTACAAAAATTCAGACTATATACCTAATTCTATTGAACCCTATTGAGAGTTGGTCCAGCTAATTTATCCTCGTTTCACTGTTATGGAACCTGAGCCTCAGAGAGGTTTAAGTAATTGGCCCGAAGTATAACCCATATTATTTCTAGCAGAGTCAAAGTTGCAGCCTCAATCCAACTTCAAATGTTATCTTCCTGGTCCAGTGATTTTAAAGTTAGCTTAATATATTTTTTTCTATAGGTAAAATATTTCAAGATCTCAAGTTAGTAGTAAATTGACTTCAGTATTTCTCACCTGTGTGAGAAGTGCCTTTTATTTTCTTTACTTCATATATAATCACACAGGAGATTTTATTTCCTTTTCCCAAGATGAGTGTGTATGCAAGTCACTAAGGGTGGCTTGCACTCCAGAAGTGGGAATTAAACTCTACTTCCTTGATGGAGTAGTCTTTACATAAATTATTTGGAATTCTTCTACATGGGAGATTTATCTCTTCTCTCCCGTTAATTTATATATTTAGTCATTTATATCTGCATGAACTCATTGTTACTTATTTTATACCTGTACTTTAGGTTACAATCCAATACAATGTAATTTATTTTGTTGCTCATATTGTTTTGGTCATAGGATGCCCTTTCAGAGTGGCTCCTATTGTCTCTTTTGCATGCCCCCATTGTTTGTTTTTTGAGCACGTTTTACTTTTTGGACCTACAGTGTGCTCCGACTCTTTGTATGTTTCCCACCTCAGCCTTAGAATCAGCCATTTTCATAAGAGTGCTGGTTTCTTTTACGGGAGAATGATAGTGAAAACCAAGATGTAAGGCCAGGCATGGTGGCTCACGCCTGTAATCTCAGCACTTTGGGAGGCCAAGTCGGGCAGATCACCTGAGGCCAGGAGTTTGAGACCAGCCTGGCCAACATGGCAAAAACATGTCTCTACTAAAAAAAAAATACAAAAAATTACCCAGGTGTGGTGGTGCGCCTATAATCCCAGCTACTCGGGAGGCTGAAGCAGGAGAATCGCTTGAACCTGGGAGGTGGAGGTTGCAGTGAGCTGAGATCACGCCACTGCACTCCATCCTGGGCAACACTGTCTCAAAAAAAAAAAACAGAAAGAAAGAGAGAAAACCAAGATCTGAGGACTGGGTGTGCTTGTTGCTACTGGACTGTCATTGATTTTAAGCCCTTTCAGCAGACAGATCTAGAACATATATTTATATATTATAACCCATGTATATATACATCTATAGTTGTTTCCGTGTCTAGCCATCTGTATCTATATTAAGCTAAACATGAATTCATACTGATGTCTGGACTCTACTCCAGAACACATGGTTCATTCTAGCCTTCCCTCTTTCCTTATATGTAACCTTCCTCTCCAACAGTAAGAAACCTGGCCCCCAGATCTGCCATCTGTTTATTTATTTGTTTGTTCTTAGTATTCATGTAGAGTGGTTTCAGAATTGTTAATCTCTACTCCTAGAAACAACTTTACCAACTAGACTATAGTGTTTATGTGCAGTTCTTTTTGTCTTTAGTCTTACAGTTTTCAGTCATAGCATCATTTATCAAAGTTATGTAGACCAGTGTCTTTTTTCTCTATCTCTCAGTGTGGTTATGACATATATTTGTAATTCAATTAGATTCTTTTGTCACAGTCTGCATGCTATCCTAGGATCACCCTTCCTTTTACCTCCTGGTTGATTTTTTTTTTTTAAATTGCGTACATTAAGGTTCACTCTTTCTGCTGTAAGGCATAATATTTAAATGGTCAGGATTAAACTTTATGTCTTTTTTTTCTTTTTAAGTGGAGGAGAACATCTTTTCTACTTTACAAGAGAAAGTTCCTTGGCTTCTGTAATGTAACATCGGTCTAGGTCTCTGACCTTTTAGTGACCATCTTTCTTAGTCTCTTACTGCTTCTGTTGATTCCTTTCCCTGATGGGTACCTTCCTTTCTGCATTTGTACCAGGAGCACATTACTTCACTTTTTCTAACTTTAAGACATGGTTTAATATATAGTAAGTCTAGGCACGCTTCAATGCTTGTGTTGTTCATTTTTCTAAATTATTTGTTACTCTTACCTGCCCTACTGATAGAGAGAGGAGACAGCCAAATGCTGCCCAGGTCATTGTGCACAGGGGGCTTGCCTAAACATGCCCATGGGGGCGAAAAATTCCGTGCCTTAACACGTGCACAGAAAGGGAAATAAATCAATGTGGAGTGGCTCAGAATAAGGGGCTGCCTGTGCACTGGAAGAATGGGGTGAAGCCACTGGGAATTCTCACCTTATGCAGTGGGGAGGAGCCTGGCCTCTTCAGCTCATGTGTGGTGGTCTGGTATTCAATCTGTGGGGTGGGAACCTGTTGGCAGGACCCCCTTTTTTAGCTGGGAGCTTTCCTTTAATAAATTCTGCTCTCCTCACCTTTCAATGTGTCCACATGCCTAATTTGTCCTGGTGGTGACACAAGAACCCGGATTTTAGCTGAACTAAGGAGCAAAAAATCCTGCATCACTACCCTAGACTTATCAACTTGAGTTACTTTATCAAGTATAAAACAAGCAAATAGCTCTACTGGCATTTTTATTAGAAGTGTATTAAGTTTATTAATTATTTTGGGAAGAATCAGCATCTTTATAATATTGAAATTTTCCATTTAGGAGCCAATCTACTGATGTCTATTATCTATATATGTCTTTGTGTTCCTAGGTTTTCATGTCATTTGTATTCACAAAACTGTCAGGTTAATACATGAAATAAGGGTCATGTCTGACTAATCTCCGACTAATCTCAATAAACTACTTTGAATAAGAGTCAACTTCTGACTAATCTCTGAAACCCTATTTCTGTGATATGTCCTTTTAAAATATGACTACTCTATCTTGCCCTTTAGTTGTGCATCTGTGAAGTTTGAGACTGTTTTCTTTGAATATATGTACTTAGAAGCTGTTACTGGGATATCATGGCTTAATCTACTTGTTTCATCAGTGAGTTACAATGACAAGAATTACTTAAAATAGATAACTAGTTAGGAGCATTTGTTTCAATTCTGACACTTCAAGAAAATGTTTAAGTTTTTTTTTTTATTTTCTGTTTAGTTTATTCCAGCTCTCAGAAATGTCTTCACCCTTCACTTTAGAGCCCATCTTTCTATAATGGGCATAGAATTTTATTGTGTAAATATCATTTGTATAATTTGAGTGTTACCAGAACCTTGACGTTTTCATGACAAATACATTTCGGAAACTTTAACTCATAAATTCCTTATTATATGTCACTGGTTGTGTTAGAGTGCATTTTATTCTTTTAGAACTGCAGTTTTCATTAACAATTAAACCATAGTCTTAAGTTAGAAAAGGAGTATTTAAAACTGCCTCATGGTATTAGTTGACTACAAGGAAGTAATGGTAAGAGATCAGACCATTTCCCTTATAGAAATTTAAAAATAAAAAAATAAAATTGATGAATATTTCGATAAATTCTGTTTAAGCAAATATTTAGTGCTGCATCCTCCTCAGACTATTGCTTTTGTTACCTTTCAATTTCTGCCACTCCTCTTCCCTTATTCACCAAAAATTAGAGAAGAGAAAATGGGAGCTAGTGGACAGGATTTGTGTATTAAGAATACCAAAGAGCTGTTCACAGTGGGATCTCTGTAGAACTTTTTCTTGATTTTCTATAGTTTTAAATGGTGAAACCTGTCATTTATACATTACTTACATTTTAATAGTTCATTAAATTCCTCTTGGAATCTTTGCTTTTTAAAACCAGGAAATAGAAGTAATACCTTCTAGTTGATGGGCTTTGATTCTTCCACAGATTCATCTGAAAACTACATTAAGATGAAGACCTTTGAAGGTTTCTGTGCTTTGCATCTCGCTGCAAGTCAAGGACATTGGAAAATCGTACAGATTCTTTTAGAAGCTGGGGCAGATCCTAATGCAACTACTTTAGAAGAAACGACACCATTGTTTTTAGGTAAGTATGCTATTTGTGGTGCAGATGCAATTTTTCATCATTATTATTTTTTTGTTAAACTAAGCTTAATTTTTCCTTCAGCTGTTGTGCTTATAGTATGTTCTTTTGGCAACTATCATACCACTACTTCCTTGATTTTTGAAACTGAAAAGATATTTTTAAAGGTTTTGCTCTTGTTTTCTATTCTTGGGTGGTAGCTTCTGGGACTTTGTTTATTTAAAGTTGCAAAATCTGTTTCGAATTGTAGGCACCATCATTGTTCTCACTGTAGTTCTGAAGACCAGGTATCACTTAAATTGTAGCAGTAGTTGCAAGGTTACCTGTGAATGCTTTATGTTTGCTTTTGCCTTTTCTTAACATTAAAAAATTAAGAAGCTTTTATGGAAGAAATCACCAGCTAATACTTTAATGCCAGTTAATGTGTTGCCTGTATGGATCTGTTTTTTAATTCAGACCTCTTCTGTTACAGACTGTTTTTTAATTCCTTAAGGACGACAGCCAAATTCTAAATGGCTTTCTTCCAATAACTGTCTTTTTTCTTCTTTTCCTCCTTTTTTCTATTCGATTCTATTTGTCTTCAGGGACATTGTGTCCCATAAAGTTTAGTGGAACATGAGAAAATTGAGTCAATGAAGCGTTTGGAATAGAATCAGTGCATCTGGACTATAGTTTTGGTCCTGCCACATGTAATTTGTATATTTATTTATTTACTATATGTTTCAGTATCCTCACTTATAAAATGAGAGTAATAGTACCTATCTAGTCTTTGTTATTGGTCTGAGAATGAAATGAGTTGTCTGTGAAAGTACTTTTTTTCCTTGTGGACTTAAAAATATTACTTAAATTTATGTACTTTAGTAAAATTCATTCTTTTTAATATAACAGTTCTGTGAGTTTTGATGTATTCATAAAATTCTGTAATGACAACAATCAAGATATAGAACCATTCCATCACTCCTCAAAATTCCATCATGCTGCCAATTTTTAATCAATATTTTCTTCCCTCTCCCCAGCTCCACCCCTGACAGTGACTGATCTGTTCATATATATGAATTAATATACACCATATAGCCTTTGAGACTGGCTTCCTTTAGCTGTCATGATACTTTTGAGATTCATCCATATTGTTGCATGTATCAATAATCCATTTCTTTTTGTTAGCTGAATCGTATTCTATTAAATAGATGTGATTAAATAGATGTGATACAGTTTATCCATTTATCAGTTGGATATTTGAGTTGTTTTCACTGTTTAGTGGTTACGACTAAATCTCCTATAAACATTTGCAGACAGGTTTTGTATCAATATAAGTTTTTATTTCTCTTGGGTTAATACTTAGGATTGGTATGACATATGGTAAATATATGTTTAACTTTGGGAAACAAGTTGGAAGTTTTTTTCTACTGGTTTGCATTTCGTTCAGTAATGTTTGAGACTTTTAGTTGCCCCATATCCTTGCCAACATTTGCTATTGCCAGCTTTTTCTTTTTCTCCCTTACATCTTAGTAATTCTAATGGAGGTTTAGTAGTATCTCACTGTGGTTTTTATTTGCATTTTCCTAATTGCCAATGATGTTGAGCATCTATTCATATGATTATTTTCCATCTTTCCTTTTTCCTCATTACTTTTGTATTTAGACGTTTTGTTTTGAAATAATTTCAGACTTATGGAAGTAGTCAATAACAGTACAAAGGGTTCCTTATATACTTTTCACCCAGATTTTCTTCTTTTGCCAGGTTTGTCATTTAATTTCCTTCTTTGTATTTTTTTTAATCCTTTTGAGATTAAGTGGTAGACATCACGCTCCTTTACTTCTACTTCAGTGTGAACTCCTAAAAGCAATAAAATTCTGACTACCATATGATGATCATAATCTTATCAGGAAGTTAACATGGATAGAATAGTATTATTTGGTCTACAGCCCTCATTCAATTTTTTCGTGAATGTCTTTTATAGCAACAGAAAAAAAGATTTTGGTCCGTGATGAATCCAAGATCACTTGTTATATTTAGTTGTTATGTCTCTTTGGCTTCCTTTAATTTGGAACAGTTTTTTAGTCTTTTATGATTTTAACTTTTTTAAGAGTTCAGGTCATTGATTTTGTATAATATCCTTCGATTTGGGTTTGTCTGATGTTTCTTCCTGATAAGGTTCAGGGTTTGTGTTTCTGGCAGGAATACCACAGAAGTGCCATGGTATCTTAGTGCATCTTACCAGGAATAATATGACACATTACTAGTAATGTTAATTTATGAAAGTACTTTGAATATGCGAAAAGTATTTTACACGTTTCATGGAAGCTTTGGTTTAATGTAGCTTGGGTTTCCTAGAGGAGTGATTGCTTTTTTATATTAAGTTTCTTTTTTCCCCTGCACCTGCATTTAACCTACTTTGGATATTCTGTACAACTACAGAGGAAGCATTTATTGAGGCTCAGCTATACGCAATCTCCATTCTAGCCGCTTTCCTCAAGAAATCGTCTACGTGGAGGAGTAAAAAAGGTGATTTTACAAGTTTGAGATTTTAAAAGGGAGAATAATTAGTCACCCTTGAATGACAGAAGACTTCATGTGCAGAGTGCTGTATTAACAGTAACAATAACATTTATTAAGCAGAGTGTATACTAAGCCTTGTGTGGGTGTTTTACATGAAGCAGATAATTGGATCTTCACTGTGATTCTGAGACATGTACTATTATTATTCCCACTTTTACAGGTGAGGAAACTTTAAAAAGACTGGATTTAGGAAGAGAAGAGCTATCTTTGAATCTTGATCTTGCTGTTGTCTGTGTTTTGGGTAGAAAACTGATTCAGTGAACTATTAAAAACATGTTTATTGACAAAAGGTTTCCTAATCACATACATTTGCGAAACACTATGTGCTATATCCCCCAGTGTAGAAAAACATGAAGACATTACATATGTGACTTATTGTGCCCACCCTGTCTGAAGTATCCACTGATCTCTTTATGCATTCTCTTTTAGTGTCTTCATCACTGACTCCAGTTAATTATTACTCCCTTGTTTATTTACTGCCCCCTTAACTAGAAAGAGTGTTCCATTAAGGCAGGGATTTTATTCATCTTGTTCACTGTTGTAACTCCCAAACTCAGTTTAGTGCCTGGTATATGGTAGGTATTCAGTAAATTATTTGTTAAATAAAAGAATGAAGGATTCTGAGAAGACCTCTCTTAAACAACATTTGTTTATCGCAGAGCTTTGAAACGTATTTGACTGTACTGTTCTTTCAGTCTCGTTGTCCAGCCTGGAGTGCAATGGCACAATCTCGGCTCACTGCAACCTCTGCCTCCCGGGTTCAAGTGTTTCTCCTGCCTCAGCCTCCCGAGTAGCTGGGATTACAAGCCCCCGCCACCACGCCTGGCTAATTTTTATATTTTTAGTAGAGATGGGGTTTCACCATGTTGGCCAGGCTAATCTGGAACTCCTGACCTCAGGCGATCTGCCTGCCTCAGCCTCTCTAAGTGCTGGGATTACAGGCATGAGCCACTGTGCCCAGCTGTATTCTTTTTCTTTATGGAACATTTAGGAATACCTCCAGAAACATTGATATTCCATGGGACTATTTGAGAAATGCTATTCTGGCCACATAGTTTACAGTTTCAAATTATTATTATTATTATTAGAGTCCCATTTATGAAATTCAGTATTGTGCCTACTTTTATTAGTATTTGGAGAAAATTAGAGATGCATAGTTTTTAGGGGTTTATATTTCAACATGTAGTTAACTTGTACTTTTTTATGTTAATGAAGCAAGGGATGGGAGATAATTCAAACCAGTAAATAACTTTAAATCACTTATTTTTAGTAGTAGGATTTATTTTGTTTCTGTGGCAGTGAATTTACCATTTTGTAAATGGTAAATTTGTATTGACTAAGAAATAAATCTTTTGTATTGACTAATACAAAATACCGTGCCTGGCCAATATAGTATTTAAAAAAAGGAAAGTAGAGCCTTAGTGTTTGTAAAAACATAATGTGGAAGGGCCAGGTGTGGTAGCTCACATTTGTAATCTCAGCACTTTGGGAGGCCGAGGCGGGCGGATCACCTGAGGTCAGGGGTTCGAGACCAGCCTGGCTAACATGGTGAAACCTCGTTTCTACTAAAAATACAAAAAATTAGCTGGGTGTGGTGGCACATGCCTGTAATCTGAGCTACTTGGGAGGCTGAGGCTGGAGAATCACTTGAATCCGGGAGGGCGGACATTGCAGTAAGCCAAGATTGCGCCATTGCACTCCAGCTTGGACAACAATAACTCTGTCTCAAAAAAAAAAAAAAGAAAAAACCCCCCAAAAAACAGTGTGTGGAAGAATGGGCATGTATACATCAGTGTTGTGTATGGAAAAAATAGGAATGGACATATAACTCTTTAGTTAGATAATATGGGTGTCAGTGTCTTCTCTGCATCATGAATAATAGGACAAACTTTAGCACTCTGCCTTGCTCACCTTTACCTTTTTTTATTTTTTGATGTAGGGTCTTGCTCTTTTGCCGAGGCTGGAGTGCAGTGGCAAAATCATAGCTCACTACAGCCTCAAACTATTGGGCTCAAGTTATCCTCCTGCCTCAGCCTCTTGAGTAGCTGGGACCACAAGCACCGCCACCACACCCAGCTAATTTTTTTTTAATGTTTAATTTTTGTAGAGTTGGGGTCTTGCTATGTTGCCCAGGCTTGTCTTCAAGCGATCCTCCTCCCTTAGTTTCCCAAAGTGCTAGGATTACAGGCATGAGCCACTGCACTTGGACAATCTTTTTATCTTTTAAATAACCATATAGTGATTCCTGCTTCAGTCTATAATGGAAGAGTTTTAAAATTAAAACAAAATCCAAAATAATTCAAGGTTTGTATCAAACTACAAATAATTTCTAGATGAGGAAGAGTAGCTGGACTAGTTGGACTTAAAGTGAGAAAGGAAGGTTAACCTGTCTAGAATAGCTTCCTTTCCCATCTGTAGAGTTAGCTTCCAAAACTGAAAATTTGGAATATGTTGTTTGAGGTATTTTGTTTCTCTCCCTCAAGGGAAGCTATACTCTATTACATGTTATAGGACCTGTCCTGATGGCCCAGTTAGCACTAGCCTATTGCTAGAGGCTATAGAATATAAACCCAGAGGATCTAGGGGTAGAAAGTGAATATGGAACTATGGAAATCTCCCAGGTGACCGGAAAAGTTGTTGACATGAGAGGTGTGTTGGATCTGATTATGACTGAACATAAAGCTAAATGGAGGGACTCTGGAAAGTCGACTGCTCCACTGTTTGTAATGGGACTATCTTCTTTACACAGAGCTCACCAACATTTTAATAAAGATGAGCTTTAAAAGGGAACTCTTCAACTTAATGGCAGTAGGAATCAAAATGAGAAAACCTCACGAGAAAGGGGAAATTCAGGGAACATCTCATCTTTCTACATGAATATTGTCCTTCCAGAACATCTTTTTGCTAGCACACAGGTTAGAGTTTATTTTTTAACAAGGAGTCTTGCTGCCTTATTTCTTTTCTCTACCCTTGTCTTGTCCTTCCCCTGCTCTCTTTCCCTTCCCCTTGCTCCATATACACATAATAAATATTCTAAGGGTAGGTAAAACTGCTTTGGAAATAAAGATATTCTTGTTGATAGCTATAATAAATTCTAAGTGAAAAATCCAGCTAATATTTAGGAAATAGATTTCCTTTTTATTTTGTTATATTTAGAAAACATTGCTAAATTGGAGGCTCAAATCCAAACTAGTGTGATTTCATAGGACACTCCATGGGAACTGCATGGCATGCGCTTTTGGCTTTTGATGGATGGTTTTTCATTTTTTGTTTTTCTGAGTTTGCTTATTCTGTGTAATATTTAATAAGAACAGAATGTTTTATAAATAGTGTTGGGTGAGGCTGCCTATTTCAATATTTAACTGTAAAATGTGTCATACTTCAGCTCACATAGCATATGCTTTAACTTTGACTCTGCTGACATATTCTAAAATTGAACAAACCACCATGTGATTCACTTTTCATTAGTGTCTTCATGGATAAGTGATCATTCATAAGGCTATTTTTTGATGTGCTATGAATTTTGTGGTTTCACATTCATATCTCTTTATATATTATGTTAATAAAACTTTGCTTTGGAGGTTTTTTTTTAGATTTTTCAACTGGAAGATTAATCTTCAGTGATTGTCATGTAAGCATTTTTACTTGAGGACATGTTCTTTAAAATACGGGTTTGAGTTTTCTTAGATTGAAAGTATGGAGTTTACTAAAAGTTACATTTAAAAAGTGTTAATTTCATGTTCTGGTTTTACTTTTGTTTGTTTTTTTAGTTTTATGGTTCTTGATACAACTTTATATTACACCTATGTTTTATTTTTTTTAATTTTTTTATTTATTTTTTTGAGACAGAGTCTCGCTCTGTCTGCCCAGGCTGGAGTGCAGTGGCACTATCTCGGCTCACTGCAAGCTCTGCGTCCCGGGTTCATGCCATTCTCCTGCCTCAGCCTCTCAAGTAGCTGGGATTACAGGCGCCTGTGACCACGCCTGGCTAATTTTTTTTTTTTTTGTATTTTTAGTAGAGATGAGGTTTCACCGTGTTAGCCAGGATGGTCTAGATCTCCTGACCTCGCAGTCCACCTGCCTCGGCTTCCCAAAGTGCTGGGATTACAGGCGTGAGCCACTGCGCCCAGCCACCTTTCTATGTTTTAACACAATGTCTTTTAATTACTTTTTTTTTTTTTTTTGAGACAGAGTCTCACTCTGTCACCCAGGCTGGAGTGCAGTGGTGCGATCTCTGCCTACTGCAACTTCCACCTCCAGGGTTCAAGGGATTCTTGTGCCTTAGCCTCCCGAGTAGCTGAGCTTACAGGTGCCTGCCACCATGCCAGGCTAATTTTTGTACATTTAGTGGCGATGAGGTTTCACCATGTTGGCCAGGCTGGTCTCAAAATCCTGACCTGAAGTGATCCGCCTGCCTCGGCCTCCCGAAGAACTGGGATTACAGGAGTGAGGCACTGCACCTGGCTTTTAATTCTTTAATGTAAGCAATTATGAAACTAGGATACTTATTATCTTTCTGGTTTTACCTTCATATAATTAAATGTATTTATATAATGTGTTATTTTATTAGTCACATTTGATTAATAGATTTAAACCTCCAGCTTTTAAAGATGAGGAAATCAGTATCCTTATATTGTTCTTACATAACTCTCTTTCTCCCCCCGCTTTTCCAACTTTTGTCAGTTATATTTGCATTGTTAGTGGGAATAACATTTTGCATTTTGTTCTGGCATCTTAAATGCATCATTTAACTTTATTCTTAGTTCCACGGTTAAATAGCTTAGAAGTTTATCACCAGTTATTTTGGCATGTTTTTTCCAGCCTTGTTTGGTTAGCTAAATAATTCCTTTAACACAGTCCTTTAACAGGACCTATGGCAGTACTATTCCCTGAGTTTTTACATGTTCAAAATTGAATAATTTGGCTGGGCGCTGTTGCTCACGCGTGTATTCCCAGCACTTTGGGAAGCTGAGGTGAGAGGATCACTTGAGGCCAGGAGTTCGAGACCAGCCTGGGCAACAGAGTGAGACCACCCCATCTCTGCAAAAAAAAAAAAAAAAAAGGTAAAAAAATTGAATCACTTAAATTGAATAATGATTCAAACTTGAACAGCAGTTTGATCAGGTACAAAATCCTTGAATTACATCCCTTTCCTTGAGAACTTTAAAAATGATGATCCATTCTGTTCTAGAGTTGAAGTCTGAAGCTAGCCTAATTTTCTTCTCTTTTTGTGACAATACTTTTGCTTGTCCATTCCTTATCAGTTTTCTCTGACACAGTGTGTGTCCTTTCAATATGTAGACTTGGATATTTTAAATTTTAGTTAATCTTTCTGGAATTATATCTTTAAATATTTGTCTGTTCTGTTATTATGGTGGTGTTCTTGGGCCAGCGTGTTTACATGTTGGTATCTTATCTGTTTTCAATGTCTATTGTTTTTTCTCTATTTTTCTTTCTCTGTGTTTTTGTTTTACTTTTCCTGTTTTTTTTTTAAGCCTCTATGTTCCTCTTCAGAAATGTCTATTCTGTCTAGTGTTTCTTTCAATTTCAATTGGATTTTTTATGATTGTTTTTGCTTTTCCCAGGTATTTTCTGAATTCAGTTTAAATTATATCATTTCCTGTCAGCCATTTTTTTACTGAGCACTTGTATTTCAGTGTTGGTGCTGTTTTCACAGAGACAATTGCTTCCTTAACTTCTTTTTTAAAATTTACAGTTGTAGATTTAGCTACAATTTTCCTTTGGTTTGTGGTAATATTTTTCAGATGAGAGGTTTTTGCTTTCTTTTGTTGTTGGTCTATTGTTTTTCTATAACTTTTCTTCCTTTATTCTTGTATCTTTGTATGGATTTGTGCTGGTACCTTTGTGATAATTCATCTTGGGAATATGTGAGTTTTTGCTCAATTAGCTGCTTTCAGGAGGTTTATAATAGGAAGGAGGTAGAGGCACATTCCATATTATGGAGTTTTCCTTTAGACTCAGGATTTTTGGACATGAATTCATTTAGCTAGTATCTTTCACTAGCCATTGGGGGTTGGCAGCTGTGGGATTTTTGCAATACAGTTTCCCATTTGTGGTAGCAGAGATAGACCACTTTGTGTGATTCTTTTTTTGGATCCAGTCCCTCTGATTTTCGGATTTCAACTGGTCCAGAGAAGTTCCTGCTGCTAGCCTGTGCATTTTTTCCTGGTACTTAGTTTTGTTCCTCAGAGGGAGCCCCTGACCTTTGAGAAGTGTTCTTTGCTAGCTTTTTCTTAGATGTGCAGCTGACACATCTGTCCTCTTTCTCCCACAAGTACCCAGGATTGATCGTCATTCTTTTGGAGCCCCTTTTACAAATTTTGATCTGGAGTTCAAAAATCTAAAACTAGAATTATAGTTTTACTAAAAATGGAGAGTGTGTTTTTATTTTATTTTTCTTGCTGATGTTGGATTAATTGCTTTTGGATGATTTCTAAGAAAAGTAAAGGGAAATGCCTATATTGTGCTACAATATTAAAATTGGAAGTCCATATTCATTTTTAAAGTAAAACAGAAATTCTCGATTTCAGTATTTTTGTAATAATTTGAATTCTAGTATATGGTAGCAGTGAATAGACCTAGATAAAATCTCCCTCAACCCCAGTCCATACAATACAATCTCTGTTCTAGTTAGGTACCGTAGAGCAGTGCCACTCAAAATGTCAGTCGATTTATATAAGAAGCTTGAACCATTATATAAATCAATATATTGGTTTCTTCATCAAGGAAGTCCTGTCTCAAGGAAAATGTCAGCTAAAATAAAGTGTGCTTAGAGACATAGTTGTTTATATTCTGTTCAAAACTTCTTACCTTGTTGAGGACTGATAACAATTTGCACATTGACAGCCAGTTTGTGACAATGTTGAGTAGCCCTGCTGTACAGCATGCCATGCCTTTGTGGCTATCAAACTGGATTGTTACATGGTTAATGCAATTGTCTCTTCATTCTTCATGATTACTAATGCCATTGGCCAACTAATGATATGTGATTATCATTGGTTAGTATGGCTAAAATGGAAATGTTGCTCCTACATAAATAGGACTCTTTGGGATTAAGGATAGTCTGTCCATACACTTTTTCTTTGATAGGGAACTCCCAGAATATTTTGTTTCTCTAAGCCTTAGTATGGGTCATTCTTACAAGGTGGATCTAGTAAGGAGAATACTGCTGTATGAATGCTTCAAAAAGTTGAATAATTTCTGAAAGTAGTAGAATTACAGTGTTATAGCCCTAGAAGAAGGTGTAAGTTTAGGGATGTGTTATCTAAATCAAATGTTTCTTGACTCTGCTGCTGGGGAGACATACGGAAAAATAAACAATATATAATAGGATAGTGGAATTTTAGCTTTTTGTCTTTTAATACTTTCATTTGATTGAAGGATGTATTTTTCTGGATATGGTCTCTGATGTCTAATTGGCCATTAGACTTCTCCCTGTCTGTTAGAAACCATGAGAAATGTCAGTGATAACGTGGATGATTGGATTGGGATATTCGCCACAACGTTTTTGTTATATCCCTAACATAATGAGTTTTGCCCAGAAGATCATGGTTTTTCCCATCAGTATGCATCTTTAAGATTGTTAGCCACTGGGCAGACATGAAGAAATTTATAAAACAGAAATATAACTTTTTAGTATAATTTTTAAAAAATTCTGTATATCAATAAAATACTACATTTCAGACTAAAGATTTTAATAATTGTTCTGCTGCCTTGGGTATAAGTAAAGTGCTGGAAAAACATAAACTTGAGGATACATAGAATAAATGGACAACACTGGAAAAAAAAATTCCTTTGTCATAGCAATAATGGAGTTTCTTTTCTAGTGCCACCAGATGTCAGTATGAACACAGGACCAGAGAAATACTGCAGGAGATAAATGTTCTTACAAATGTTCCTTTTTTGGTTCATGAAAGAGGTGGGGGAAAAAAGTTTTACATAAACTAGCTATACAATGAAAAAATAATTTTACTGTTCAATTGTATAGAAAAATGAAATGCATAATGGAGAACAGAGTACATGTAGAACTCAAAAAAGTAGAGATACCATTAAAAATTCATATATAATTCAAATGTAAAATTGAATATATAGATGATTTCTGCATAGCCAGCCAGCCTGCTGCTATAACTGGAGGAGATGGACAGCCTGTGGTTAAACTTTTCGTTACAGACTTACTGACCATGTCATTTTTTAGAATTATTGTCAAAATCTGAGCCTCAAAATGAAAGACTAGGCTGGGTGTGGTGGCTTATGCCTATAATCTCAACATTTTGGGAGGCTGAAGTGGGAGGATCACTTGAGCCCATGAGTTCAAGACCAGCCTAGGCAACATAGCAAGACCTTGTCTCTACAAAAAATGGAAAATGAGCTGTGTGGGTGGTGCATGCCTGTAATCCCAGCTACTCATGAGGTTGAGGTGGGAGCATCGCTTGAGCCCAGGAAGTTGAGGCTGCAGTGAGCCGTGAATGTGCCACTGTCCTCCATCGTGGGTAACAGAGCCAGACCCTATCTTAAGAACAAAACAAAACAAACAAAAAAATGAAACAGTATATTTTCTAGCTAATAGAGATAAAACTCACTGTAATTTTCATTTGGTACAAAATTGTGTTTATAATTGTAATTTGTACAGAATTGTTATGGTAATTCCCTAGAACTCATAGTCACATTAAGCATTTTTCTAAAAGAGCATTCACTAAGATAATTACATTTAAAAAATGTCCCTTAAAAAAGCTTTTTCTTTAATGAATGCTATATTAAACAATGATCATTATTTACTATTTCTAGTTAGATTTAGTACTTACATGTATGTATAGGTCTACCATATTTCTCCCAGATGAGAGTCCCGTTTTGAGTTCTTGCTTTCATGAAATCTTCACATGGGGCTTTGCTTGTAACTGTACTCAATATGTTGCATGCCACAACTGAGTTGATTTTGGTCAAAAGTTTTGTGTGGGTCAAAGGCTGCTTCTAGTTTCTCAATTTCCTGTTTTCAAAAATATTTTGTTACCTAAGATATGTTTTTCCAGATTGCTTCATTTTTCCTCTAATTTAGGAAATGGAAAAAGGTGTTTTTTCAAAACCAGAAAATGTCTCCCTAGAAATTATTGCAGGATATGTTCTCATGCCATTTTTGCTTTCTTAAGCATTTACAATTAGAGATTTCTTCCATACTATGTTATATGATCCATTGTGGGAAAAGCAGTGTTCCTACCCTCAGAGGTTCTGGCTTTTCTCTTCTACCTGTTTGGAGTCTTACCTGTTTGGATTGAAGAGGGGAAAGTCTTTCTCCCATATCTCTGTGTACTCCAGACACTTGGAGCTCTGCCTTCTGAAATGCGGTCTTTTATTTCATCCTTAATCTTTTTCCTTGGTCTCTGGTCCCTATTGGATACCATTTTTTAATACCAGATACTATGATTCTGCTTTCTTTTTCTTTCTAGGAACCCACAGTACTTTTCTAGCTTCTAGAATTACACCTTATCTTTCTGTCTTTGACACTTACTCCAAGACCTGCAGCTGATCGCCTGGCTCTCTGTTTCCAATGCTAAATGGGTATCTTGAAGACAGGTATACCTAGTATTCTAGGTTAAATTTCAATTCAATTCAATTCTAATCTCTAGACCAGTCCTACCCAATAGAACTTGGAATTGTCCTATATCTACATTGTCCCTTATGATGGTCACTAGCCACATGGGGCTCTTGAACACTTGAAGTTTGTCTGGTTTGATTGAAGAACTCAAATTTTAATTTTATTCCATTTTAATTAATTAAAATTAAAATTTAAACAGCCAAATGAAGCTTCTGTCTTCTATATTGGAGAACAGTTCTAGAGAGCAACAGAATGAGTGCAGTTCTTCATACATCCTTAACTGAACAGTAGTCCTGTTTTATTTTTGAAATATTTATCTCCTTTGCCCTAACATGTGGTCCTAGATGGGTCTCACATAAAAAGGCGAAGGAGCAAAGAAACACCAGCTTAGCCAACTAGTTTTGCTTATCAATAGGATGGTAAAAGTCACAACTGAATTTTTCTCATTATCCTCCATTGATTAGGTGATTATCAGGCCTCTACACTATCAGGCTTAGTTCCTGATATCATGGGCTTACAATTTAATTGAGGATATTATAATAACCAGAATTCAAGATAGGCTGTAATAAATACCATAAGAGGTACACAGTATATGAAGCTTAGTTCTGTCCTAATTACTGTGTTGTTATTCTGCTGTGGATTTATCTATTTCTTGTCTCTTCTCTCTCCCTGTTTCTTTAGGTTTTAAATCATTTTTCAATTAATATACACTTTAGTATTATTGAGTAAATAGGACAGTGTTCAGTTTGATTTTTATTCTGATGTGTTTTAAAAAATTCAGGGTATACTATATGCACATTAGGAATATTTTAGATATTCAAAGTGTTCTCGAAATTTTCGTTTTGAAATTCCCTTCAGAATTTGTGGCAGTCTTTTTTTTTTTTTTTTTTTTCCTTTTTTAAAACGTCCTGGACAATTTCACATACACAAAAGCTTGGAGACATCCTTCCCCTTCCTCTCACAAGTACCCAGGATTGATCTCCATTCTTTTGGAATAGTATGGTCTCATCACTCTGACTTAGCCAGAAGTCTTAGGAGTTCCATGGCCCCTCAGTAGTGTTTGACTTCTAATTATTTCTGTTCCATTCTTGACCCTTAAGCAGTTTTTATTTGCCTTACCTTGTACATGTGCAACCTACGCTTGAACCAAGGACCCTTGGGCAACTTCCACACAGAGGCCTCCTGTCTGCACAATTCACTCTTCTCTAGGGCCTTACCTGCAGATTTCAACCACTTAAATTCTAATCTCTGTCTCCTCAGTTTACTACTGCACTTGAGCCTCTTTCCTCTGGTTGGAGTACACCTTTCCCAACCTTACTGTTGCTCTACTTGGACTTCAGCTCACTGTACCGTAACGGGGAAATGTCCCCAGGTACAGAGCTGGGGTGATCATGGGCTCATCTCTTGTGTTTCACTTCTCTCGGGAATCACAGTTGTCTGCCTGTTGATTAATACCCGAGTAAGTTACCTTATATATTTTGTCCACTCTTATGATTGTTTTGGATGGATGGCTAGTTTAGTACCAGTTATACTGTCATATCCCAAAGTATAATTCTGAAGCTTATTCAATTTGGCGAGGGAATCTTAAAAAGAGAAATCAATATCTTCTTTTAGACATATTTTTTTCTTTTTTGAGACAGAGTCTTGCTCTGTTGCCTAGGCTGGAGTGCTGTTGCATGATCTCGGCTCACTGCAACCTCCGCTTCCTGGGTTGAAGTGATTCTTGTGCCTCAGTGTACTTGGGACTACAGGCATGCACCACCACACCTGGCTAATTTTGTATTTTAATAGAGACTGGGTTTAAACATGTTGGTCAGGAATTCCTGACCTCAGGTGATCTGCTCACCTTGGTCTCCCAAAGTGCTGGGGTTACAGGTATGAGCCACTGTGCCCTACTCAATTTTTTTTTTTTTTTTCTGAGATGGAATCTCACTCTGTCGCCCAGGCTGGAGTGTAGTGGCGCGATTTCGGCTCACTGCAAGCTCCGCCTCCTGGGTTCACACCATTCTCCTGCCTCGGCCTCCCAAGTAGTTGGGACTACAGGCGCCCGCCAACATGCCTGGCTAATATTTTTGTATTTTTAGTAGAGACAGGGTTTCACCGTGTTAGCCAGGATGGTCTCGATTTCCTGACCTCGCGATCCGCCTGCCTCGGCCTCCCAAAGTGCTGGGATTACAGGCGTGAGCCACCGCACCTGGCCTCCAATTTTAAGGTTATTAATTTATGTCACCACCACCTGGATATGATAGTTCCACTTTTACCACATCCCTGCCGGATACTTACTCTGTGTTTCATTTTAAATATTCTGGTGGGTGGTGTTGTGGGTGCTCACTGAGGTTTTCATTTGCATTTCCCTAATGGAATGACAAGAAGGTGAGTACTTTTCCATGTATTTTATTAGCTATTTGCATATCCTCCTTTGTGAAGTTCCTGCACAAATTTTCTCATGTTTTAAAAATAATTTATCTTTTTATTGATTTAAGGAGTTCTTAATTTTAACGTGGTCCAATTTATCACTATTTACCTTTATGTTTATTGCTTTTAATATGAAGATTAAAAATTATTTTTCTATTCCAAGATCAGTTTGTAGATTTTTCCTTTCTTTTTTTTTTTTTTTTAGAAGGTTTGTTGTTTCTAAATCCAATCTGGAATTTAATTCGCAATCCATCTGAAATTGGGTATTGTGTGGGACAGGGGTGAAGATTTTTTTCCCCATATGGATATTCAGTGGACCCAAAACCATTGTCACCTTTGTCATAAAAGTGACCATTTGTTGAAGGTATCTGTTTCTGCAGTTTCAGTTGTTTTATTAGTCTCTTTCTCTATCCTGTGCCAATACCATGCTACCTTAATTATTCCAGCTTTATTAGTTTTGATAGCTGCTTGTATGAGTCCTCTGGCTTTATTCTACATGATTTTTTTGGCTTTATTTGGCCCTTTACATTCCCATCTGTATGAATCAGTTTTTGTTTTTTTTTTTCCAACTATTAAGACAATACCTGTAGCACCTTTGGGTATTTTGATTGGGCTCACATTGAATCGTTAGATTGTTTTGGGGAGAATTGATATTTTTAAAATAGTGAATCTTTATATCTATGAACATGGTGTATTCTACTTTTTTTTTTTTTTTTAGATCTTTGCTTTTCTCAGTAGTATTTTGTAGTTTACAGTTTAGAGGTTTTGCATGTTTTATTAAATTTATGCCTCCAGGTCTGTGTTAGGCATGTTGATTTTAAGGGGCTGATAGAATGTCTGGATGGAAATACTTGGCAGGTATTTGGAAATTTGGTTCTGGACCATGAGGGAAAGTTCAGTTAGGAGCAATCATTCGCCTAGAGATGAATTTGCTCAGTAACGTTTCAGAATTGAACAAATTCACTAATAGAGAACATGTATAGGCCGGGCGTGGTGGCTCATGTGTGTAATCCCAGCACTTTGGGAGGCCGAGGCAGGCTAGTCACTGGAGGTCAGGAGTTTAAGACCAGCCTAACTAACATGGTGAAACACCATCTCTACTAAAAGTACAAAAATTATCTGGGCATGGAGGTGTACGTCTATAATCCTAGCTACTAGGGAGGCTGAGGCAGGAGATTCGCTTCAACCTGGGAGGTGGAGGTTGTAGTGAGCCAAGATCGCACCACTGCACTCCAGCCTGGGCAACAGAGCAAGACTCCATCTCAAAAAAAAAAAAAAAAAAACTTGTATAAAGTAAAGGAATAAAAAAATAAATAGAGATTGAAGACAGAATCCTGGTGAGTCATCACATTTCTGAAATAGTAGGATAGAACAACTAAACTAAGAAGAATGAGTTGTTAGAGAAAGTTGTAACACCACAACAGTGCTGTTGACATGGAGAAAAAAGTTTATGTTAGAGAAATATGGGGAATTTAATGCCAGAGGCAGTAGGAACTGAATAGGAGGTTCAAGGCTGAGAAAAGGCCATTGAATTTGATGATGATTTTCAAGGGAATAGCTTTACATGAATTATGGCAGTAGAATTTGCATGATAGTTATTGATTAAGTGATTAAAAGGTCCATGGAGGCAGGTATTTTTGTCTCTTGTTCACTTCTGTATCTCTAGTACCTGGAATATTACCTGGTACATAATAGGCACTAAGTAGACATTTGTTGAATGAATGAATGAGTGATTTGTGGGAAAATGGGATCACTGAATGTAGACTCAAGAAGAGTAGTCTTTGGGGGTAGTTCAGTGGTAAAAAAAGAAAGTGAGAGAAAACAGTAGATTGGAAGATATTTTGTTTGTTTGTTTTATTTTTAGGGAAAGGAAAACCTAAACTAGTCTGCAGGTTGAACAGTGGAGCCCAGTAGAGAAGGAATGATGAGAAAAAACTGGAGAAGAGACAATATGAGGAACAAACTGCGAAGTGGAGTGTTGGGAACAGGCCCCCCAAAATGTGGCCATAAACTGGCCCGAAAACTGGCCATAAACAAAATCTCTGCAGCACTGTGACATGTTTGTGATGGCCATAACGCCCACGCTGGAAGGATGTGGGTTTACCGGAATGAGGGCAAGGGACACCTGGCCCACCCAGGGCGGAAAACTGCTTAAAGGTGTTCTTAAACCACAAACAATAGCGTGACCGATCTGTGCCTTAAGGACATGCTCCTGCTGCAGATAACTAGCCAAACCCATCCCTTTATTTCCGCCCATCCCTTTGTTTCCCATAAGGAATACTTTTAGTTAATCTATAATCTGTAGAAACAATGCTTATCACTGGCTTGATCTTAATAAATACGTGGGTAAATCTCTGTTCAAGGCTTTCAGCTCCAAAGGCTGTGAGACCCCTGATTTCCCACTCCACACCTCTGTATTTCTCTGTGTGTGTCTTTAATTCCTCTAGCACCACTGGGTTAGGGTCTCCCCAACCGAGCTGGTCTCGGCATTGGAGGAGGTGGGAGGCCAAGGTGGGCGGATTATATGAGGTCAGGAGTTCAAGACCAGCCTGGCCAAAATGGAGAAACCCTGTCTCTACTAAAAATACAAAAATTAGGTGGGTGTGGTGTCACATGCTGGTAGTCCCAGCTACTCGGGAGGCTGACGCAGGAGAACCGCTTGAACCCAGGAGACAGAGGTTGCTGTGAGCCGAAATAGTGCTACTGCAGTCGAGCTTGGGCGACAGAGTGAGAATCCATCTTAAAAAAAAAAAAAAGGAAGTGGAGAAGGTATGGAATTGAGGGAAAGGACACAGATGAAATTCTAAAAAGGAGGAAGCCTGCTTCTTCTCATGAGATACGGAAAAAATAATAAGTAAATCAAGTTTCTACACAGAATATAATATAAAATGTCATTGTGTAGTTCATTCCTGTTAGCAACATTGTTTCAATTGGATAGAGTTAATTTGCTGTTGCTGACATGTATCATTCTCTCTACATCTAGATAGCTCTCAAGGCAGAAGCACTCTTTTTTATACTTTGATATCCTTCTCTATCCTTCCCATTTCATCTGTATTCCCACTATCTCCATGGAATTCACAGGTACTCAATGTTTATAGATACGTGAGTGGTTGACTCTGTTCTTAGAAAAGACTGTGAAGTCTGTTTTATTTGCTAGGTAGTTTCTAAACATGCTCTTATACTTGGTTTTCTCAGTAGGCTTGAGAAAGTATGTCTGTATAAAGTAATGACTGCCTTTTTGGAAGCAAACCATTCAGCACAGTTATGGGTCTCCTCTTCAGCCCATCCAATTTGATATTTCCATTTTAATAGATAAAGTGAATGCTCCTCTTCCAAAGCGGAGGCTTTGGTAGTAAATCTGAGCTCTAAATACACTTTTCTAAACCACGATTTCTCAATTAGTAACTATTAAATTTGCTTTATTTTGAAATAATTAACAAGGGCTGTGAAAATAATATTTTTCTGCTCATGTGTAAGTTTTACTTTTGTCATTGGGAAATGTTTTTAATAGTTGCAGATAGCAGATTTCTTAATATATTTATGATATTAAAAGTGAAAACATAACTTGCATCATAAGGTTAAAAAAATGAAAATTTTTCTGTCATCTATATTGTATTTAATAATCAAAACACATTTTTTGACTTTAATTTTTATAAGGTCAGCCTAACTTGTGGAAAACAAACTTACCTTCACTCTCCTTCATATATCACTGTTGACAACCTGATAATCTTCAAGTCATGGACTGGCTATAGAATGATTTTTGCTAACAGTCACTGATAATGATGTATGAATTTGATATGAAACAGATTTTTTTCCTTTTATGACCTCCACCCAAAATTATTACTATTATTTTCAGGCTTTTTTTTAATATGGTAATTTCATTTGTAATTTCTTTATTTTGCTTTTTTTAATTTTCAGTTATTTTTTTAAAGCTGTTGTGGGGCCAGGTGCAGTGGCTCATGCCTATAATCCCAGCACTTTGGGAGGCTGAGGCGGAGGTGGATCACCTGAGGCCAGGAGTTGGAGACCAGCTTGGCCAACATGGTGAAACCTTGTCTCTACTAAAAATACAAAAATTAGCCAGACATGGTGGTGCACACCTGTAATCCCAGCTACTCGGGAGGTTGAGGCAGAAGAATCGCATGAAACCCAGGACAGGGAGGTTGCAGTAAGCCGAGTTTGCGCCACTGCACTCCAGCCTGGGTGACAGAGTGAGACTCCATCTCAAAATAAAACAAACTGTTGTGGGGGCCAAGTGTGATGGCTCACGCCTGTAATCCCAGCACTTTGGGAGGCCGAGGCTGGTGGATCACCTGAGGTCAGGAGTTCAGGACCACCCTGGCCAACATGGTGAGACGCTATCTCTACAAAAATACCAAAAAGTAGCCGAGCATGATTGCGGGTGCCTGTAATCCCAGCGACTTGGGAGGCTGAGGCAGGAGAATTGCTTGAACCTGGGAGGCAGAGGTTGTAGTGAGCTGAGATCACGCCATTGCATTCCAGCCTGGGCGACAGAGCGAGGCTTGTCTCAAAAAAAGGAAAAAAGAAACTGTCGTGGATACTGTCAGTGTATATATTTATGTGGTACCTGAGAGCCACCCCAAATTAGATTGACTTTAGATCGTTTATACAAAAATAGCTTGAAGAACTGTTTTTTCCATGGTAAATGCTTTTGAATATTAACTTAGTTATGTTAGATTCCTACCTCAGTGGTACTGTCACAGCCATTGGTTACATTTCTGAAACCCTTCAGAGTAAGAGTTTTGGTTTTTTGTTTTGTTTTGTTTTGTTTTTTGAGATGGAGTCTTGCTCTGTCGCCCAGGCTGGAGTGCAGTGCAGCAACCCAGGTGGAGTGCAGTGCAACCTCCACCTCCCAGGTTTAAGCGATTCTCCTGCCTCAGCCTCTCAAGTAGCTAGGATTACAGGTGCGTGCCACCATGCCCAGCTAATTTTTTTGTATTTTTAGTAGAGACGGGGTTTCACCATGTTAGCCAGGATGGTCTCGATCTCCTGAACTCGTGGTCCACCCGCCTTAGCCTCCCAAAGTGCTGGGATTACAGGCGGGAGCCACCACACTCGGTGGAGAATTTTTTATTAAAGAACTTCTGAGTGTCTTATAGGGGAAATAAGCTTTGGTATAAATTCAATATATAAAACTAGTACAATATCAATGGCATGTTACTTGTCTTCAGTAATAAGCACGCTTATCATTTCTTGTTTTACACTTTTAAGGATTTTTATATTCCCATTGTTTCATGTGTATTAGTGTTTTCTAATGTGACTCATTATCCAAATGTGCCTTTCTAATTTTGTGACTGAGAAGTGTTGATTCCCACTTCCTGCCTCCTACTATAGTGGGAGATACAGAATAACTGTATGATTGAAATGAAAAAAAAATCTTATTCTTCAAATCTTTTTTCTTACTAATCAAAACCACGATGAGATACCATCTCACAGCAGTAAGAATGGCTGGTATTAAAAAGTAAAAAAATAACAGGTGCTGGCGAGGTTGAGGAGAAAAAGGAACATGTATACACAGTTGATGGGAGTGTACATTAATTCAACCATTGTGGAAAGCGGTATGGTGATTCCTCAGAGAGCTAAACACAACTGCCATTTGACCCAGCAATCCCGTTACTGGGTATATACCCAGAGGAATAGAAATCATTCTACTGTAAAGATGGATGCACACGTATGTTCCTTGCAGCACCATTCACAATCACCAAGACATGAAATCAACTTAAATCTTCTTTCTTACATCCAAGCACGTTAGCCAGACCTTCTTATACATGTCTTACCTTCCTTTCTTATAAATACTACTATTTCTCCATTTTAAGTTTCTGAACTTAAAATTTAAAGAAGTCACTCAGTAGCCTCACACCTAACAACATTCACAGTATACCTAATTTGCTAATGGTGTGTGTGTGTGTTTGTACTTATTTTATAAAGCACTTTGTAATTCTATTCTGGCATTCTGTTTTTCATTAACTTCGTGCTTAAATTCCTCCATAATTAGTGCCACCTTCATAGCAAAGTTTTGTGCAAAATAATCTGCATCTCTTTAACAACATTTTTTATTTTTTCTGGAATCCGCTTTTAGTTCACATAAGTAAGAACGTTTACATTTTCATTGATGGATATAAGAACATTTTGACAATGCTTATGATTTATAGTGGTAAAAAAAATCTAAGATGAAGAAGTTGCTTTTTCATTTTGTCAGTTACTCTTTTTATTTGTGATCAAATGTAGTAATAGCAAACCTTTCAGTCCTTTTGAGATTGCTTTTCCAGACTGGTACTGTTGATTCTGAATTGTCCACCTTATATCCTCCCAGTTTCATTTTAACAAACTAGAGCTAGGCTGTTTCCATTTTCAGAGAGAATAAATGTTTGCTTCTTGGTTCCAGTTCCTCTGTGTCTTTTAACATGCTATTGAAAATCATTTTGCATGTGTTCAGAAACAATTAGATATATGTTAATGGATTTGGGCTAAGACAATTGTGATAACTGTTTAGGAATAATCAGAGCATTGTGGTTCTGAGGTGAGTAAGTGATGAGAACATCACCAAAGTGTCCAGTCCTACAAACATGCCTTTTTGCTGACATTAATTTTTCTAACTGCTGTATTACAGCTGTTGAAAATGGACAGATAGATGTGTTAAGGCTGTTGCTTCAACACGGAGCAAATGTTAATGGATCCCATTCTATGTGTGGATGGAACTCCTTGCACCAGGCTTCTTTTCAGGTAACCTCTGAATTTATTATTTCATTTCCATGTAAATTGTGTGTTTTACCCTCTTAAAATGACAGTCCTATGCAGTTTTTGCTTTCTGCTTGCCTGTGATTTATGATGGTTAGTGCAGTACAGAAAAGGCAGTCTAAATGCTAATGATGATTCTGAATCAGCCAACTTCTGTAGTAGCTGTGGAAGCTTTGGGCTATAGGGATTATCTACATTTTAAAAATGTAGATGGCATATTTAAGAAACCATCAGTTATTTGAGATATAAATTGATAAAGAGCAATGGGTTATTTTATTTACAATAATGTGCTTAGAAATTGTGATGGCTCCTTAGTGCTTTGGTTAGCAAGCTAATTTTTCAGGATTCTATAAGGTTTATAATTCCTAGAGATCAGTGTTTCATGTTTACATTTATTGGGTTAACTAGAAATATAGGATAATCTGATCGTTTGGCCAATTTCTTTCCAACTAATACAGCAGTATACTGTTTTGTTTTTTCCTTCAAGTTATCCTTTAGTGAGAGGATAAAAAAGAAAAAAAAAACACAGTAAGAAGAAAGATACCTTCTATTTTCTTTGTTTTTTTCTTATTTAAAATGTGAATCTGTGCTTTAGGAAAATGCTGAGATCATAAAATTGCTTCTTAGAAAAGGAGCAAACAAGGAATGCCAGGATGACTTTGGAATCACACCTTTATTTGTGGCTGCTCAGTATGGCAAGCTAGAAAGCTTGAGCATACTTATTTCATCGGGTAAGATTATCCATTAGCCTTTGTACTGTTAAGATCATGAGCTTTAAACTATATTTCCTAGAGGAATAATTCTTGTCTCAAATATAAATCAGGTTGTGAAATTTATGGTTTTATGTAAGTGGTAAATAAGAGTAAATACAAATTGATTTATAAACCTGGTTATTAAGTATCTATTACTAACAATGCAGTGCACAGCTACTAATTTATCTGAGTAGGAACATAATGATCTATCACTAAAGCAGGTTTATTGGCAAGTTGAATGATGGGGCTGTCCTTTCCTGTAGGGACTTGAGCAGTTTCAACTTTCTAGGGTGTAAGACTAGTTTAGGCTTAATTACCTTATTAGATGGCTATTTTGTTTATTAAGGCTCTGAGGGGTATGTTAATTTTGTGATTATGTAAATAGGTTTATTTCAAAGCAGGTTTACACTTTGTTATGTTAATAGTAACATAACCTGCTAAAGGTTTCTCTGTGACAACCCTTCCACATTCAGCATTGCCAGGGAAGTTGGTGTGTTCAGGTGGCATTCTTACTCTAAGTGACAATTTTGTGACCAGAAATGTTTATTTTACAGGGGCTTTTAAATCTCTCCCAAACACCAGATATGCTCTTCACAGTGCTAACTTGATGAAGCGTGAATCACAGTAGGCTAGGCAATTAAAAAAAAAATACCTAGGCTTTTTTTGGCCAGGCACGGTTGCTCATGCCTGTAATCCCAGCACTTTGGGAGGCCAAGGTGGGCAGATCACTTGAGATCAGGAGTTTGAGACCAGCCTGGCCAACATGGCGAAACCCCATCTCTACTGAAAATACAAAAATTAGCTGGGCATGGTGGCATGTGCCTGTAATCCCAACTACTAGGGAAGCTGAGACATGAGAATTGCTTGAACCTGGGAGGCAGAGGTTGCAGTGAGCTGAGATCGTACCACTGCACTCCAGCCTGGGCAACAGAGGGAGACTCTGTCTCCAAAAAAAGAAAGAAAGAAAGAAAGAAAACCCAGGCTTTTTATAAACTTCCTTTAAATAGAAAATAGATCATACAAAGTTTGTTTGTTTGCTTGTTTATTGATTGATTGAGGCCAGGCCTTGCTCCATCACCCAGGCTAGAGTATAGTGGTATGATCACAGCTCATTGTAACCTTAAACTCCTGACCTCCAGCGATTTTGCCCCTTTAGCCTACCAAATAGCTGCGATTACAGGTGCATTTCACCATGCCCAGCTAATTAAAAAACCTTTTTTTTTTAAGACATGTGGTCTCAATCTCCCAACCTCAAGTGATCCTCCTGCCTCAGCCTCCCAAAGTGCTGGGATTACACTGTAAGTCGCTGTGCCTGCCCAATAATCCAGTTTATTTAAACAGCAGGGCACATCTTTTCTTATTTTTGCTTTCTTTTAGAAACCTTCAAACACTTAAGTCAGAGTAGGAAGTAAAAGAAACAAACATTCATTAAGTGCCAATTGAAGGCATCTGTTATAAATAATGAGTCTGTAAATCTTACAGTTAAGAGGAATCCCCAAAATTATCTGTTCAAACATAATCGTTTTTAGATTAAGAGTCCAGACTGTGAATGTTTAAGTGCCTTGTCAAAGATCTAGACTCGTTTCCTGGCAGAATCAGGGCTTGGACCCAGGCCTTCTGACTTCTGATCTTCCTTCTACTACATCATACCTTCCGGAGGACTATCCTAATTCAGTTAATGACTTGCAGTCCCATAAGTTTCAATTATTAGTGTTTAGCCTGGGTCAGTGGCTCATGTCTAATCCCAGCGCTTTGGGAGGCCTGAGGTCAGGAGCTTGAGACCAGCCCAGCCAACATGGTGAAACCCTGTCTCTACTGAAAATACAAAAATTAGCCCGGTGTGGTGGCACGCACCTGTCCGAGCTACTGGGGAGGCTGAGGCAGGAGAATCTCTTGAACCCATGAGGCAGAGGTTGTAGTGAGCTAAGATCGCACCACCGCACTCCAGTCTGGGCAACAAGAGTGAGACTCTGTCTCAAAAACAAAACAAAACAAAACTATATATATATATGTGTATATATATATGTGTGTGTATATATATGTGTGTATATATATGTGTATATATATATGTGTGTATATATATGTGTGTGTGTATATATATATATGTTTAATTAATATTTAGATTAAATAGGCCAGGTGCAGTGCCTCATGCCTGTAATCCCAACACTTTGGGAGGCCAAGGTGGGCAGATTGCCTGAGCTCAGGAGTTTGCAACCAGCCTGGACAACATGGTGAAACCCCGTCTCTATTAAAATACAAAAAATTAGCCAGGCATAGTGGTGTGCGCCTGTAGTCCCAGCTACTCAGGAGGCTGAGGCAGGAGAATTGCTTAAACCCAGGAGGTAGAGGTTGCAGTGAGCCTAGATCGCGCCTCTGCACTCCAGCCTGGGTGACAGAGTGGGACTCCGTCTCCCAAAAAAAAAAAAAAAAAAATTTAGATTAAATAGATTAAACTGCACCTTAATGTCTCTCCTCATGTCAGGTGTGTTTTCTTGTCGCCTGGAGCTCTGAGCTCCTGTTTTGGTTTGCTTTGTTCTTTTTATTTCTTCTCTCTGAATTGTTTTGAATAATCAGTTGAAAAGGTATGTAGGTATGTTTATCATGTAACTATACATGTTTCCAACCCCTATTACTTTCGTTTCAGTGAGTTGTCTGTAATTTTTCCAACTTTTTCACCAGTAGTCTTTAAAGAAATTGGTTCCTTATTCTTTGTGATACTTTGAAATTGTCACTCAAAATAACGCATTAAAAAAAAAGTTAAGGTTTCTTTCTTGACTTAGTCTCTTTTCAGTTATAGTGTTTACTTCTTTCTGAAACTGACAGTGGGTGAAACATCTACCCTATAGAAATCATGAAGTTTCTAGTTTCTATCATGAGAAATTTCTGAAGGATCTATAGACTCTTTAATTTACCATTTGTGTTCTGTGTAGTTTTTGCGTACATAAAACTTTGGTTTATTCAAGGTGCATTTATGGAATATTCTTTTAAATAGAAGACAGCCTTTTCCGTCTTGATGATGATCTTTCCACC
The DNA here is from genome assembly GCF_000001405.40 of Homo sapiens. Taxonomy (NCBI): domain Eukaryota; kingdom Metazoa; phylum Chordata; class Mammalia; order Primates; family Hominidae; genus Homo; species Homo sapiens. The sequence continues at coordinate 53,725,660 of NC_000002.12, read as the reverse complement.
GAAATGTATTCTAGAAATTTAAAAAACTCTCATGGTCATGTAACAACATCATATGTAGCATATTTAATACATTATTTGCCAACAAGAAAAGTTTGGAGATGACTGCTATTTTCAAAATCTTCACAAAAAGTGAGGTTAGCTTTTAAAAATCTTTATACAATGGCGTATATATAATTTAATTAGATTTGTGATTTTATTTTATTTTTTATAATTTCAACTTTTATTTCAGATTCAGAGGGTATGCATGCAGGTTTGTTACATAGGTGTATTGCATGATGCTGAGGTTTGGGATATGAATGACCTCATCACTTAGACAGTGGGCATAGTACTCAACAGTTCGCTTTTCAGCCCTTGCCCTGTTCCCTGCCTCCCCTCTCTATTAGTCCCCAGTATCTGTTGTTGCTATCTTTATGTCCTTGAGTACCCAGTGTTTAGCCTCCACTTATAAGTAAGAACATGCAGTATTTGGTTTTTGTTAATTTGTTAATTCACTTAGAATAATGGCCTCCAGCTGCATCCATGTTGCTGAAAGGACATGATTTTATTCTTTTCTATGGCTGCGTAGTATTCCATGGTGTACATCTACTGTGTTTTCTTTATCTGATCCACCAGGTATCCATTGATGGGCACCTAGGTTGATTCCATGTCTTTGCTATTGTGAATGGTGCCGTGATGAACATGCAAGTGCATGTATATTTTTGTTGAATGATTTATTTTCTTTTGGATATATACCCAGTGATGGAATTGCTGGGTTGAATGGTAGTTTTAAGTTCTTTGAGAAATTTCCAAACTGCTTTCCACTGTGGCTGAACTAATTTACATTCCCACCAAGAATGTATAAGCGTTCCCCTTTGTCTGCAACCTCTCTAGCATCTGTTGTTTTTTGACTTTTTAGTAATAGCCTTTCTGAGTGGTATAAGATTATATCTCATTGTGGTTTTGATTTGCATTTCTGTGGTGATTGGTGATGTTGAGCAATTCTTCATGTGTTTGTTGGCTGCTTCTATGTCTTCTTTTGAGAAGTATCTTTTCATGTCTTTTGCCCAATTTTTTTTTTTTTTTGAAATGGAGTCTTGCTATGTTGCCCAGGATGGCGTACAGTGGCACTATCTCTGCTCACTGCAACCTCTGCCTCCTGGGTTCAAGTGATTCTCCTGCCTCAGCCTCCCAAGTAGCTGGGACTACAGGCACGTGCCACCATGCCTGGCTAATTTTTTGTATTTTTAGTAGAGATGGGGTTTTCACCGTGTTAGCCAGGATGGTCTTGATCTCCTCACCTCGTGATCCACCCGCCTTGGCCTCCAAAGTGCTGAGATTACAGGCGTGAGCCAATGTGCCCAGTCCTTTTGCCCAGTTCTTAATGGGGTTGTTTTTTGCTTGTTGAATTGTTTAAGTTCCTTATAGATTCTAGATATTGGACAAAGTTAAGATAAAGACCTTTGTGTAATATCCAGAATCTATAAAGATACCTAGTTAGCAAATATTTTCTCCTATTCTGTGGGTTGTCTGTGGATTCTTCTGTTTTACAGAAGCTAAAGAGCTTAATTAATCTAAAGAGATTAATTAGGTCCCACTTACCAATTTTTGTTTTTGTTGCAATTGCTTTTGAGAACTTAGTCATAAATTCTTTCTCAGGGCCGATGTCCAGAACAGTGTTTTCTCATTTTTTTTTCTAACTAGGATTTTTATAGTTTGAGGTCTTACATTTAAACTTTTAATCCATCTTGAGTTGATTTTTGTATATAGTGAAAGATAGGGTTCCAGTTTCATTCTTCTACATGTAGCTAGCCAGCTATACTAGCACCGTTTATTGAATAAGGAGTCTCTAACTCATTGCTTATTTTTGTCAACTTTGTCAAAGATCAGATGGCTGTAGGTGCATGGCTGTATTTCTGGATTCTCTATTCTATTCCATTGGTCTTTGTGTCTGTTTTTGTACCAGGACCATGCTGTTTTGGTTACTGTAGCCTTAAAGTAGAGTTTGAAATTGGGTAATGTGATACCTCCAGCTTTATTCTTTTTGCTTGGTATTGCTTTGGCTATTTGTGCCCTTTTTTGGTTCCATATGAATTTAAGAAATTTTTTTTCTAATTCTGTAAAAAATGGTGTCGGTAGTTTGATAGGAATAGCATTGAAGCATAAAAATGACACTTCAGGGACTCAGGGAAAGGATGGGAAGGGGGTGAGGGATAAAAGATCACAAATTGGGTGCAGTGTATACTGCTTGGGTGATGAGTGCACCAGAATCTCACAAATCACCACTAAAGAACTTTCTCATGTAACCAAACACTACCTGTTCCCCAATAACTTATGAAAATCAAAAACAAAAAACTCTGACATTTAACAGGGGAAAAAATAAAAAAAGGAATAGTGTTGAATCTATAGATTGCTTTGGGCAGTATGGGTATTTTTTAAAATGATATTGATTTTTGCAATCCGTGAGCAGCGTTTTCCGTTTGTTTGTGTCATCTATGATTTTTTTTCAGTAGTATTTTGTAGTTCTCCTTGTAGAGATCTTTCACCTCCTTGGTAAGATGTATTCCCAGGTTTAAAATTTTTTTTTGGTGGCTGTTATAAATGGAGTTGTGTTCTTGATTTGGCTGTCAGCTTGAACATTGTTGATGTATAGAAATGCTGCTGATTTTATACATTGATTTTGTAACCTGAAATTTTACTGAAGTTGTTTATCAGCTTCAGGAGCCTTTTTGTGGAGTCTGCAGGGTTTTCTTGGTATAGAATCATATTGTCAGAGAAGAGAGATTGTTTGACTTCTTCTTTTCCTATTTGGATGCCTTTTATTTCTTTCTCTTGCCTGATTGTTCTGGCAAGGACTTTCAGTACTATGTTGAATAGGAGTGGTAAGAGTGGGTATCCTTGTCTTCTTCCATTTCTCTAGGAGAATGCTTCCAGCTTTTGCCTGTTCAGTATGATGTTGGCTGTGGGTTGGTCATAGATGATTCTTATTAAGATACATTCCTTCAATGCCTAGTTTGTTGAGGGTTTTGTTTTGTTTGTTTTGTTTTTATCATGAAGGGATGTTGGGTTTTATGAAGGCTTTTCTCACATCTGTTGAGATGATCATATAGTTTTGGTTTTTAATTTTCTTTACGTGGTGAATCCCAATTATTCATTTGCATATATGGAACCAACCTTGTTTCTCAACAATGAAGCCTACTTGATCATGATGCATTAACTTTTTGATGTGTTGCTGGATTTAATTTGCTAATATTTTGTTGAGAATTTTTGTATCTATGTTCGTCAGCACTATTGGCCTGTACTTTTCTTTCTTCATTGTGTCTTTGCCAGATTTTTGTATTAGGGTGATGCTGGCTTTGTAGAACAAGTTAGGGAGGAGTCTCTCCTCCTTGATTTTTGGGAATGGTTTCAGTAGAATTGGTACTGGTTTTTCTTTGTATGTCTGGTAGAATTCGGCTGTGAATTCATGTGGTCCAGGACTTTTGGTTGGTAGGTTTTTTTTTTTTTTATTATGGATTCAGTTTTGGAACTTGATATTGGTCTATTTCAATTTCTTTCTGATTCAGTCTTGAGAGATTGTGTGATTTATCCATTTCCTCTAGATTTTCTCATTTGCGTGCATTGAGGTGTTCGTAATAGTCTCAGAGGATCTTGTGTATTTTTGTAGAATCTATTGTAATGTCAACTTTGTTGTTTCAGATTGTGCTTATTTGGACCTTCGCTCTTTTTTTTATCTAGCTAGCAGTCTGTCAATTTTGTTTATCCTTTCAAAGAACCAACTTTTGGTTTCATTGATCCTTTGTATGGATTTTTGGGTCTCAATTTCATTCAGTTCCACTCTGATTTTAATTATTTTTTTTCTTCTAATAGCTTTGGGGTTAGTTTGTTCTGTTTTTTCTTATTCCTCGAAGTGTGATATTGGATCATTAATTTGAGATCTTTCTTTCTGAGCTAGATGTTTAGCATTATAAACTTCTTAACACTTTTTGCTGCATTTTAATATGTTCTGTGTCTGTTTTTATTTATTTCAAAGAATTTTTTGATTTCTGCCATAATTTTATTGTTTACTTAAAAGTTATCCAAGAGCAAGTTTGTTTGTTTGTTTGTTTGATTTTGAGACAGAGTCTCACTCTATCGCCAGGCTGGAGTGCAGTGGCACCATCTAGGCTCACCGCAACCTCCGCCTCCCAGGTTCAAGCAATTCTCCTGCCTCAGTCTCCTGAGTAGCTGGGACTATAGGCACACACCACTATGTCTGGCTAATTTTTTTTTTTTTTTTTTTTTTTGTAGTTTAGTAGAGATGGGGTTTCACCACATTTCCAGGCTGGTCTCGAACTCTTGAGCTCAGGCAATCTGCCTGCCTTGGCCTCCCAAAATGCTAGGATTACAGGCGTGAACCACTGTGCCCAGCCAAGAGCAAGTTAATTTCTATGTAATTGTGTGGTTTTGGAAGATCTTCTTGGTATTGATTTCTATTTTTATTCTACTGTGGTCTGAGAGTATGGTTGGTATTAATTCAGTTTATTTATTTATTTATTTATTTATTTATTTATTTATTTATATTTCTGGAGACAGGGTCTTGCTCTGTACCCAGACTGGAGTGCAGTGGCATGATCTTGGCTCACTGCAACCTCCCCCTCCTGGTTCAAGCAATTCTCCTGCCTCAGCCTCCTGAGTACCTGGGATTACAGGCGCGCACCCCTGTGGCCAGCTAATTTTTTTGTATTTTTAGTAGAGATGGGGTTTCATCGTGTTGGCCAATTTGGTCTCAAACTCCTGACCTTCAAGTGATCTGCCCATCTCGGCCTCACAAGTGAATCAGTTTTTTAAATTTATTGAGATGTGCTTTTTGGCCGAGCATGTGGTCTGTCTTGGAGTATGTTATATGTGCTGTTGAGAAGAATATATATTCTGTGGTTGATGAGTGGAGTGTTCTTTAGATGTGTATTAGGTCCAATTGGTCAAATGTTGAATTTACACCCAGAATTTGTTTTTTAATTTTCTGCCTCAGTGATCTGTCTAATGCTGTCAATGGGATTTGACATCTCCCAACATTATTGCTATCTCTATAGATCTCTAAGAGCTTGTTTTATGAAACTGGATGCTTCAATGTTGGGTGTGTGTATATTTAGGATAGTTAAGTCTTCTCATTGAATTGAACCCTTTATCATTATGTAATTACCTTCTTTGTCCTTTTGTACTGTTGTTGGTTTTTTTATATATAATTTTTTCTTGAATAGAAATGGGGTCTCACTGTGTTGCTGTGAACCCCAAATATCTGAGAGAGATCTCAGTCAATTTAGGAAGTTTATTTTGCCAACATTAAGGGCATGTGCCTGTGACACAGCCTCAGGAGGTCCTGGCAACATATGCCCAAAGTGGTTGGGGCACAACTTGGTTTTATACGTTTTATACATGAGACATCAATCAACATATATAAGATATACATTGGTTCTGTCTGGAAAAGCGGGACAACTCAAAGTGGGGAGAGTATGTCCAGGTCATAGGTAGGTAGGAGACAAATGGTTGCCTTTTTTTTTTTTTTTGAGTTTCTGATTAGCCTTTCCAAAGGAGGCACTCAGATATGCACTTATCCCAGTGAGCAGAGGGATGACTTTGAGTTTGAGTTCTGTCTGTCCTTCGTCCACAGGGAAATTCCTTGTGAGGGAGGTACGTAACTTTTTCTAATCTTAGTAGCTATTTTTTAGGAATAGAATAGGAGGCAGGGTTGCGCTAAGCAGTTCCCAGCTTGACTTTTCCCTTTGGCTTAGTGATTGTGGGGGTCCCAAGATTTATTTTCCTTTCACATTGCCCTGGCTGGTCTTGAACTCCTGAGCTCAAGCGATCCTCCCCCCTTGTAAGAGTTAAAGAAAGAGGAAAGAAACACAAAAGATGGGTTGGCAGTTAAAGACAGGTTTACTTTAGATAAAACCTGAGAAGGGTTTCTGGCTGATTTCGATCAGGAGCACTTTCTCTTACAGGCTAAGTACATGAGTATATATTGGTTTTAGGGTGAGGGGGCTTATCACAAGCTTGGAGTGTTTATGTGTGGGGGAGAAGTTTATGGTGAGGTTGGAATGTCTCTGGGTGAAGGGGGGATTATCTTGGGGCTGACGTCTTTCTAGAAGGAAGGGAGTTATCTCGGGGCTGGCATCTTCCCAGCCAGAGCAGGGCAGCTAGCATGTCTCTGGTCGCAGAGGAGTTTGGCATGTTCCTGGTCGGAGATGCTTTTTTTGTTTATGATCATGCTGATCTTAGCCATTTAGGCTGATGCGCTTTGGATTTAGGAAGTTTTTGATTAAGGTGAATTGGAAAATAACAGTGCTTGTGCAAGATGGTGATACTCCTGCTCTGTCATACTTCGGCCTCTCAAAGCTCTGGGCTTATAGGCGTGAGCCACTGTGCCTGGCTCTGTTGTCTGATTTAAAGTCTGTTTTATCTGATATAAGAATATTGACCCCTGGTTGGGCGTGGTGGCTCACGCCTGTAATCCCAGCACTTTGGGAGGCCGAGGTGGGTGGATCACGAGGTCAAGAGATCAAGACCATCCTGGCCAACATGGTGAAACCCCGTCTCTATCTGCTAAAAATACAAAAATCAGCTGGGCGTGGTAGTGCATGCCTGTAGTCCCAGCTACTCGGGAGGCTGAGGCAGGAGAATTGCTTGAACCCAGGAGGCAGAGGTTGCAGTAAGCCGAGATCGCACCATTGCACTCCAGCCTGGCGACACGGCGAGACTCAGTCTCAAAAATAAAATAAAATAAAATAAAAAACTAGTGACCCCTGACCTTTTTTGTTTTCCATTTGGTTGATAAATCTTTTTTCAACCCTTTACTTTGAGCCTATGGGTGTTGTTACATGTGAGACGTGTCTCTTGAAGGCAGCAGATGGATGGGTCTTTTTTCTTTCTTTTTTTTTTTTTAATCCAAATTGCAGCTGTGTGCCTTTTAGGCAGGATGTTTCGTAAAAGGCGAAAGATTTGTATGATCTGAAGAGACCCTTTACATTCAAGGTTAATATTGATATGTGAGGTTTTGATCCTATTATTAAGTTGGTAGATGGTTGCTTTGCAGTTTCTATTGTATGATTGTATTATGGGGTCTTTGGGCTATGTACTTCAGTGTGTTTTTGTGGTATCAGTGTTGTTCTTTCATTTCCATGTTTAAAAGTCCCTTAAGGATCTCTGCTAAGACTGGTCTAGTGGTAACAAATTGTCTTATCGCTTGCTTGTCTGTAAAATATTTTATTTCTCCTTCGTTTGTGAAGCTTAGTTTGGTGGAATATGAAATTCTTGGTTGTAGTGTCCTCTCTTTAAGAATGCTGAAAATAGACCCCCAATCTCTCTTGCCTTGTAAGGTTTCTGCTGAGAAGTCCACTGTTCCTTTTGTATGTGATCTGACGTTTTTCTCTAGCTGCCTGTAAGATTTTTTCTTTAGTGTTAACCTTCAACAGTCTGGTGACTGTATGCCATGGTGATATTCACGTTCACAGAGAGTTCTCTGTATTGCTTCTATCTGGATGTCTTCCTCTCTGGCAAGATTAGGGAAATTTTCTTAAATTATGTCCTCAAATATGTTTTCCAGGTCATTTACTTTTTCTCCTTCTCTCTCAGGAATACCAATAATTCATAGATTTGGTTGCTTTACATTATCAAATATTTCTCAAAGCCTTTTTCATTAAAAATTTTTTATTTTTATTTTTATCTGACTGGGTTAGTTTGAAAGACTGATCTTCAAGCTCCAAAATTCTTCCTTCTGCTTGGCCTAGTCTATTAATAAAACTTGCAGTTATATTTTGAAATTCCTTAAGTGAGTTTTTCAATTCCAGAAGCTCTGATTGATTCCTTTTTAAGATGTTTATCTTAAGATGCCTTCATTTCCTGAATTGCTTTAGAAGTTTCTTTGTGTTTATTTTCAACCTTGTCTGGATCTTGTTGAGCTTCCTTGCAATCCTTGCTTTGAATTCTTTATCTGTCATTTCTGAGTTTCCATTTGGGTCAGGAACCATTGCGGGAACACGACTGTGATCCTTCAGTGGTGTCACTATATTTAGATTTTTCACAAATCCAAAATTCTTGGGGTAGTTCCTTTTCATCTGGAGATGTTCACACTTCTAATTTTTGTAATTATTTTCATGCAGGTGGGATTTTTTTCTTTTTCTTTCTTTCACTATAATATTATTGTTTTTCCCTTTCACATTTATGATTTTAAATATCAACTCAGAAACCTGTTGAAAGAGACCCTTTTTCTCTGATTGTAGGCATTATTTATCATGCAGTGGTTATGAAGAAAGAGATGTAATAGAGAGTATAGTCAATATTAGTTTTAAGGCGTGGCTCCCATATATGTCATATCTACTGATAATTTTTCATAAATCTTAGCCTGAATCAATTAGTGGCATAATTTGGATTTTATCTTTTTCAGCAGTTATCAGAAATATTATCCATGTTTGATAGTTTGCATTTTTCTTTTTAAATGTTTACTTATTGGGCCCCAGAATGCTTGTTGGAGGAGGGATTGGAATGAAATGTATCCTTCATTGAATAGGATTTTTGTTTTAGCTTAAAAATGAATTCTAAGATATGAATCACTTGTTTTCTTGCTGACGTAGAGGCAAGACCTTTTTATTTTTGATAGAGACAGGGTCTCACTATGTTGCCCAGGCTGGTCTCAAACACGTGGCCTCAAGCAATCCTCTGGCCACAGCTTCCTAAATTGCTGGGATTCCAGGCATGAGCTACCCTGTCAGTTTAGCGAAGACAATTTAAATGATTACCAAGAAGTTAGCAAAGTAAATATGTTTATATAACAACATCCAACATTCAGTGAAGAGGGAAAAGCTTACCGTGCTACGAAACCCTTTTATGGTAGTTCCTTTGAAATTTGTGTTGATTTTTTTAAGTATTAGGGTTATCTGTTAAATGTTTTATTTTGTACCCTTAGGTGCAAATGTCAATTGTCAAGCCTTGGACAAAGCTACACCCTTGTTCATTGCTGCTCAAGAGGGACACACAAAATGTGTGGAGCTTTTGCTCTCCAGTGGGGCAGATCCTGATCTTTACTGTAATGAGGACAGTTGGCAGTTACCTATTCATGCAGCTGCACAAATGGGCCATACAAAGTAAGTGTTAAAAACAGAAAATAAACATGGTCTCTTAATCAAAAGCTAATAAAGAATAAATCTGGGCTAGACCCTTCACCTCTAGGCAAAGTCTTTGATATTCTCTTCCCTACCAATCTGCTGGGTGAACAGATCTACCCCTAATCTGTCCTTCATGCTGTCTTTTGCTCCTACTATTCCTGCACTTTCATATTGTGAGGCAGAATTGCTACAGACTGGGTAGGCTCAGGGACTTTCTCGGGGTGTTGACTCTTCCCATTGATTTCTCTAGTTATGGCTGTATCCGCCGCCTCCTCCTCCCTAGTTTTATCCCAGGCATCTTTAAGCATCAATCTGATGAGGCCATCCATGTTACCTCTCTGACCCCAGAAAGCTTTTGAGTTTGTGATGCCTGTTGGAGTGTGTGCTAAGTAGTCCTCCCTGTCTTAAACCCTTTGACTGAACTTTTCTTGATCTAACCTCAAATTGGAGAGAGAGTAAATGGGGGTTCCAGGAATCTTAGAAGCTAGTAACTTGGTTATACCTGTGAGAATATGGCTACCTATCATAAATTGGCAGTCAATGATTTTTAGAAATATATGTGAGAATATGGCTACCTATCATAAATTGGCAGTCAATAATTTTTAGAAATACATGTTTAGAATCTTTAGAGCCATAATTCTATAATAGCACTTTTTATAGCTGCTATTAGTATTATTTAATTTAAAAAGTAATAGTAAAATATTCATTACTTAATTTAGTTTGTTTACATAGTAGGAAAACAGATTCTGCAATTTGGTCATTATGCCACTAGGTGACACAGTACTTTACTATTTCATTAATGATATTTGTAAGCATGTTTATGTCTTGTGGGAGAGTATAATTTTTCCCACCTACTTAAAAAAATTAAACACATTTATTAAAGTTAAGAGACATTAGACTATTTTAACAAAATACTTAGATTTAAAAATTTGATATTTTCCCCAATTCTTGATCATTTATTTAAACATAAGTGTTAGATATTGTACTCTGAACTTTAAATGGTACCAAAACTCTCCTGGGCATTTGTTCTCAATTTTGAGAATTCTCATTGTCACTGATGATTTTCTTTATAGCCTACTTCAAAGGTAACCCCTTTTGTGAGTGTAAGTTCTACTTAAATGTTATCTTAGACATACATTACATGAGGAAAAGTCACAAAGAGAAATGTAATACTATGAAAATACTTCAGAGTAGCCCTGTCTGTCTTTTCCCAGAAAGAAGGAATTTCCTGGCTTTAACTATACAGTTTTATTTTTAATTTTAGAAGGGTAGAATAGTCCTTTTTTCTTTCCAGTTGACTGCTAGAGGTAAGTTTACAAATAACCTAAGAACTTTTGTTTTAATTATTTTCTTAGAACTTTCTCTACCTAGGAGCCAGCTTCTTTATAAATCTGCCTCCATATTTAATGAGCTCACTTTTTTTTCAGATAATAGAATATTTTAGCACAAATTATAATTTCTTCCTGATGAAAACATTAGTCTTAATTTCATGCCAGTTATCATCTTTAAAAATTTTTACTAATTGGAAAAGAAAAACTAGTTGGTACTTTAAGAAGGAAAATAGTGCATTTTCTTGATGCCAGTTTATACTTAGTAGAATGATGTTTTAAATAATTTATTAAACCCTAAAATATCTAACATAAAATTTGAATTTTGGGGGTTAAGGTGGTGCTAGTAAGGTAATAAAATTAAAAGAGCACCTTTTCTGTTTACATATAGGAACATTAATTTTGTTTCAAATGTATTTAAAGACCTTTTTATTAAGCAATAATAAGTGTAACATTCTGGAGTAAATATATAGCATGTAATAGTTTAATGTTGTTGGTAGAAGGTACACCCTAGACAGAAATATTTCTTTAAATGAATCAGTTGGTAATTCTGAAAAAAATTGTGCTATAGAAATGTTGCCTACATTTATGCACATATACAAACACTAAATTCTCCTGAATTTGTGTATTTATAGAATCTTGGACTTGTTAATACCACTTACTAACCGGGCCTGTGACACTGGGCTAAACAAAGTAAGCCCTGTTTACTCAGCAGTGTTTGGGGGACATGAAGATTGCCTAGAAATATTACTCCGGAATGGCTACAGCCCAGACGCCCAGGCGTGCCTTGTTTTTGGATTCAGTTCTCCTGTGTGCATGGCTTTCCAAAAGGAGTATGTATATTTGCTATGTTTTTATTTTTTATTCTTTTTTGCTGTATGGAGATGTGTTTTGAAGTGACTTTCTTTCACGATGAAACTTAGTATCTCTGTTAGTGCTAAATTGCTATCTTGGAACACAAATAGGAAAAAAACTATGATGTTTCAGTCAAGCTGAAGCAGAAATGAGGTGATAATATCACATTGTTTTCCTTCCTTCTTTGGATCTGGATTATATTTTTAGTGTAGCAATCTTAGGGAATACGTACAATTTAAGTAGACGCAGAAATTTGCTGATATTTTTGGTCTTCAAAACAATTCAAGAATTAAAAATGGGGCTTTATCAAGTAAGGCAGTGACTGCTTCAGGTCATTTACCGTTTCAAATTTATAAGATATAAGCCTAAAAATTAAACTTTAGTTTTATAGATATTATTGTGTTTTTAATGTATTTGGTGGATAGCATTAAAAAAAATTTTTTTTTTTTGAGACAGGGTCTCACTCTGTGGCCCGGGCTGGAGTGCAGTGGCACCATCTTGACTCATTGCAACTTCTGCATCCCAGGCTCAGGTGATCCTCCCACCTCAGCCTCCAGAGTAGCTGGGTCTACAGGTGTACACCACCACTCCCAGCTAATGTTTTTATTTTTAGTAGAGATGGGGTTTCTCCATGTTGCCCAGGCTGGTCTTGAACTCCTGGGCTCAAGCAGTTCCCTTGCCTCGGCCTCCCAAAATGCTGGGATGTCAGGCATGAGCCACGATGCCTGGCTTTATATTATTTTTGGATGTGAGTCTAAATAATTAAGTTTTTAAACGCCCCCAAATTAATTATTTTTCTAATCTGTCATAATTCTGTGAAATAGACTAAGTGAAGAATTACTGCTGCCTTGTTAGTGTCTGGCCAGTAACTTTGTCTATAACACTCTTACAGTTTTAAAACACTAAGAATAAAGCTGTGTGTAAGAACAGCCATATTGAGTAATATCTGGTCATCCAATAATGGAATAAGTTATGAAGATAGATGCTATTGTGTTTAATGACACAGAAGAGGTTGCAGGCATACCTCAAATTGTATTGGCCTTCTTGAATTCACTATTATGAATCTCTATTTAATTTGAGTAGTTATCAAGAAATTATTTACTAAGCTTTTCAGCCTTTACTATCTCTTAACATTTGCCATGTAAAATTAGTAGTTCACTATAATTTGTTTCAAGTTTAAGCTTACACGTTTTAGTAGAGATAGGGTTTCACCAGCCTGGTCTCGAACTCCTGGCCTCAAGTGATCTGTCTGCCTCCAGCCTCCAAAAGTGATGGGATTATAGGTGTGAGCCACCCCATCCGGCCTCTTAAACTTATACATTTTAGTTTGAATATTTGGGTTTTGGTTAATCTGAGTATCTGGGGCCCACTTTATGTATAACTTTCATGATTTCATAGGATTTTCTTGTGTACCCCGTTAAGTTTTGTCTTTTTAAACAGAAGAGCCCTAATTACTTTAGTTGACCTTCAGTGAGGTTGCACTGATAACTTTTAGTTGCCTTTCTCTATCCCAAATCTTAAGTCCGTTACAGAACTGAACATTTCTTATTAGACCAGAATATAATGATTTTGGATTGCGCGCGCGCGCGCGCCTGTGTGTGTGTGTGTGTGTGTGTTCAATATGATGATGGTCTTTTTTGGCCTTCATCTTATCTTTTGGATGAACAATGTTTTTGGTCCTTCTGGTCACAGCAGCTAAGCTCACGCCTCATCACCTTATAAGTGTAGTTTGAATTAAGCCATATAATGTAGTACCCCTGTTAACTCTGAAACACCTTAAAATTAATGATATTCCTTGGGAGCTGGGCAGTATGTTTCATGCCTTCTGTAGATTCGGATAAATGAAATTAGGTGGGAAAGATCTTAAATAGGTTTCTGGATTTTCCAAGATTAGTTGAAATTTTAGGGGGCAGACCCTTTTTTCTCCTTTGATTTCTACAAAATCAGTCAGTAACACTAATTGACCATTTTGTTATGTAGAGAGCACTAAATAGATCCTGTTAAACTTACTGAGGAAGCTGAAACATACACACGATCCTTTAGGAATTTAAAACCTAATGGGAAAAACAGTATTTAGTGGCATTTACTTCACTATCTTCTGCTGTCTTTGGCAAAGAAGCGTTTTTAATGTATTTTTTTTTTTTTGTATTTTTTTATAGAGACTCATGGAAGGGAAGGTTCCTATTTTTTTCTGCTGTGTCTGGGATAACTGCAAATAGGAGCTATTATCTCATTCTTGAATAGTGATATAAATGATTTTTTTTCTTTTCCTTTCACAAGTACTCCAAAGTTGTATTTTTAAGGAACTCCACAGTTTGGTTTGCTTTTTATGTCTCAGTTACTCTGTAGAATTTTTTTCTGTGTAAACTTCAGTGATGCTAAGAAGTTCTTAACATGCAGTGGAGTAATTCCACTACAGCCTCTCTCTTTCTCTCTAATGACTACAAAAAACTGTGGTCAAAATTCAAAAAGAAACTACCTGAGGACTCTCAAAGGAACAAAAGCAGATAGATTATGAAAGAGAGTGGTAACTTGGTGAAGTGACCCACATGAAAACGAATTTTCCCATTTCTTTTTCCTTTTTTTTTTTGAGACTGTCTCGCTGTGTTGCCCAGACTGGAGTACAGTGGCGCGATCTGGGCTTACTGCAACCTCCATCTCCCGAGTTCAAGTGATTCTCTTGTCTCAGCCACCCAAGTAGCTGGGATTGTAGGCATGTGCCACCATGCTCAGCTACTTTTTGTATTTTAAAAGAGATGGGATTTCACCATGTTGGCCAGGGTGGTCTCAAACTTCTGACCTCAAGTGATCTGCCTGCCTCGGACTCCCAAAGTGCTGGCATGAGTCACCGCGCCTGGCCTTCTTTTTCTTCTGCTGTGTTGCCCTGAGGGCCAACCCTGATCTGGAGCTGAGTAGCACCAGTGGCACCAGCAGCTAATATCAGTCAGTAACATTAATTGACCAGTTGTTTAATATAGAGAGCACTAAATAGATCCTGTTAAACTTACTGAGGAAGCTGAAACATAGACACAATAGAAAGCCTGTTTTTCTGGTCAGAGGAATCAGGTAAATGGAACCCTGTGGGCCAGAGAATGGTAGGGAATCTTGGAGAAGAGAGAGCTTGGAGAAGCGGATACCCTAATTGTGCATATGAATTTGCATATTCCTGACTTACCCCAAGCTTTAAATGCACAAGATAGACCCAAATTGTTTTTTATTTTGTTTTGTTTTTGAGACAGGATCTCATTCTGTTGCCCACACAGAGTGCAGTGATATGATCATGACTCACTGCAGCCTCGACTTCCCTGGGCTCAGGCAATTATCCTGCCTCAGCCTCTTGAGTAGCTGGGACTACGGTTGTGCGCCACCATGCCTGGAATTTTTTTTTTTTGTATTTTTTGTAGAGACAGGGTTTGCCGTGTTGCCTAGGCTGGTCTTGAACTCCGAGCTCAGGTGATCTCCCTGCCTTGGCCTCTCAAAGTGCTGGGATTACAGGCGTGAGCCACAGCACCCAGCCAACCCAAAATGTTGAAAGTAAGATTTGAACTATCATCAGAGTCTCAGGCTAGACCCTGAGTGGCACATTCATGGGTCCAAGCTTAAAGCAGGAAAGTCAAGGCTTTTGAGAACTGAGCTGACGTTGGAACCACTGTATAAGGTAAAACAGAAATTGCAGTTTGAACCTAACTAGGTTATATGCTTGCTGAAATAAACAAACCAAAAAGCTAGTGTTCTTCAAAGGATTATAACAAGACCCAGGACTCAGAATTTATACAGCATAACATTCACAATGTCCAGGAGACAACCTAAAATTATTTGACATATGAAGAACTGATAAAACATTACTAAATCTCATGGGAAAAAGCAATTAATAGATGCCAGTCCTGAGATGGTCCAGATATTAGAAATATCAGATAATTGAAAGCAGCTCTTATAATGGTGCTTCATGAGGCTAACACACTGGAAAAAATGAAAAGGTAGAAATTCTCAGCTGAGTAGTAGAAACTATAAAAAAGACGGAAAAATACAATAATCTGCAATGAAAAATTTACTACATGGACTCCATAGCCAAATGAAAGATATAGGAAAGAGTAAATTAACTTGAAAGTAAACCATTAGAAATTATTAACAAAGGGGAAGACATGCTGTCTGGCAGCTGGAGCGTGCAGACTGGCGTGGCACAGCCATGCAGCTTCTGGAGTTTCTGTTGGTTAGAGATTCAGGAGTAGCTTGGTGGGCAGTTCAGGCTTGGAGGTTTCTCTTATAGTTGCATTAAATATCAGATGAAGCTACAGTCATTAGCAAGCTTGACAGGAGCCAGGGGATCAACTTCCACAGAGGCTCACTGACATGGATCACTCATATGGCTGGGTGTTGGCAGGAAACCTCGGTTTCTCTCTATAAAAGCCTCCCCACAGGACGGCTGCAGTATCCTCATGGCATGGTAGCTGATTCCCTCAGAGGAAGAGGTCTAAGAGAGAACAAGACGGAAGTCACAGTGACCTGGTTCATTGAAATTATGGCTGTCACCTCCGCAGATCACATACACAAGCCCTGATTCAATATGGAAAGACTGTACAAAAGCACAAATAGGAGGAGGAAAGGATGATTGGGGGCCATCTTGGAGGCTAGCTGTCTCACACATTATCTCTGAAATTGCTGTTTTTTAATTTTGAAATTTTCAAACATATGTAAATGTAAAGAAATTGGTACAGTGAACTCCCATAGACCCATCATTCATATTCAGTAATGATCAAGGAAATGCCATCATTTTATTTTGTACAAATATCCCTGAGAAACATGCTCTTTCCACCTCCAGCCTTCATCTAAACATCTTATACTAACTTTCTTTAGATTTCAGTGTTCCAGGCTCTCTCCTTCCCTCCTCTTTCTGGTATGTTTATGGGGTAGAGGCAAGACCAATGCAAAGAAAGAAGGCCCTTTATGCTGGGCATCTAGGCTTTTTCAGACATCCTCTGAAACCTAGGCAGAGTCTCCCAAACCTCAACTCTTAAATTCTGTGCACCCACAGGGTTAACACCATGACCATGTGGAAGCCACCATTGTGACTTGTACCCTCTGAAACAGTGGCCTGAGCTGTACCTGGGCCCCTTTGAGCCATAGCAGGAGTGGCTAGGATGCAGGGACTAGTGTCCCAAGGCTGTGGAGGACAGTGGGGCACTGGGCCTGGCCCATGAAACCATTCAGTCCTCCTAGGCCTCTGGGCCTGTGATGGGTAAGGCTGCTGGGAAGGTCTCTGAAATGCCTTTGAGGCCTTCCACCACCCCCTGGTGGTTTTGGCTATTAGCACTTGCCTCCTTTTTACTTAATGCAAATTTCTGAAGTCTGCTTGAATTCCTTCCCTGAAAATAGGCTTTTCTTTTCTACCATTTGCCAGGCTGCAAATTTTCCAAACTTTTATACTCTGCTTCTCCTTTAAATGTAAGTTCCAACATTAGGTCCTGTCTTTGCTCATGCATATGAGCATAGGCTCTTACAAGCAGACAGGCTGCTTTGCTGCTTAGAAGTTTCTTCCACCAGGTACCCTAAATCATCACTCTCAAGTTCAAAGTTCTACAGGTCCCCAGAGCAGGGGCACAGTGCATTCAGGTTCTTTGCTAAGGCATAACAAAAGTGACCTTTGCTCACTTCCCAGTAAGTTCTGCTTTTCCATCTGAGACCTTGTCAGCCCAGCCTTTACTTTTATTCACTATCAGCACTTTGGTGACAACCATTTAACCAGTCTTCAGGGAGTTCCAAACTTTCCCTCATCTTTCTGTCTTCTTCAGAGCCCTCCAAACTCTTCCACTCTCTGCCATTACCAAGTTCCCAAGTTGCTTCCACATTTTTAGGTATCTTTATAGCAATGCCCCACTCTTCAGTGCCAATTTTCTGTATTAGTTCGTTCTTGCATTGCTATAAAGAAATACCTGAGACTGGGTAATTTATAAAGAAAAAGGTTTAATTGGCCCATAGTTCCACAGGTTGTACAGGAACCATGATGTTGGTGTCTGCTCAGCTTTTGGAGACACTTCAGGAAACATAATCATGGCAGAAGGCGAAGTGAGAGCAGGCTGCTTCTTACATGGCAGGAGCAGGAGCAAGAGAGTGAGTGTGGGAGGTGCCACACACTTTTAAACAACTAGCTCTCACAAGAACTCCCTACTGTGAGGACACTACCGAGGGGGATGGTGCTAAACCATTTATGAGAAACCCATCCCCATGATCCAGTCACCTCCCACCAAGCCCCACCTTCAACACTGGGGATTACAATTCATCATGAGATTTGGGTGGGGACACAGATCCAAACCACATCAGTAGATCTAGGGTGGGGACTGATATTCTGCATTTCTTTCTTTTTCTTTTCTTTTCTTTCTTTCTTTCTTTTTTTTTTTTTTTTGAGACAGAGTCTGACTCTATCACCCAGGCTGGAGGGCAGTGACACCATCTCGGCTCACTGCAACCACCACCTCCCGAGTTTATGCAATTCTCGTGCGTCAGCCTCCTGAATAGCTGGGATTACAGGTATGTGACACCATACCCGGCTAATTTTTGTATTTTTAGTAGAGATGGGGTTTCACCATGTTGGCCAAGCTGGTCTATAACTCGTAAGCTCAAGTGATCTGCCCCCCTTCACCTCCCAAAAGTGTTGGGATTACAGGCGTGAGCCACTGTGCCCGGCATACTCTGCATTTCTTTCTTTTTTTTTTTTTTTGAGACGGAGTCTCGCTGTGTCGCCCAGGCTGGAGTGCAGTGGTGCGATCTCAGCTCACTGCAAGCTCTGCCTCCTGGGTTCATGCCATTCTCCACCTCAGCCTCCCGAGTAGCTGGGACTACAGGTGCCCGCCATCACGCGCAGATAATTTTGTTTTTGTATTTTTAGTAGAGATGGGGTTTCACCATGTTAGCTAGGATGGTCTCCAACTCCTGAGCTCCAGTGATCTGCCCGCCTCAGCCTCCCAAAAGTGCTGGGATTACAGGCGTGAGCCACCACACCTGGCCCATACTCTGCATTTCTAACAAGCTAACAAGATGGTGCCAATGCTGCTGATCCACAGACCACACTAAGTAGCAAGAGTCTAGAGCTGTGCTGCCCAAATTGGTAGCCACCAGCCACATGTGGCTATTTAAATTAATGAAAATTAAGTAGCGTTATAAATTACTTCTTCAGTTTCCCTAGCCACCCTTCAAATGCTCAAGAGTCATGTGTGGCTAGCTACCCTACCGAATAGCACATCATCACAGAAAAGTCCGCTGCATGGCAGTGGTATAGAGAATTGACCCATAGTAACTCTCCTACAGCTGATTTTTAGACCAGAACAATTATTTATTCACAGCAAAAGAAGAGCTGGGCAGGGTAAACAGCAACAGGTTACTTATAGTATTTATTTCCTCTTTCTGGAACGGACAACCCAGTGTTCCTAAAGACAATATGGAAGGTTGTTTTGTTAGCTCAACACTTGAGCAAAAGAGGTTGGATATGTTTACCAGATTGTGAGAATGGATGAATTGCTTTTCTTCACACTAGAAGTATATTTCTCTTAGTAACTAGTATTGGGCATAAGAATCAGGGCTGAGAATGCTGGGGGAAGACTTCCTATTAAGAAACTGCGTTTTGGCTGGGTGCAGTGGCTCATGCCTATAATCCCAGCACCTTGGGAGGGCAAGGTGGGCGGATCACGAGGTCAGGAGATTGAGACCATCCTGGCTAACATGCTGAAACCCCGTCTCTCCTAAAAATACAAAAAATTAGTCAGGCGTGGCGGCACGTGCCTATAGTCCCAACTACTCAGGAGGCTGAAGCGGTAGAATGGCGTGAACCGGGGAGGCAGAGCTTGCAGTGAGCCAAGATCACGCCACTGCACTCCACTCCATCCTGGGCAACATAGCAGATTCAAAAAACAAAAAAAAAAAGAAGCTGCCTTTTGACTCCTTTTTAAAGACATAATATTTTGTCTGTTTACATACCTGCTTCTTCATTAGAATGTAAGCTCCTTGAGAGCAAGGATTTGCCCTTGATCTAACTCCTATTAGGCATTAAAAATATATTTGTGAATTAATGAATCAATAATTATATCAGATTAGCATATTTATTATATGTTAGTCTTCCTCAATGCCTTGTGGAGGGATAAGGATGGAGCATGATTCTTGGGCTTGGATGAGTCACAGATGTATAATGGCTGTGTGACTTTGGGTATTTCACTTCATTCTGCTAAATCTCATTCCATTATCTTTAAAATAGGGATAGTAATAACACCTAAGCTTGCTTTAGAAAATTATTTTGAGGATCAAATGAGCTAACAGTTGTGAAAATGCTTTGTAATTTGTAATTATTGTCTTAAAAAAACCCTAGTTTTTTGGGTGAGAGAGTCTTTGGTCTCAATGTCAATATATGTACAGATCACCTTGCCCGGATGTGTGCCTTGTACTTGCATTCTAGGATATTGCCTGTTTGGAACATCTACTCATATTTTCATACTGTCCCTCTCTGGGCAACTAGCTTTTGTAATTTACAAATATTTACAAATGTTTAACAAATTTAAAGGTTAAAAACAAATTTAAAGAAATTATCCACACAGAAGTACAAAAGAGAAAAAAGATGGAAGAAAAAAACAAGAGCGTCAGGGAACGAAGGGACAGTATCAACAGGTCTAACATTCATGTCATTAAAATCCAGAAGGAGAGGAGATTGGGCACAGAAAAAATATGTAAATTAATAATTGCCAAAAACTTCCTATTATTGGATAAAGATATAAATTTACAGATTTAAGAGGCCTGTTAAACCCAAACAGGATAAACTCACAGAAAGGCATGGTCAGAAAAATCAAAATGCTATAAAACAAATGTAAGGGAGACCTAGTCTCTCCCCGGATCAAAGAAGAAAAAGAAAAGTAAAGGTGAAGCAGTATGGTGTACAGTAGTCCTTGGTCACAGACATGAGTTAACAAACTTAGTTTTGTTTTTTTTGTGTGTTTTGTTTTTGCATCTCTTAGAAATTTTGCTCTTTGAAGTGGCCATGTGAGCATAATTACAATTTGTTTTTGTGCTATCGAAAGGGCATATGAGCGATTTTCTTTCATGTGAGACTTGTAATTGAACCAATATATTCTTAGGTAGATTTTCAGTAAGTAGTCATTGGAAAATGCTATATTTTTAGCCTTTAAAAATAAAGTCAAAACCTCAAAATATCTGTTTTAGGAGGGTGTATTCTCTTAGTCTTTTTATTTTTCATTCTAGAATTGGGCAACACCTTATTCTATAAAATAGAACATAGCAAACTTTAAGGTCAAAGAGACGTAGAATTTGATTGTGGGAATTTTGTCAAAAATATCAAGGTTCAAAAAACTTTACCAAAGTAGGATCACAGGTCAATGTGAAATAATAGTCACTTATCTCATCTAGAGTGATAATTAAATGGCTTCAAAAGGCAAATGCAGAAAGTTATATAGTTGTAGAAAAACCTGAGTTCTTTATTAGAGAGTTTTCATAAGTGATCAGATAGAATAAAGACAACATGAAGCACAGGGAATCATCTTGATAAAATGCAGAATCTTTGTTTTTTTAGACCAGTTACCTAATAGGTAAAGGAAAACCTTTCATTATTTCCAAGAAAACTAAATACCACATTTTTATTATCTAATGTCTGGCTGGTTGCTTATACATTTACTGTATATGTAATATGAGACTTATTCATTTTGAGTTTCTGTATGAAGCTTTTCCAATTAAGCAAGAAAATGATCATTTTCCCAGTAGGTTTTGCTTTGGTATGTCAAGAGGGTCATATAACCAGTGTCTGAGGGAAAAAAATTGAAGCTGAAAAATATGTTTTTGGTTATTTCTTTTGATAAGTAAGCATCTTAAAATTTGGATTGCCTACAATCACATGACTAAAATTAATTAAATTAATTACAGTCACCAATTATAAAGCAAGGACAATTGAATATAATCTTAATTTTAAAATAGCTATCATATGTTATTTTTTCCCTTTTTTTTTTTTTTTTTGAGACAGTCTCTCGCTCTGTGGCCCAGGCTGGAGTGCAGTGGCGTGATCTTGACTCACTGCAACCTCTGCCTTCTGGGTTGTGGCGTTTCTCATGCCTCAGCCTCCTGAGTAGCTGGGATTACAGGCATATGCCACCACGCCTGGCTAATTTTTGTATTTTTAGTAGAGATGGGTTTTCCCATGTTGGTCAGGCTGGTCTCAAACTCCTGGCCTCAAGTGATCTGTCCGCCTTGGCTTTTTGGTGTGGGATTACAGGTGTGAGCCACCACGCCTAGCCCTTCTTACTTTTCTTAATGAGTGATACACGAATTTCCTATATCACTTTTACCAGTTATAAGAATTCAAATTTGGTCACAATACTGGTACCAGGTAACTTAGAAGATTCAATTTTCCAAAATTAATTATTTGATATTCTAATTTTTAGGGATTTGGTAATAGATAGTAAGTTTAATGGTATAAGTTTAAAAATTTTATTTTTATAGCAACAATGTGTTATGATAGTGTTAATTTGGTATGATTGTTGTAATTAACACCTATCCGACTTCAGGTGTTAATGGCTAAAAGACTTCCCTTTTCTCATTTGTATATTTTCTAGTATTTCTCTGAAATCTATTAATTTACTATTTGTGGACTTTCTTGCACTATTGACCTGTTGTATTCTAATAAACTTTTATCTACTTTTATAAATAGTACAATTAACACCAAAAGGTGATGAAAATGATAAATAACAGCTTTGGATTTTCTTTATTCTTGTTGTTTTGAGATAGAATTTCACTCTGTTGCCCAGGCTGGAGTGCAGTAGTGCAATCATTGCTCACCGCAGCCTCAAACTTATGAGGTCAAGTGATCCTCCTGCCTTGGCCTCCTAAGGTGCCCCAGGTTTTAAGTTTTCTCTTCCTTATTATTTTTTCAGCTAATTCAACTTTTAAGCTCAGTATCAGTGTTCTGAAACATTTTTGGTAGGTATTCTTTGTGAGAATGACACTTAGCTCCTTTCACCACTCCCAGGGATGATGGAAAGGTGTCTCCTCCACTACTGTATAGATCCTGCAACAAAAGCAGTTTTTGTCCTTTGGAGCTAAAAAGTTAGCAGCTATATTGATATGAAGCCAGTCTTTCAAGAGTAATTGAGTAATCCATCTCGAATGAGGAAATATAAGAAAAAGATTCCTCCAAATGGAATGGGAAAGGAAGAGGGAAGTTGAGAAGTTTTAGGACTGTTTGAGCAAATATGAATGCCTTTTATATATGGCCACAGAAGTAGATTGTGGCTTAGCTCACCTGGTTTTGTCTGTTTTTCTAGTTGATACTAATCATTGTTATTACATTAGTTTCATAGAATTAATTGTGTCCATTCTAGCCACCATATCGTGTGGGCACATCTGACAAAACTGAATGTCTTCATCTTGTTTTCAGCTAATGGTCGAAAGCCATTCAGTAAAACTCACTATTTGGCCTGTTATAATTCACCTAATAAGTTGGTTGGATATTTTGTTTGCTAATTGAACATAAAATGCTGAAGATATTTGCCCATTTCTATTTGTTTAAAGTAAATTTTGTTTTCATGTTGAATTTTCTCTTACTGTGCTTCTTTTATGTGTGAGCACTGTTTTTCTGCATAGTTTTGAACTTCAAGGAGCGGAGTGGTAGAAAATGTGCAAACCCCCAAAATAAGGTCTAGACATTGGATTTTAATTTTTAAATCTCTCCTCTCAGTATCTGATGTTGTTCACTTCTTATATAATGTACAGTCCCTCTATGTCACAATTAATTCTTGATATTTATGTTAAACAAGATAGACTTTTGTTTAAATCTCGGGTACTTGAAGAGTTTTCTCAATTTGATATTAGGGCTACAGAGAGAATTTGTTGAAGTGTTAAGAGAAATACATACTAATTTATATTTTAACCAGAGGTTATCCATGCTCAAGGATTTATTGTGTGCTTAGTGACATGTAATAATCAAGGTCATATAGAGCCCTGAAGTTGAAGTTGCTTGTGTTTCTGTAGTGTGCACATGTATTTGAGACCTTCTTTAATAACCTTCCCAGAAGCTCAGGGCATGCTGACAAAACTCTATGCTTCTCCAGTTTATTTTGTGTTTATTTTATTCTTCAAACAAATGGTAGTTTTTTTGGGAAATGGTCTATATTGTAGCACTGTGCAGTTTTATAAGCCTTTTGGGATTTACTCTTGCCCCTTCTAATACAAGGCAATGTGAATAATTGGAAGAGGTTTAGAGCTGATTTTCTAAAGTGTGTTTTGGTAGAATACTAATTCTGTAGATTGTTAATAGATATTATATGGGATTAAAGGGGTTGTATTGTTAAATAAGTTTGGGAAGTACAGGATTAAATAATATTGAATATGTTTCTTTTGTAGAGGGCTTTTGAGAATTTTTCTTATTGTAGTGTGCTTTGTGAATTCCTAAAAGAGGAATGGATCTACAAAGATTTGAAAAGTCCAGAAACATAGGATAGAACTTATATTTAAGTATATATACCATTGTTCTTGTGTTTACAGAATTTTGGGCATTTTATACTTTTGTTTGCTTTTTTCAGATTAATGATTGGACCCATTGTTAATTTTAAAGGTACCTCTTCTGAAAAGTATCTGAAAGTTGAATAAAAACATTGAGCATATATTTGGAAATGTAACTAACACATTGTTTAAAAATACATTCATCCTATCTTTCTCAGGCTCACTGTATACTGTATAAGGAGGTTTCTCAGTTTTTTTCACTGGAGAGTATTTTTCATATGGATCATTTTCAGGAACTAAAGTTCTGTGTAACCTACTTTGGAAAACATAGATCTGGCTCTAAAATATTCTTCAATTTGGCTATATCATGAAGTGTTCAGTTTTCATAATAGAGAAGAGATATTGCAGAAATTTGCTATGTCATATTCACTGTTAGATTTTGGTTTGATATCATTATCCCAGTTCTGCCAATTACTAGCTCTGTGACTCAGCTTCAGTTTTTGCATCTACAATGGAGATAATAATAGAAGTTAATTAATTTTAAGATGTAGTATTGTAAATTAAATTTGTGTTAATTAAAAAAGTTTTTAAATTTTTTTTAATACCATTATAAATGTAAGGCCAGTCACGGTGGCATACCTTTTGGGAGACCAAAGCGGGAGGATTCATTGAGGCCAGGAGTTTGAGACCAGCCTGGGCAACATAGTGAGACTCTGTCTCTACAAAAAAATTTAAAAATTAGCCAGGCATGGTGGCATGTAGCTGTAGTCCCACCTACTCAGGAGGCTGAAGTGGGCGGATCACTGGAGCCCAGGAGTTCAGTTACAGTGAGCCTTGATTGTGCCACTGCACGTCAGCCTGGGCCACAGAGCAAGACCCTGTATCTAGAAAAATAAATAAGTTTAAAGTGGGAGGGAAATTGGCTAAGGTTATTGCTAAGGAAAATGATATCTTAGAGATTCCTAGAATCATTTAGTTTTAAGGATTGATCACGTTGTTTATTGATTTTGTTAAGCAAAGTATTTTGTAGTAAAGATACTCATTTGTACAAAATATCACAATTTGAGTTTTCTGTCAATGATAATTTTTTTTAAAATGACATTTAAGATGAATGTTTTAAATTATAATAATACCTGTTCACAGTTGAAAATTAAAAACCATGCAGGAGGGTGTAAAAAGCAAAAGCCCCACCACATTCTCTAATCTCAATCCACTAGATGTGTAGAAACCATCCACTATTTAATCTGCCATACTTATTCCCCAGCTGTAACTACTATTAACTGTTTGTAAGAAGTATCTTATGTCAAAGTCTAACTTCTTCTTTTTTTGTTTTTATTTTTTATGGTGGAGCTGTGAGTTCTTTGGAATTGTGAACATTCTTTTGAAATATGGAGCCCAGATAAATGAACTTCATTTGGCATACTGCCTGAAGTACGAGAAGTTTTCGATATTTCGCTACTTTTTGAGGAAAGGTTGCTCATTGGGACCATGGAACCATATATATGAATTTGTAAATCATGCAATTAAAGCACAAGCAAAATATAAGGAGTGGTTGCCACATCTTCTGGTTGCTGGATTTGACCCACTGATTCTACTGTGCAATTCTTGGTAAGAAATTCTACCATAGTCGGGCTTACCCTTTTTGAGTGAATATACTACCTTTAATTTCCTTCAGTTGAGATCCCAGTGTTTGGAGAAGGGTATCTGTGTTTTGACTGTGATGGCTGAATTGGGGTGAAGGAGTTGGTGGCTGCTAATAATGAGATTGAATTTAAGCACAGAGTCCTGGGAAAAGATAAGAGGTGACTGGAAGGAGGTATGAGGGGATAGATGCCAGTGAGCTCTTCTAAGAGGGATATTTCTTCGACTTCTGGGCATTCCTCATGCTTCTCTTAAAATGCCTGTAACAGAAGAAAGAATGCTTGGAGCTGCTTTGGAGATTTCTGTTGTCTATCCCTCAGCCAACCAGACTGAATAGTCCTGCCGTACAGCATCCTGTGTATTTGAAACTTGTCACCCTTAATAAATACTGATTTCTGAAGTATCTGAGACTATAGTTTGTTTACTTCAGGTAGTTCCTCAGAAGGGCAACCCTCAGTGAGAGATTATACAAACGCCGAGTCAGAATTTTTTGGGGGGCAAGAAGAAGACTCTTTCTATTAACCTCCAGCCTTTGCAAAAATTGTTAGTGTCCTAACACAAGTAATTGTAGTAGCGAGAGGACTCTTGGCCTAATAATTCAAGTCAAATGAGAAAATAAAATGGAAGTCTTCAGGAAAATAGAGGACTTGTTATTTTATAGAATTTCAATAAAATATCTAGAAGTCTTCACTTTCGTGTTTCAATTCTTACCCCGTGTGATGTCTGTCCCTAAGGCACTAATTGTCTTCTTAGAAACACTCCTTGTGTTTTTCTACCAAAGCTATTAACTCTGATTCGATATGACTTGCCCAGTACTTTCAGCCTTCATGCTCCTTTCTGGTTTCTAATTTATTTATTTCTGTAACCAAAACATAGAAACTGTCTGATACCTACTGCTGTGGTTTGAATGTGTCTCAAATTTCAGGTGTTGGAAACAGTCCTCAAATTCATTTGTTGATGATATTTGGAGGTGAGATATTTGGGAGGTAATTAGGATTAGATAAGATCATCAAGATGGTGCCCCAGTGATGGGACTGGTGGGTGGCTTTATAAGAAGAGAGACTGGAGCTGATATGCTTTTGTTCTCTCACCGAGTGATGACCTCTGCCATGTTATGACACAGCAAGAAGGCCCTCATCAGATGGGCCCCTTGACTTTGGACTTCCCAGTCTCCAGAACTGTAAGAAATAAATGTACTTTCTTTATAAATTACCCAGTCTCAGGTATTGAGTTATAGCAACAGAGAATGGACTAAGACAGAAATTTGGTACTGAGAAGTGGGGCTGTTGCTCATAACGATTACCTAAGAATATAGAAGTAGCTTTCGAACTAGGTAATGGGTAGAGGCTGGTAAAGTTTGGAAGAACAGTCTAGAAAAAGCCTATATTTCCGTAAATGGAGTGTTAAGGGTGATTCTGGTGAGTGCTCATAAGATGAGAAGACTAGGAAAGTCTCAACCTTCTTAGAGATTATTTAAGTGGTTGTGACCAAAATGTTGATAGAAGTATGGATAGCAAAGGCCATTATGACAAGGTCTCAGATGACAATTAGCAATACCCTGTTGGAAAGTGGAGTAAAGGCCATCCTTGTTATTAATTAGTGAAGAACTGGGATGAACTGTGTCTATGCCTAAGGACTTTATGGAAGGCTGAATTTAAGAGTGATGAACTAGGCTATCTGGTGGGAGAAATAACTAAGTAGCAAAGCATTCAGGCTGCTGCATGGCTACTTGTGGCCACTTATAGAGAGATGTGAGGGCAAAGGAATGACTTAGGACATAATATAATTAGAAGGGAAGAAGAGTAGAAAATTTTGGAAAATTCTCAGCCTGGCTGTGTGGAAAAGAATGAAAGAGAATTTTCAGGAGAGGAACCCAACGTTGTGACTAGCAACCCTTTGCTGAGCAGATTTGTACAAATAGAAGATATCATCAAGACAATTAGAAAAAAACCTTGAAGGCATTCCAGAGATCTTTGAGGCTGTCCCTCCCATCACAGGCCCAGGGCTCTAGGAGGTCAGATTGGTTTTCAGGAGGGTTTGTGGGGTGGTACTAATTCTGTAGGCATGTAGAATGCAAGAGCTGTGGGGGCATGGATTCCTCCACCTAGATTCCAGAGGTTGTTGAAAACAGTCTGGGGGCTCAGGCAAGAGACCTGTCCCAGGAGAAGAGCCACTGCAGAGAGCCTTTCTAGAGCAATGCCCAGTAGAAATATAGGGTTAGAGCTGCCACAAAGTTTCTACCAGGGCAATGCCTAGAGGACCCATGGGAGCAGGGCTGCCATTGAGACCTCAGGACTGTAGAGCTACCAGCATGAAGTGCCATCTTGGGAGAGCTGAAGTCTGAGCAAAGCCATAGGGGCGCCATAGGGGTGGGACTGAGCCTAGCAAAGTCATAGGGGTGGAGCTTCCTGAGGTAGTGGAGGCTCAGCCTCCATCCCAGTTTATCCAGGAAGCCCTGAAGTGGAGTCAGGGAAGATTATCTTGGAGTCTCAAGGTAATCCTCTTGAATTTTGGACTTACTTGGGTCCTATTACTCTTTGCTTCTTGGATATGTCTCCCTTTTGGAATGGGAATGTTTGTCTTATGCCTGTCCCACCATTGAATTTTGGAAGTAGATAACTTGTTTGATTTCACAGGCTCACAGCTGGCAGGAATTTAAGGTAAATTATGCCTTGAGTCTCATCCCCCTCAGATACCAAAATCTATGTGTTACTGGAAAGGGGTCCCAATCTAGACCCAAGAGAGGGTTCTTGGATCTCGTGCAAGAAAGAATTCGGGGCAAGTCCATAGAGTAAAGTGAAATCATGTTTATTAACAAAGTAAGGGAACAAAAGAATGGCTATTTCATAGGCAGAGCAGCAGCACAGGCTGCTGAGCTGCTTATACTTATTGTTACTTCTTGATTACATGCTAAACAAGGGGTGAATTATTCATGAATGAATTTTCCAGGAAAGGGGTGGGCAAGTCCCAGGACTGAGGGTTTCCCCCTTTTTATACTATAGGGTAACTTCCTGAAGTTTCCATGGCATTGGTAAACTGTCATGGGGCTGGTGGGAGTGTCTTCTAGCATGCTAATGCGTTATAATTAGCATATAATGAACAATGAGGATGACCAGAGGTCACTTTCATCACCATCTTCGTTTTGATGGGGTTTGGCCAGCTTCTTTACCAAGTGCTGTTTCATCAGCAAGTTCTTTGTGACCTGTATCTTGTGCGGACCTCCTGTCTCATCCTGTGACTAAGAATGCCTTAATTTCCTGGGGATGTAGCCCAATAGGTCTCAGCCTTATTTTACCTAGCCCCTATTCAAGATGGAGTTGCTCTGGTTCATACACCTCTGACACATGGATGCTCAAGTCCCTTATATAAAATAGCATAGTATTTGTGTCTAGTCTATGCACTTCCTCCCATATACTTTGTCATCTCTAGATTACTTATAATACCTAATGCCTTATAAATGCTATGTAAATAGTTGTTGTACTGTATTTTAAATTTGTGTTATTTTTTATTGTTGTATTGTTATTTTTCATTATTGTTGTTAGTATTCTCAATCTACCATTGGTTGACTCTTAGGATGTGGAGGGCTATCTATAGTTCTATTACTCAATTTTAGTAATCCTTAATCCCTTGCCTAACCTGAGGGATTTGTGCCAATTTTTCTTGCTTCTTCCTGCTCCTAAATTAGGAAAAACCTAAGCAGGGGGAAAAAATCAAACATTGCCTATTTTCCTTTCCTCCCCAGCCAACTAAATGGACTACTTGGAGGCAGAAGGATTTATTTAGCTTTATTCTCTTAGAAGGCTTTGTAATTTATCCCCCCTTTCCCAATTCTGATACTGCTCCCCCATTTTCCCCCACTTGTGAACAGTTGAGAATTTTTGTCGCAATAAGCCATTGGGTGTGTGCTGTATTTATCGGATATGTGAAATAGAAAAGAATTAAGAACTAGTAAAGTAGAAACTATTTTGAAGTAAGTTGTGAAACTTTCGGTATTCTGAATGCAGAATGCCAATTACATGTTTTTTACTCCTGAGGAGTAACTTTGGTTACTTTATATTCATTAGAAAAAATACAGTGGAAAATTTAACTTTAGCAATGAAAATGCTTAACATGGTCAAATTTTTGTTCACTGATCTTTTTTATTGAATGGGTAAAGCCAATGTTTACACTGCATATGATAAATGTTTTGCTTTCTTTGATCAAATTTACATTCAAAGAGCTATTATAAGAAACATTCTATAAAAATTCCAATATGTTGTTAAAGTAGATTTTGATTGTTATTTATATCACATGTAGGTCTGTTGCTTAATCTTTGTCACGTAAATTATAAACATATTTTCTGGGTATTGCTTGTCTTAAACAGTCTTGAAAATGTATCTGGCTGAATAATTGCCTGTCACAATATTTAAATGCAAGACTAAGTATTCCTCTGCCTGCGCACCCCACCCCCATTTAATGGGATAATAGAACATAAATGTCATTTGTGCATTTAGTTGATTAAATGTCACTCGTTTATGATTGTACAACTGGTCTATACAATGTAATGGTCTCTGTAGTAAAGTAACAATACATTTTTAGTGGCATTATCAGTGTTGGTAAAATAAACTCACCGTTATATTAACTAAACTGTGCAAACAGATTTACTTGTCATGTATATGTTCAGATAACTGCATAAAAATGACTTTGTGTTTGGTCACAGTAAGACCTAAAGTGCATTAAGGCAGAAAAATGAAATCGTTAAAAAAAAAAATAAAGAACCAGAACCAAGTAACCTTTGGTTTGGGACCCCTAGAAAGTCAAGGAAATTGTTTGTCTTTGAATATATTGTATCATTTCATTTATCCTCAGTATTTCTGATAAGTTGTGATTTCACTGAGATATGCTGAGAAATAAAATGTTTTCCCAAGACATCTGTGCTGCCCTTTAAGTTCTTCCTTAGATGTTTGCTTATTGGAGAATTAAGAATTTGGGAAATAATTTTCATAATCTTTAGTCCATCATTTCAAAGATATTTTGACTCCAAATTACCAGAAGTGTCTTTGAGATGGTGAGCTTAGATTGTTATTCAGTTTATCTTCTTTCCTTGTATTTCCTTTCCTTCTTCAGTTGTTGTTGCTCCGTAATACCTCCAAAGAGGTGACCTTGAGAAGAATTTCTGTTTTGGTAGTAATTACTAGAAGCCCTAGTGACTTTTTTTTCTCCAACCATTGTGATGGTAGGGGGGGTCTAATTGAATACAGGATAAGTAATCTTGTTAGGATTTAGAGTTCTTTTAAAGGTTTGACTAAATTTTAAAGCTTCTAAAAATATAATACTGAAGTTTTCAAATCGTTTCTGGTAATACCAATTTTTCGTATAATACTTTATAGTTTTAAAAGTATGTTTACTATGTTATCTCATATTATTTTCACATATAGTTCCCTGAAATGGGCAGCTTATGTATTATTCTCATTTTAAAAAGCAGGAGCGAGAGTTTAAATAATTCAGGCAACCTGTTTATAAGTAGCAGAAGCAGTATTAAACATCAAGACTTTTCTTAAGCCAGTGCTCTTTCCATTAGGTTTCAAGTGCTTATAAATTTTGGGTTAGCCTCTTTTGAGTGGGTTGGTAGGGAATCTGACGTTATTTTGAAAGAACAGAGGAAGGCCTGTTTGGAACCCCTTCTTTCAGTCCTTAAAGACAAGTCTTATTCTGTTACATCGTTTAGGGCTGAATTTATAATGGGGGGAAGGTTCTTAGAGGAGAACAGCTGTGCATCCCTGGGAGTTGGGCAGAAACAAGCCATACTTGTACACTTGTACACTCAGTTTAGGGATAACTTGGGGTGTTTGGGCTTTATCCTTTTAGGATTATTAAATTATATGTCTGTAAGGATGGTCAATTTACATTTGGCAAGATAGTCCAAATGGGAGGAAATAATGGCAAATCCACTGATGTCATTGGTGCTGTCACCCATGAGAAGGAAAGTTCCTACTCTCTCTGAGGTTCCTCTTGTCATCTCTTAGACAGCTACATAGAAAGTCAATTCAGTTAATAGGAACCTGTAGATGATTGTTAATATCCTCTGATCTTGCCTCTAGTTACATAAATACTTAACATGCCCTGGTTTTCTGTCTGCCCTCCTCATTGAGATTTTGTAAGAATAGGTATGTGGTGTTTGTTTCAAGTACGAACCCTTGGCATGTTTTGTTTCTAATATTATATTAACATCTTGCTAACATAGGATTGACTCAGTCAGCATTGACACCCTTATCTTCACTTTGGAGTTTACTAATTGGAAGACACTTGCACCAGCTGTTGAAAGGATGCTCTCTGCTCGTGCCTCAAACGCTTGGATTCTACAGCAACATATTGGTAAGAAAGAATAACTTTTAAACACACTTCACTACTTTTCCTTCTCTTGCTTCTCTAGCTGTGTTGTAATTTTAAGTGATAAGATTCATCGGTGAACACAAATTAGACATAATTTGCATTTTCTTATGTGAGGAAAAGATGGGGTTGTTAGGGGATGGCTAGTAATTCCCTTCAGTAAAAATCATATTTGATTTTATAATCTTAGCCTAAGGAACATATAAAGAAAAGCAGATGTTTACTGATATTTTAATTTTATGATATCCTTTTATTTTTAATAAGGATTATATACACAAAAGTAGGTCCTAAAAATCTGCTTATTCTGTACTTTGTGGTCAGAAAAATGCTAAACTTAATTTTTCTCTTTGGAATGTCTGTGGAGTTATGTTCTCTGTGTAATATTTTATCATATCTAAAAGGAAATGTAACCATTCTTTATACCTATCCTTACTGAATGTGTATCAGTCTGTTGGTATGGTATAACTGTGGAGATAAGCTGAGTGCACATTCTGTGAACTGGTTGATATTTTAAAAGACTATTCTAGAACAAAATTTCAACTTACCTCACTTAAAAAAATTTTTAAGCTAGTTGAAAAAATGAAAGAAAACACAGTGGGGGAAGATTTTGCACAGGGAACAAGTTTAAACTGAACATAACATATGCAAAGTATCCCTATTTACTTTTTCAGATTTATTTTGCTTTGACTATATTTTGTTAACCATATTATATGTCTTAAGTTAGGAAAATTGTTTCTTCACTGCTATTTTTACATGAAATGTAACTCTTCATAAAACATTTTGAATAGGTTTTTAACAAGTGAACTTATTCATATGTAGAAATGTGTCTTCTAATTTTTGGAAAATTACATTTAAGTAAATTTTCTCAATCAAAAACAGACATTCAGGAAAATAGGCTTTTGAACTGAGGTGTATTCAAACTGTTAAGAGAGGTTTCTGTTAAAGAAAAAGAATTGATTTGGAGTCTTTCAGCCTTCTAGTATAGAATTTCTTTAATGATAATGTTGGAAAACTCACTCTGTGTAACTCTTAATGTTGAAAATTGCATCTGCTTTTACTAATTATGTATCTGCAGCAGTAGAGAACAAATATCTGTTCAGAACAGATAGACTATGGAACAATGGATTTGAGAACTAAGAGTCAAAAGAGGAAGCATATGCCAAATGGGAAAATTATTGCTACATATCGATTAGTAAGGATATATGAGAGTTTACCCTTAAGACCTTAACATATGGCAAGTTTGTCCAGATGAAGGTAAAAATTGTGCTTGAGTACTGCATTACCCTGCAGTAGACTAAATCCATCAAGGGCTTCTTGTTTAATTAAGTACTAGGTAGAGTTTGTGTAGGGTAATAATCATCATCTATTGAGAGATTTTTATTTTGGCTGAAGATTCAAGAAAACCTTTCTCAGAGGCTTTTTCTGAGCTAATGTAGCTAATGGTTTTCTGGTTTGTTTCTCTAGCCAAGCCCTCTTTTCTTGTTTCCAGTCTCATTTATCCCAACTATCTTTTGGACATCTCCATTTGCTATCTCACATCTTGACATATGCAAAATTGAACTTGTTATTTTTCCTACAAATTCTTCTGTTTTGTCTCTGTTTCCTGGTTCAGGAGATGAGGTGGTTTGGGAGTGCTGTTTACCAAGAGAGCGAGTTAACACTGGAAGCTGTTTGTTATTTCATCCATAGCATAGGGGTGATTTTTGCCCCCCCTGTAGACATTTGGCAATGTCTGCAGACATTTTTTTGGTTGTCACAATTGTTAGGGATGCTATTGCCATCTAAGGGGTAGAGGCCAGGGATGCTGCCAAGCATCCTACAATGCACAAGACAGCCTCCTACACTAAAGAATTATCTGGCTACAAATGTCAGTAGCGCCGAGGTTGAGAAATCTGGATCCACAGTGACTCTTGTGTTGTCCTATCGTGGAAAGGCTTTTTATCCCTCTCCTTGTTACAACCTGCTTGGGGAAAGCTTGTATTCTTCCTCCTGCTTACATTGGTCTCTCAGGGTATTCTTTGGTGCTTCCTCTTCTGCAGACAGTAGGTACCATTACAATGCTGGAATTTTAGTAAGACTGGGAGAAAAACTTAGTTGCCTGGCTTTCAGATGGGATTGTGACTCTCTTCCTTTCTATAATTCAGGTCTCTCTTGGGGGCACCCTTTACTCATCAGTTTTTAGGATACTCAATTTCTGTATGTTGGTCATCGGGACTCCCTCCTTTACCGGGATTTTGAGCTACAGGATCTCTAGTAAGCAGAAGCATGATCAGGGTTTTAATACTAATGGGCTCAAACCCAGCAGGACAACTCTTTGATTAACCTCTTTACAAAACTGACCTTCTTGCTTTTACCCCTCTTCCTCCAATAACTTATCATAATGTTAACAACCGCTGCCTTATCAATATATTTAAAAATTTTTTTTTGAAAAGATACTTCTTGCACCTCTGCCACTGTTAGTAAACTCTTAGATAATTCCTAGCTTCCTAGCTCCACTCAGTATTCAGTATGTATCTCTAGGGAAATATTTTTCTCCCATTTTTTATTTGAGCCCTTTTCAAGTCCTGGAGATGCCATGTACTTGGTCAAAATTATTCTTTCCTCCCCTTTTTCCTCCCTAAGTAAGTAGCAACTTGCCATGGTAGTTTATAAACAAAAGTAACAACGCATTTCTTGCTTCTCATCTTTTAATCATTGAGTCAGATTTGTCTTCAAAAAGTTTCTAGCATCAGAAAGGAAATGTATACCAGGTAAAATTTAGTGAGTGGTTGCAGTTTCAGTAACAATCTTTTAATCAAGTGCCTCTTACATACCTCTTAGAAACATCAGCCTAACCACATAGCAATAGATGTCTTACTCAAAAAATTTGCCAACTCCTGGTCAGGTCTAAGTAATTAAATTCTTATAGATAAAAGCACTTGGCTTTAGTTCGTCCTGAACCTTTAATGATTAGATATATATAATTCTATCCAGAGTGTTACAAATGGATCTGGATCCTAGAAGGGATCCTTTAAAGGACCCCAGGAAACTCTCTTGATCTTTTTATTTCTGTGTTTCCCTGCTTTGTTTTGAAAAGGATTTAAAACAGTTTATATAATACATATATATTATCACAAAACAGTAAAACAGAAATTAAAAGTAGAAGGAAAAGAAAAACGAAAAAAAAAAGGTAGGAGATGGATAAAAAATGGAGTCAGGGAAAGCGTAGCAATGGGAATTTGATACTTGTCTGTTGATAGGCTGTACATTTGGCTCTGAGCTCTGTTGTCAATGACACTAGGTGACTGGGTTCATAAGATAAAATAAACCCATTCCTCAGAATAGATTTTCTTGGATGCTGTTACAGCTTCCTAGACAATGTCTTGGTAGCTGTGGTTTCTTGGGACTTTCTTTTACATGGACTGTTGTTATCATACCAAAGTACAATTCAGTAAAAGCAGTTCCTACGTAGTCATTACAGTGTGGTTCAGGTACCTAGACTTCTGTTGCTATGACTTGACCAAGAGCTAGATTTTAGAATATCTGTAAATGGATGGCCTGTGTGCCTTTTGAGCAGTTCTCTCTAAATATTGTATGTCTCAACTCAGTTTTTAATTTAATTAATTAATTAATTAATTTATTTATTTATTTGGGGGGACAGGGTCTTGTTCTGTTGACCAGGCTGGAGTGCAGTGGCATGATCATGGCTCACTGCAGCCTCTACCTCCTGGGCTCAAGCAATCTTCCCACCTCAGCCTCCCGAGTAGCTGGGATCATAGCCATGTGGCACCATGCCCAGCTAATTTTTGTATTTTTTGTTGAGACAGGGTTTCGCCATGTTACCCGGGCTGCTCTTGAACTCCTCCTGGGCTCAAGTGATCCTTCCACCTCAGCCTCCCAAAGTGCTGGTATTATAGGCATGAGACACTGTGCCTAGCTTCAGCTTAGTTTTTAGTAGTAGTACATAGCAATGAGTTCAAAGTTATACTACCTAAGAAGTATCAGAGTGCAGATATTTTGTATTGCAAATTGGATTGAGAACATATGTTTAAGTAACAGTTGATCTTCAAAGTAGAAGCAAAAGAAAAATGAAAAATGAAGGTTGATCTGTGGTAGGGTAAGTACTCCAGGAACATTATGAGGATTCCTAGCTAAATATGGTGGGCTAAGCAAGTATCCAGTTTAAGCAAAAATTTCCCTTGAAACTTTGAGCAATGCCCTAGTTTTGAGCAATGTTCTTTTCTCACATGCCCTTCAAGATAAATCATCTGTGGTAAGTACACCAAGGTAACTACATATGATAATTTATTTTATGAGATTGTTAGATGCAGAAACAAAGCTTAGGGTTAGGAATCATTGGTCTGTAATCCTTTCTGATAATAATGAACTAGCATTCCAGTTGTCTGCTAAAGCCATTTCTAGTTTAGGATAATAAAACCTATTAGTTTTTAAAAGAATATTTGTTTTTCTGTTTTCTTTAGCAAGAACATGTATCTTGCTCAGTTTATAACATATCATTAAGTCACTTGTTAAAAGATGAGAGTTGGAACACAACCTTATTTTATGCCAAAGAAAAATTTTAACTTTTCTGCTGACTTCAACCTTATGGTAATGCTCTGGTGCAGGTTCTGCATGAACAGCAGACAGAATATAATGGTTAAAGGTTGAAGCTCTAGAATTAAATAGACATGCCTCCATCACTTTCTCTTTTTTTTTTCCTTTGACTACCCAAATTTATTCATTTTAAACTTGACATGATTTATCTTTTTTAACTCTTAATATAGCACTAGACCCTCTTTAAAATTTCATGGAAATAAAGGATTTATGACATATTTAAAATTTACTGGCTAAAATTTTAAAAAAAATTTAGATCAATTTATTTTAGGCCATTGTAATCTGGTTTATATGGTCCTAGAGGGATAATTGTGTACCACAAATCCTTTTTCTTTTTTTTTTCTTACACTTTAAGTTCTGGGATACATGTGCAGGACGTGCAGGTGTGTTATGTAGGTATACACGTGCTCTGGTGGTTTGCTGCACCCATCAACGCATCTTCTACATTAGGTATTTCTCCTAATGCTATCCCTCCCCTAGCCCCCCACCTCCCAACAGGCCCCAGTGTGTGATGTTCCCCTCCCTGTGTGCATGTGTTCTCATTGTTCAACTCCCACTTATGAGTGAGAAAATGCAGTGTTTGGTTTTCTGTTCCTGTGTTAGTTTGCTGAGAGCCTCCATCACTTTCTAGCTATGGAGAAGTTACTTATATCCCTGAGCTTTGGTTTCCTCAATTATAAGAAGAGATGGTAATAGTAGCTACCTCATATCATTTTCACAATAGATCTTGTCATTGTGGCAAAGACAGACCTCAGTTAACTGAGTTCCGTTTCATTTTTATCTTCCCTGGAACAAAGAAAGACTGGATTTTTCAGCTTTGATTGTTACATGATTGAGGCAAGTGGTCAAAGCATAAACCATTGCATGTAAGCACTCTTTGCTCTCCCTTTCCTTGCTGAAGCAATTTGAAAGCTCATGTTTGAGATGGTGGTTACACAGGATGGTTGACACCTGGGACACTCAAGTGTCATTTTAGGAGAATTGCCTGACCTGCAGAGGATTTTGCATGAGCAAGAAGTAAACCTGTGTTGTATTAAGACACTGGTTTTTCGGGTTTATTTGTTAGCATAGCATAACCTAGCCTATAGCCAAGTTAACTTACAACCAGATCCTATCCCAGAGTCAGTGACCAAGGAAAGGTCAATAAAAACAACAAATAGGCCAGGCGTGGTGGCTTACGCCTGTAATCCCACTTTGAGAGGCCGAGGTGGGAGGATTGCTTGAGGCCAGGAGTTCAAGACCAGTTGGGCAACATGGCAAGACCCCATCTCTACAAAATAAAATAAGAAAATTAGCCAGACATGGTGGTGAATGACTGTAGTCCCAGCTGCTTGGGGGAGGCATAGGCAGGAGGATCGCTTGAGCCCAGGAGATCAAGGCTGCAGTGAGCCGTGTTCATGCCATTGTACTCCAGCCTGGATGACAGAGCCTGATCCTGTCTCTTAAAAGATAAAAAAAGAGCTACAAATAATGGAGCAGTATATACTTGGTAAGAGTATTTATATGAGTGATCTATGGTGCAATAACTCACCACTTGCTCCTTATTTTAAACATTAATATGCAAAGCCCTAACTTACAGTTTTTAAAGGACATGTTCAATAAACTAAGTTTGGTGGGAAGTGGGGCAGTAGTGGGCCTTTTAAAATATATGGGTTAAACTGTGCAGTTTGTCTATCATGGGGGCCATGATCATAGAGTTAATAAAGCTAAATATTTAGTGAGAATCAGAGCCCATTCTTCACAGTAGTTCTTAACTCTAGATTCATTTCCTCTGGATGTTTTTCACCTGGGTGAGGCAGTATTACTAAGATCTCAATCAGTAATTGCCTGTTATCTTAAAAAACTGGACACATGACCTTTCATTTGTTGAGCTGGAAACTTTCAACCTCCCAGACACCAGCCATGTGTGGACCTTCACAAGTTTAGCAGATTCGTGCCTTGGTTAACATTGCCTACATTCTACCTTATTTCTAGATTTAAGAGCCAGACTGGGATTTTTGTTTTTGTTTTTGTTTTTTTTTTAGCGAGAAATTTATAGTTAAACTTGACATTTTAACAGGGTTCCAACTGCCCACTTACAATTTTAACTTCACATAGCCTCTTGTTAATCCAAGTTTTTTGGGTTTTGTTTTTGTGGGGAAATTCTTATTAAACTAGATACTAATGGGTTGTACTCACATTTGCTGGGACATTTTGCTGTTAAAACTATTTTAAAGTTATCAGCATGTCTGTTGGTACGTTAAGAAAGGAGCAATTGGCCAGGCGCCATGGCTCATGCCTGTAATCCCAGTACTTTGGGAGGCCAAGGCAGGCGGATCACCTGAGGTTGGGAGTTCGAGACCAGCCTGACAAACATGGAGAAACCTGTCTCTACTGAAAATACAAAATTAGCCGGGTGTGGTGGCAAGCGCCTGTAATCCCAGCTACTCGGGAGGCTGAGGCAGGAGAATCGCTTGATTCTCCTGCAGGAGGTGGAGGTTGCAGTGAGCCGAGATTGTGCCATTGCACTCCAGCCCGGGCAACAAGAATGAAACTCTGTCTCTCTCAGAAAATAAATAAATAAATAAATAAGGAGAAATTATGGCCTTAGAGTAAACAGAGGTGTTTTTTTTTACATGTTCTAAGTATGAGATCACCAGTATTGGTTTGAAAGCCCGTCCCACTCTTTCCACATAACTACTTTATTTATTCACTGTAGGATATTTACTAGGTTCCTGTCTAAAATAAGTATTATGAAAAAGCTAGTGTTAAATATCATCTAGCTTCTTAGGGAACTGAACAAGATTAGAAGGAAAGGTTTCTTGTAGCTGCTTAGATGACAGCTCCCTTGAACATGAAAAAATTAAAGGTGACCAATATATAAAAGGCACAAAACCGTGGCTCTGAGGAGGGTGTTGGGGGCAGTGGGTGAAAAATTGTTAAGGGGTTAATGCAGAGTTCATGGTCCTTGGTTTGAAAATGAGATATACTTTTATTTTCTCTATGATTTGTCTTTCATGGTTGGCCTGAATTACAGAATTTAGAACCTTAAAAATTAAAATAACCATCCAGAAGTAGAACTGACCCAATCACGAGAGCTCTCATTTTGCCCAAGTTTCCTGTTGGTTCTCAAGATGATCAAAGGAAGCTATAGAGAGTAGCACTTCAAGAGGCTTCTTCCATGATACTTCAGAAAGGGAAGGGGAGCAGAATCATGTGATAATAACGCGGCTTTAAAAAGGCTATTGTAAAGGTAGCACCAGAACCTCACTTCTGCATCCCTCTTGCCTCTTCTATCTGTCATGACCCTTTTTAAGGGAGTTCCCATGTGACAGTTCCATACAGGATCAGCCCAAGGCACTGGATGAAGCTTCTAAGAACAGATCATTTGTATCTATTGGAGATTGTGGAATTTTAAGACCCACCATTTCTTACATAAAGAAGGACTAGATTGTGTGAAATGTCAGCCAATGCCCTTTCTCCAGGTTAAATGTGTGATCTGCTCTAGAGTGTGTGATTTTGGGGAAAATTCTTTGTAACATGGTTCATGTTTTTTGGATAGAGATTCATAGTTGGTGCAGAATTCATCTGGAGGAGACAAAGAATTAGCAGATGCAGATCGAGAAAGAGTCACTTGCCATAATCCTCATCTTTTTATAAGGTAGTCTTTCCATACCACATATATTTCTTTGGACTTGCTTCTTAGTGGCTGTTAAGATAATGGGCCACAAAACTGTAGCAGGGAAGGTTAGGAGGTTAGAATATGCTAAGTTGGAAATAAAATTGAAACATAAAAAGACTGTCTTCTATGATGACATTTTTTATTTTCTCTGGTGGGGGAAAGGTGGACAAGTAGTTCCTTAGTTTGGTGATCCTGCGCAGCTGCTTTAATTGTAGATGAGAAAGTTCTTCCATTTCTGGAGAAACATTAGTTACAGTTGATAGGTTACCATATATGGTCAGTTCTACTTTGTAATTATCCTCCAAATCCATTCTTCTTATTCCATCTCTTCTTCTACTGCCTTTGTTGATTGCAATGATCATTTCTGACTTACTTGACTTCAGTATACTCCTGAGTGCTCAGCCTCTATTATTCTGAAAATCACTGTTAAATAAAATGTGTTTGAATATACCATGCCCCTTAAAAAAGAGAATGTAAAAGAACTCGATTTCTCCCAGAGTAAAGGACAAACTCTAGCAAGGCATATAAGGGCTCTTCATACTCTGGCCCTTTCCATGCCTCCCCGTGCTGTCCCACCATGAGTACTGCATATTAGTACTTGTTTTCCTAAATACTACACTTCACAGATGTGCCAACATTTTCTCCAAGACATTAAGATCCTCTAACATTCCTCCCCTGCTCCTTTTAACGTTATTGATTCATACTTGTAGTAATTCATCTCTAAATAATCTCCTCCTCAGCGTTATGTTTCCTGACACTCTTCTAACCATTTCCTCTCTCTTTTACATATTGGCTACATTAAGGGTCTCATTAGGTTTCCTAACACCTGGTACTTACCTCTCAAACTGCATTGCATTTGCAGATTTTTGAGAGTGCACCCTTTAAAAACAGAAGAGCATTTTTCACATTCTCCTCATCTGATCAGAAAAATATCTTCTCAGCTTAAGTCCATGAGATGTTTCCTATAAACTGGTGAGAAGACAGTGGGACTACCGAGGATAAACTGGCTAAATCCAAAAGTGTTTGAAGATTGGTTGATGGGAGGTCAGCTTCTGTCTAGTTGCTTCCATTGACAATACATTTTTAATGAAATGCTCTTTCTCATAATCAGTGAGAACCATGAGAATCATTATGGCTGATCCTAAAACTGTTCGTCTAAATCGAATTCTGGTAATCTCCTTTATTCATGAATTAGGAATTATTTACTATCAGGAATAGTAAAAGCAATAATAATGAACTTGGTTTGAAATGATTAGGTAGAGTGGCATAATTGAAGGTGGAAAGGTGGTTAGGACAGAAGCTTTAGCTTCTCATAGTCTGTCCATTTGAGAACTTCTAACCACTCTGTAGTGTTAGTTAGTGCCAAATGTGGACCACTGGCAGAAGTCTTCAGTGAAGAGAGGCTTTCATGGAAGTATATTTATTGGTAGGCATGTACGAATCTAGTTATTAATTCCTTAATTAGTGGATTCCTTGATTACATGTCAGCTGTGTATCAGACACTGGTTTAAAATTTGTAAATGATATAGCTAAAGCATCTACATTAAAAAAGTAGAAGAACTCCAAATAACCTAATGATGCATCTTAAAGAACTAGAAAAGCCAGAGCAAACCAAACGCAAAATTACTAGAAGAAAAGAAATAATAAAGATCAGAGCAGAAATAAATGAAATTGAAGCAAAGAAAACAATACCAAAGTTCAATGAAACAAACAGTTGGTTTCTTGAAAATATACACAAAACTAACGAACATTTAGCCAGACTAAGAAAAAAAGATCCAAATAAAATCAGAGAAGAAAAAGAAGACATTATAACCGATACCGTAGAAATTCAAAGGATCATTAGAAGCTACTATGCCAAGAAATGGGAAAACCTGGAAGAAACGGATAAATTCCTCGACACATACAATCTTCCAAGATTGAACAATGAAGAAGTCCAAAACCTGAGCAGACCAATAACAAGTAATAAGATTGAAGCTGTAATAAAAATTTCCCAGCAAAAAAAAAGTTCAGGACCTGATGGCTTCACTGCTGAATTTTACCAAATATTTAAAGAAGAACTAATACCAATCCTCCTGAAACTATTCTGAAAAATAGAGGAGGAAATATTTCCAAATGTACTGTATGAGGCCAGTATTACCCTGATACCCAAACCAGACAAAGACACATCAAAAACAAAACAAAACAAAACCAAAAAAAAAACACTACAGGCCAGTATCCCTGATGAATATTGATACTCAACAAAATACTAGCAAACCGAATTCTACAACACATTTAAAAGATCATTCGTCATGACCAAGTGGAATCTATCCCAGGGATGCAAGCGTGGTTCAACATATGCAGATCAATCAGTGTGGTACGTTATATCAA
This sequence comes from Homo sapiens, assembly GCF_000001405.40. Lineage (NCBI taxonomy): Eukaryota > Metazoa > Chordata > Mammalia > Primates > Hominidae > Homo > Homo sapiens. Next base: position 53,683,247 of record NC_000002.12, on the reverse strand, counting down.
CAAAGTGAAGGACAAAACCCATATGATCATTTCAATTGATGCTGAAAAAATATCGGATAAAATTCAACATCTCTTCATGACAAAACCCTCAAAAAACCGGGTATGCCTCAATTCAGTAAACACCGTTTATGACAGACCCACAGCTCATATCATAGTGAAAGGGGGAAATACTTGAAGCTTTTCCTCTAAGATCTGGAACATGACAAAGATGCCCACTTTCACCACTATGATTCAACACAGTAGTGGAAGTCCTAGTTAGAGCAGTCAGACAAGAGAAAGAAAGAAAGGGCATCCAAGTTGGAATGGAAGAAGTCAAAATGTCCTTGTTTGCAGATGATATGATTTTATATTTGGAAAAACCTAAAGACTCCACCAAAAACCTATTAGAACTGATGAACAGATTCAATAAGTTTTCAGGATACAAAATCAACATACAAAAATTGGCGCATTTATTTATGCCAGCAGTGAACAGGCTGGGCGCAGTGGCTCACACCTGTAATCCCAGCACTTTGGGAGGCCGAGGTGGGTGGATCACCTGAGGTCAGGAGTTCGAGACCAGCCTGGCCAATATGGTGAAACCCCATCTCTACTAAAAATACAAAAATTAGCCGGGCGTGGTGGTAGGCACCTGTAATCCCAGCTACTCAAGAGGTTGAGGCAGGAGAATCACTTGAACCCGAGAGGTGGAGGTTGCAGTGAGCCGAGATCGCACCACTGCACTCCAGCCTGGGTGACAGAGCAAGACTCCATCTCAAAATAAAAGCAAAAAGTGAACAATCTGAAAAAGAAATAAAAAATTAATCTCATTTACAATAGCAACAAATAAAATAAAATACCTAGGAATTAGTGTGACCAAAGAAGTGAGAGATCTCTACAATGAAAGCTGTAAAACACTGATGAAAGAAATTAAAGAGGATACATCAAAAGAGGAAATACATTCTGTGTTCATTGATTGAAAGAATCAATATTGTTAAAATGGCCATACTACTTAAAGCAATCTACAGATTCAATGCAATTCCTATCAAAATACCAATGACATTCTTCACAGAAATAGAAAAAGCAATCCTAATTTTTTTTTTTTTTTTTTTGAGACGGAGTCTCGTTTTGTCACCCAGGCTGAAGTGCAGTGGCATGATCTCGGCTCACTGCAACCTCTGCCTCCCGGATTCAAGCAATTCTCCTGCCTCAGCCTCCCAAGTAGCTGGGGTTACAGGCATGTGCCACCATGCCTGGCTAATTTTTTTGTACTTTTAGTAGAGACGAGGTTTCACCATATTGGCCAGGCTGGTCTCGAACTCCTGACTTTGTGATCCACCCACCTCACCCTCCCAAAGTGCTGGGATTACAGGCATGAGCCACCGCGCCCAGCCAGCAATCCTAAAATTTATATGGACCCACAAAAGACTCATAATAGCCAAAGCTATCCTGAGCAAAAAGAACAAAACTGGAGGAATCAGATTACCTTACTTCAAATTGTACTACAAAGCCATAGTAACTAAAACAGCCTGGTACTGGCATAAACACAGACACATAGACCAATGAAACAGAATAGAGAACCCAGAAACAAATACAGAAACCTACAGTGAACTCATTTTCAACAAAGGTGCCAAGAACATACATTGGGGAAAGGACAGTCTCTTTATTAAATGGTGCTGGGAAAACTGGATATCCATATGCAGAAGAATAAAACTAGACCCCTATCTCTGGCCATATACAAAAATCAAATAAAAATGCATTAAAGAGTTTAAGACCTCTAACTACTAAAAGAAAACATTGGGGAAACTCTCTAGTACATTGAACTGGGCAAAGGTTTCTTGAGAAATACCCCACAAGCACAGGCAACCAAAACAAAAATGGACATAGGGGATCACATCAAGTTTAAAAGTTTCTGATGCACAGCAAAGGAAACGGTCAACAAAGAGAAGAGACGGCCCACAGAAGGGGAGAAAGTATTTGGAGTTTCCTCAAAAAACTAAAAATAGACCTACCATATAATCCAGCAGTCCCACTGCTGGGTATATACCCAAAAGAGAGGAAATCAGTATATTGAAGAGAAAATGTTTATTGCAGCACTATTCACAGTAGCTAAGATTTAGAAGCAACTGGTGTCCATTAAAAGATCAATGGATAAAGAAACTGTGATACATATACACAACAGAGTACTATTCAACCATAAAAAAGAATGAGAGCCTGTCATTTGCAACAAAATGGATAGAACTGGAGGTCATTATAGTAAGTAAAATAAGCTAGGCACAGAAAGACAAACTTAGCATGTTCTCACTTTTTTACGGAGCTAAAAATTAAAGTGGTTGAATTCATGGAGATACAAAGTAGAAGTCTGGGAAAGGTAGTGGGGATGGGGGGTGAGAGGTGGGGATGGTTGGTGAGAGGTGGGGATGGTTAATGGATACAAAAATATAGTTAGAATGAATAAGATCTATTTGATATCACAATAGAGTGTCTAAGGTCAACAATTTATTGTACATTTTTCAACAAGTGAAAGAGTATAATTGGATAGTTTGTAACACAAAGAAAGGATAAATGCTTGAGGCAATGAATACCCCATTTACCCTGATATGATTATTATGCATTGCATGCCTGTATCAAAGTATCTCATGTACCCCATAAATATATACACCTACTATGTGCCCACACAATTTAAAAATAAAAAAGTTTTAAAAATAAAAATAAATTCTGTTTTAAAAAGAAGACACACATCCAGCCAACAATCATATGAAAAAAAGTTCGACATCACTGATCATTAGAGAAATCCAAATCAAAACCACAATGAGATACCATCTCATAGCAGTCAGAATGGTTATTACTAAAAGGTAGAAAATAATAGATGCTGGCGAGGTTGCATAGAAAAAGAAACACTTATACACTGTTGATGGAAGTGTAAACTACTTCAACCGTTGGGAAGACAGTGTGGCAATTCCTCAAAGACCTAAAAGCAGACATACTGTTCGATCCAGCAATCCCATAACTGGGTATATACCCTTAGGAATAGAAATCTTTCTGTCATAAAGACACATGTACACATATGTTCCTTGCAGTGCTATTCACAGTAACAAAGACATGGAATCAACCTAAATGCCCATCAGTGGTAGAGTGCATAAAGAAAATGTGGTACATACGCACCATGGATTAGAATGCAGCCATAAAAAAAGAATGAAATCATGTCCTTTGCAGGAACAGAGGTGGAGCTGGAGGCCATTATCCTTAGCAAACTAATGCAGGAACAGAAAACCATGTACTACATGTTCCCACTTATAAGTGGGAGCAAAATGATGAGAACCTAGGGACACGTAGAAGGGAACAACAGACACTGTGGCCTATGTTGTGGGTGGAAGGAAGGAGAGGACCAGGAAAAAATAACGAATGAGTACTAGGCTTAATACCTGGGTGACAAAATAATCTGTACAACAAGCCCCCATGAAACAAGTTTATCTACGTAATGAACTTACACATGTACCCCTGAACTTAAAAATTAAATTTAAAAAAATTATGTGAATGAAAAAATAAAGTGAACATAGTTCTTTGATTAGTACAGTGGCTAAAAGGGAAGGATTCAGGGTTGTGGCAGAGTTTTCTTTTTGAGATGGGAGGAGCTTGATCATGTTTTATAGATCAAGAGGGTCTCAGTTTATAAAACGACATCAAAGATTCAGAGATAAAAGGGATAATTTGTGTAATGAAATTTCGTGTAGGCCAGTTGGAGACGGGATTAGCCTCAGGTAGACCCATTTCTTTGAGATGGAGAAGAAAGATGAGGATGGGCTGGACAGAGATAAATTTGTAGCTTGGGGATTGGAAGCTCAGAAAAAAAAAGCCCATAAGACCAGTTTTTACTGTGAAGTTGGGAGTAAAGTCTTGCTGAGGAGGAGATTGAAGTGAGAATTGGGTAGGGGACTTGGTGTTTTGGAATGGTTGCTGTGGGAAACCAATTGAGAACCATTGAAAGATTTGCAGAGCAAAACCCTGCAGGTCTGGTAGAGGTTGGAAGTGGAACCAGTTCATGTAGTTGTATTTTCCAGCATTGCTTAGTTTTCTTTGTATTGGGGTGCAGAAGCAAAATGGTTAGATTGATCCTGGGTATTGTCAGAACAGGGATAAAGGAACTGAGGATAAAATAATTGAAGTGATGGGCCCATGGAATCCAGTCTAGATAGGAAAAGAAATGAGAAAGGATGGGACCTGAAGGATGAGATAGGGGAGGAGTTGGGACCTGAGGTCTCCATGATGTTAAAGATTGGGTGTGGCAATAAGGGAGAGCAAACTCTGGAAGAATAGAAACTGGTGTCTGTTGGAGTTTAAAGACAGAAGCGTGGATCTGAAGTGGTGCACAAGAAGTATAAGAATGCTAACATTGCCCCCCAGACCTTGCAACAGGTGTAGCAAGGCATGGAAAATGAGAAGATTGTATTTTCAAAATTGGCCAAGGAAGTAATTTCCTTGCAAGAATCAGGCTTTTGTGAGGAGAAGAGGGGGAGGCAGAATGTTCTATACAGAGTTCATGGTAGAATGGGGATTCCCGAGGACTTATCTCTCTTCCCATCCTCCACTTAGCATACATGGCCCAGTGCCTTGTACCTACATATCCGTAGGGGTTACATCAGGATTTCCCAAAGTCGGGTGCATGGGGTTGACTGTGCCACCACATTTGTGGTGTGCTATAGTGAATTTTTGTTCATATGTGATTGCTTAGTGCACCTATAATGATATTTTGTAGTTTTAATTTAACCACTTCTCACAAATTGGTCAAGTGGCTTAAAACGATTTCTGTAAAGAAGTAGTATTTTCTGTAGATAATATTAAAAGTGCAAGCACAAGTGAACCAACATAATCATCGTAGAGCTGCATTCTCTTGTTATTTACCAGGCATGTTATGTGATAAAAATGATGACCACCTGGGTTACCGGGTTGAAGGCGGGATGGTTGTGGGGAAATGAAAAGATGTAGGTCAAAGGGTATAAAGCTGCAGTTTTGTAGGATGAGGAAGTTCTAGAGATCATGAGAACTATAGTTAAAAATACTGTGTTGTGTACTGGTAATTTACCAAGATAGTAAATTTTAGGCACACACATGCACACACACACACACACACCAGCAAGGTAACTATATGAGATGATGGGTATATTAATGTTTGTTTGACTGTAGTAATCACTTCATTATGGTAGGTATATCAACATAAGCATACAAAACATCACATTGTACACTTTAAATATATACAATAAAATAATAAAAATTTTAAAAAGCTAAAAAGAGCTAAAATAAAAATGACTACCACCTAATTGCAACTGACAAATATAAAATTATCAAGAAAATATTTAAAATATAGTCTCACCTTTACTTTAACAGTGAGCCTTGTCCTTAACATGTAGTGTGCCTTGAGATAATTAGCTAATGGAAGAACCATACTCAGCAAGACACTCTAATCTACACATTCGGAACATGAGGGCAAACCCTGTGATTTTTTTTTCTCAATGTTTTAAGTCCTAGGATGCCCAGTGCATTATTTTTTACAAAATTTACTAAACATAATGATAAAGGCTTAGAACTCTTTTTGAGTTTTCTTATTCAATAGCAAAAGACAAAAAGTCACAGACCATTGGGGAAACTCATGTTCCTCCTGCCACAGTAAAACTGGCTGAAATAATATGAGGACAAAACAAAATGCATTCCTTATTAGCAAATGTTGTTAAAGGAGCATAGAAAACACTGCTAAAGCATTAAAGCAGAGTTTTTTTTTAAAAAAAACCTGCAGATAGAAAGTTTGGTGTACTAAGTTGGAAGGAGATTTGTGGTATTTATAACATGTTACAACTTAGGGTATTTGTTAAGATTCTCTTTCAGTGAGAGAATAGGCAATTTTTTAAGAGCTGCTAAAGGAAAAATGCACCAGAAAAGAGATACAGTGAGGTGTATTAACAACGGGGATACAGTCTGAGAAGTGCTTTGTTAGGCGATTTTGTCATTGTGCAAATATTATAAAGTATTCTTATATAAACTAGATGGTAGAGCCTACTACACACCTGAGGCTACATAGTATAGCCTATTGCTCCTAGGCCACAAACTTGTACAGCATGTTACTGTGCTGAATACTATAGGCAGTTGTAACACATTGGTAAGTATTTGTGTTTCTAAACATAGGAAAAGTACAGTAAAAATACAGTATAGGCCGGGCGCGGTGGCTCACACCTGTAATCCCAGCACTTTGGGAGGCTGAGGCGGGTGGATCACCTGAGGTCAGGAGTTTGAGACCAGCCTGGCCAACATGGCGAAATCCTGTCTCTACCAAAAATACAAAAATTAATCGGGCATGGTGGCAGGCGCCTGTAATCCCAGCAACTCGGGAGGCTGAGGCAGGAGAATTGCTTGAACCTGGGAGGCAAAGTTGCAGTGAGCTGAGATCGTGCCACTGCACTCCAGCCTGGTGACAGAGTGAGACTCCGTCTCAAAACAAAACAAAACGAACAAACAAAACAGCACAAAAGATGAAAAATGGTAGATCTGTATAGGGCACTTACTAGGAATGGAACTTGCAGGACTGGAAATTGCTCTGGGTGATATCAATGAGTGAGTGGAGAGTGAATGTGAAGGCCTCAGACATTACTGTATGCTACTGTATACTTTAACGCCATATACTTAGGCCACACTAAATTTATAAAAAAATTAGTTGATGTTATGACACCTGTGACATCACTAGATAATAATAATTTTTCAGCTCCATTATAATCTTGTGGGGCCACCATCGTATATGTGGTCCGTCGTTTACTAAAATATCCTTACGCAGTGTATGCCTGTATTGGCAACAGTAATGGCTTATTTAACAGAATGATGTGTTTTGGAAAAGGTGTGTAAGAATGACCATTGAAGGAGTGGTGGCTGCTTTTCTCCAAATGTAAGGTAATGGAGATAACATGAAATGAGTTTACTACATCATTCATAGGCTAGTATAGGAGAAGAGTTGAATCCAGAATTGCACGAAGTAGTATCACTGTGGATACTTTCCTAAAGCATGACCTTTAAAATATATTAGAGTCTTTGCAGTACTTTATAATGAGGTGGGAGTGACCATAGTTATTGTTTATACATCCATAGTTTTGCTCATTGTCTGTGATACAATATATAAAAGAACCCTTAAGCTCAAAGGTAAATTATGTGCTTTTCTTTTACAAAAATACAGCTTTTCCAATTTTCTTGAGCTTTTTCTTTCTTGGTGATAAATAGCTATGCAACCTACCATGTATTTTGTAAAAATTCTGTTGATTTAGGGAAGAGATGACATTTTAACTGAGTGAGAAGTAACTGCCTTCTGAAAGGAACTCCCCTCCATGCCCTGCAATGCAGGTTAAAGCCAAGCAATGAAAGAAACTTTTGCTATGTGGAGATGATTTTGAAAATAGGTACTAGGAAATATTTTTATTGTTACGTTATTTTCTTGTGAAAAGTAGTATATATCACCTGGAAAAACTCTTTCATTGACATACTTAAAACACTTGGAAATAGTTCCCCTTTGTTTTGAACTCCATTTAGTAAAAATGCAAAACTTTCTGATTAGCTTATAAACTGATTGATATCAGGAAAAAATAGAAATTTACCAGATGAATTTTGACAATAACTTTTTCATAATTGCTAGATAGGCTAGATAGAATCCTGATTTAGTTCAGCTAAGCCACAGTGTACTTCTCCCATTTAGACCTTATTTCAGCTACATCCATGTATCAGAATAAACTGGGCTTAGAACCAACTCTTTGAATTGCTAGATCACTAAGAATTACATTAATAAAGCCTAGTCAATCACCTTGTTCTTGTTAAAATATTAATATTTAAAGGAGTCTTATACCTTTAAAAATGAAATTATTTAAAGTATATATCTTATTTTATATTGGCTTATTTTATTTTATAGTACAAATAATGTTTGGTTAATAGTATACATGTAATTTATATGTAAAATATATATTGGATTCTGTGGTCAGAGACTTTACTAATTTAGTGTGTAATCAAAACATTTGGAGATCACTAGATTCTGTGGTGCCTGGGATTTGTGTGGTGTTTCACTTTATGAAATGCTTTTGCAAATGTGTTCCAACTTGAACATCATCAACAGCCTTTTGATGCAGGGAAGTGTCATTATGCCCATTTTGTAGATGAGGCATTATTCTCATTTTATGGAAAGGTAACTGAAAGTCAGAATATTTAGATGACTTGCCCAGGGTCACACAGCTAGTTAATAGTGGCACCTCAGCGCCAGCACAGGTGTTACTACTAGATGGTGCTTTTCCATTTAATCCATTCATTGCCTCTACTGGTCATTCCTTTATACTGGCCATTCCTATTGTTTTGACTTCATGTCCTAATCTATTACTTGTTTTTCAGAGTTCTCAGGTACTTGCTTTTTGTGTTTTTTCTAGCGGTTTTAGTTATAGTCAATGAGAGAGACAACACAAGTAAATTAAGAAAAACTGGGAACAAAAGGATGGATACCAACGAGAAAGACAATATATTAATGATGAAAATAAAAATGGTAGTAGGTGTCTCAGAAGTCAGATAAATGCATTTGATGTGCAAAACATTTCAAAGGAACCAGAGAAATGTAGTTCAGGCAGATAGGTTGTTTGAACATTGGCCTGAGGGAAGGCTAAAGATGAATGTAGAAAATATAGTGGGTGTGTATGATATAGATATAGTTTTGTGCTATAGTAAAGTTGGCATTTATAAGCATAATGAATTAAGAATTGTGACGTTTATTTTGATCATTGTGTGTGCTTTTGATTTTAACAAAACTTTGTATAACAACATGTAGTCTTCTATTTTGATTGTTCTGCCAGTACATATAACAAAATGAACAAAATAGAGGAATTCTGTATAGGAATTAAAAGTTAAATATTACTCATCTGCTAATAGATCTATGGATAAACTAAGTTTAACATATTGAATAAAAATGATTGGGTCAGAAAAGTGACTTAGAAGTGTAGCATGGTTTCAGACGTCATTTTCTAGGTTACAATCACTGCCATAATCCAAGAACATGGAGATGTATTTAACAAAACTAAAATATAGTTTTAATAGGTTTTCATGAAAGTATGTTTTACATACAGCTTCTGTGGCCTTTTTCGTATTATAAATTCAAGGCATGGCTTGATCTTCTAGCCTAGTGGCAACACGTCTGGAAATAACTATGCATCACTAAAACTTTCATAGGGATTTTGTGTGCTTTGAAATATTGCATATATGGTTATAAAATTCCCTTAGTATTTACTGGCATATTAAACAAAAATGGCACTGACAGGCATATTATTGTCTGTGTTAATAATCTACACATGAAACACTCCCTCAGTTCAGCTGAACATAGTTCTTACCTCTAATTGTTCATTAGGCCAGTGATCTGTTGTGCTCTTAGAAGGAAAACCAAAATGGTGCAATTAAAATTTGAACCAATACCTGAAGTAGCTATACTTTTCCTTTTTTATTATTAAATGGAAAGATATTCTGAAATTTATGATAGTTTCAGTGGTTTAGAAGATGTTGGAGAATTATATTGAGCTTATCATAGTTTAAAGAACCCTGGACTGGGAGTCAAATCATTGAGATCTAGTTAACAACAGCTATGTTGTTGATGTGCCACATCTCAGTGGGCAAGTCAGTTACGCTTCTCCTAACAAATGCGAACTGGTCTAGTGTGGCTTGATCACTAATGGTTAAGCTTCTACACATAATTAGCATAAACAAATGATTTATTAAGCTTTAAAGATAGACCTCCAGTGATGTAGTCACATAATCTAGAAAAGCTGGTCAGCACTACATTAAGTTTTAGGGTATCTGGAGGAATCTTCCCAGTCAGCCCATAGAATTTTAAGCCAGTGTAGTCTGTCCACTCTGAGAAGCTGGAGCATCATTAAGGATCCCTTATCTCCATGTGAGCAGCTCTCCTCCGGGTTGCACAGCCATCCTTTATCTTCCTTCTGGTTGTGTAGTAAGTATTCATGTTCCTAAGAATGTGCAGAATGAAGAGATTCAATTTAACAGATGCCTGTTAAACTCTAACTGAATATAAGTAGAAATTCTCTTTAAAAACACACACTGGATTAAACAGTCTTGTCATTTTCTCTTTCATTTCCATCTGACTATGTCCATTGGCATGCTCTGTGTTTGCAGCTGGCCAGCTACACTCTAGAATGCCAGTGTTCCTACCAGCAGAGGTGTGTGCTTACCAAACAGCAGTTATGCTTATTTCTGAAACTTTTTATTACGTTGTGCATATTATTGGAGTTAAATAATTCCAGATTGCACAAGCTAATGAATTATGAGTGTGAAAAGAGAATCATTGTTGCTGTTAAGGCAAAGTAGAATGCAAAAGACTTGATAAAGATAAGCACAGAACAGAAATAGATATTGAATTAGACGTGGCTACAACAACTGAAAGCAAAAAAACCTGTAAAAATATGGAAGGATTATGCACTCACCTTGTTTCATACATGCCTTTAAATCCATGCTGTAACTCAAAGAAAGTGAAACTGTGTCCTTATTTATATAGTGGTGAGTAAAAAATACATAAATAAACTGCAAGCCATAGATGTTGCATTCTAGATGTGTTCATGTATCCATTTTAAATTAGAATGTTTAAAGTATGTATGGTTGTTGTGGTCACCTGCTTTAAGGTGAGTTTCTATTAACTGACCAATTATTGTTCATGATCCTACTAAGAGGGCTTCCTTATACTTGATAGTTGAACATAGTCAATCTACTTAAACCTTTGGAAAACGGTGGTGTTTGCAGCTTGGGCCTGCTTTCCATATGTATTCCTGCAACTTCCTCCAGTGGCCCCTTTACCTGTGTCTTCCCATCTTTCATGTGAGAACCATCATTTCTCCTTTAAGTTTACAGAAAAGTGTCAAATTTAAGTAAGATATGGATATGAAAAAAGTTAGAAATAAATGTGCGTGCTATATACTATAGATACTGTAATCTTATTATTTATAATAGGGAATCTATGACTCATGATTTAAGAAAATGCCCAGCTTAGACTTAGGTTTTATGTACAAAATCGATAACTTTTGCTTTCTTATTTGGCATTTTGAAACACCAGTTTGAGTGATTTCTTTAATTCTGAATAAACTAAACTAAACCTAAACTAGTAAACTAAAAACGATGATGAGTTAACTTCTATGGCTTGGAAGATATTGAAGATGTTAGAGAATTAATTGGTCTCAAGCCCTATGGGTATTAGAGTTTAAAGAACCCTATACCTGGAATCAGACTAGCTGGTCTGGTATCAGCTGTGCTCTTGATAGTACTTGTCTTTGATGCTCTGATCCTGGTCTGTTCATCATTGTTAAATTTCACAGGGATTTATAAAAGATTTCTTGAATTAACAAAAGGCTTTGGTCCGATTCACATAAAAGCAGACATTAACTTCTTTATTTAACACTTTTCATCTTGGAAAATGAAACTGCTATCATATGATTCTTTTCTTTTTTTTTTTGAGAAGGAGTTTCCCTCTTGTTGCCCAGGCTGGAGTGCAGTGGCATGATCTCGGCTCACTGCAACCTCCGCCTCCCAGGTTCAAGCAATTATTTTGCCTCAGCCTCCCTAGTAGGTGGGATTACAGGCATGTGCCACCACGCCAAGCTAATTTTGTATTTTTAGTAGAGACGTTGTTTCACCATGTTGGTCAGGCTGGTTTTGAACTCCTGACGTCAGGTGATCTGCCCGCCTCAGCCTCCCAAAGTACTGGGATTACAGGCATGAGCCACCGCGCCTGGCCTATCATACAGTTCTTAATTATGTGCATTTGAATTGTCCTTTAATTGGTAGTTAGCTTTTGGCTGCACTGCCTTGCCAGATACACACACACACACACACACACACACACACACACACACACACACGCTTTGGGTTCAGATAGATCTGAGTTTGAATCCTGGCTCTGCTGCTTACTAGCTCTGTGACTTTGGAAAGTTGTTTTTTTAAATTTCTACAACAGCCTGATAATATATACTTCATGAAGTTAATGAAGATAAAAAGAGAATTTGAGTGAAGTACATGGGCTTATGGCATAGAAGGCACTCAGTAAATACTCCCTTTCTCTCAGAGTCAATTAAAAATTTTCATTTTATGTTATGGATAAAAAGGAAAACTTGCAAGCTGTACATCTATTCACTTGATGTGATAGGTCTGGAAACCATTTGTAATGAAATAGATTAAGAGGAAGGTAGCATTTGCTATTGTGAGCTTCCACCATTTCTAAAGTTGGTTCATCCATTTCTTAAGTGCAGGTATTAACAGATCTTTAGAATTTGAGCATTTAGTGTTTGCGGCCCTGGATACTGACTTTGAATGTGTGGCCAACAAACTGAAGGGAGAGGAGCCAGTTGAAGGCTGTAGAAAAGAATAAATAAGGTTTATTGTGGTCATACTGACTCAAAGTAGTCTTCTTTCAAGCAATATATCACTTTTATTACTAAGAGTTGGGGGAAAAAAAAATTTACCTTTATGTGCTATTACATCTTTCTGTTTAAAAAAGTTTCACCTTGCTTTTTTTGTTTCTCCAGCCACTGTTCCATCCCTGACCCATCTTTGTCGTTTGGAAATTCGGTCCAGTCTAAAATCAGAACGTCTACGGTCTGACAGTTATATTAGTCAGCTGCCACTTCCCAGAAGCCTACATAATTATTTGCTCTATGAAGACGTTCTGAGGATGTATGAAGTTCCAGAACTGGCAGCTATTCAAGATGGATAAATCAGTGAAACTACTTAACACAGCTAATTTTTTTCTCTGAAAAATCATCGAGACAAAAGAGCCACAGAGTACAAGTTTTTATGATTTTATAGTCAAAAGATGATTATTGATTGTGAGATAGGTTAGGTTTTGGGGGGCCAGTAGTTCAGTGAGAATGTTTATGTTTACAACTAGCCTTCCCAGTAAAAAAAAAAAAAAAAAAAAAAAAAATTGTAAACATCACTTATATTACTTTATTGCAGCTTCATCACCAGTACATTATATGTTGTAATATTTATTTACCTGATCATTTTGATCATTTTCTGCTTTATTTTGCTAATAAACTGTGATGTTACTTCTAGTGCTAAACATGGCATATTTCCACCTATGATTCGTGTTTACCTGGTATTAGGAGCTCAGAATGGAATGCATAAAGCTTCACTGGAAGTGTATACAACTGTGGTGTAGAATCTGTTATTATTATCATTATTATTTTATTTAGACTTGACTATCTCTTATGTTTATTAAAGAACATGTTTTCCTATTCAGTTGCTTTTTTTTTTTTTTTTTTTTTGGAGACAGAATCTTGCATTGTCACCGAGGCTGGAGTGCAGTGGTGCAATCTCGGCTCACTGCAACCTCTGCCCCAGGGTAATTCAGTCACTTTTATGAAGAATTGATACTCATTGCCGTTTCACATGTAAACTCACAGGAAAAAATTACTTTGAAAGAACATAGAAAATCAATCATATTGCTGGGTTTTCCCTTCCAGTTTCTTTTCATTCTTTGGCAAAACAAACAAACAAACAAAACCAACCAACCCAATTCTAATCTGCAAAGGCAAGAACAGCCCTAAACTCAAAGATGTGCTCAGCTGGGAAAAAAAATGGTTTCAGTTTTGAGATAAATGGGCATGTTAGCACAATTAGGATTTTAATCAGGAGACTGAGAGGGGCATGTCTGTGGCACCATCTTTAAAGAAAGAAAGGGGCCGGGCGTGGTGACTCACGCCCTTAATCCCAGCACTTTGGGAGGCCAAGGCAGGCGGATCACGAGGTCAGGAGATTGAGACCATCCTGGCTAACATGGTGAAACCCCATCTGTACTAAAAATACAAAAAAATTATCTGTGCATGGTGATGGGTGCCTGTAGTCCCAACTACCCTGGAGGCTGAGGCAGTAGAATGGCGTGAACCTGGGAGACGGAGCTTGCAGTGAGCCGAGATGGCGCCACTGCACTCCAGCCTGGGAGACAGAGTGAGACTCCGTCTCGAAAGAAAGAAAGGTAGGTATTACCGAGTTACTTAGTATTATATATAAAATTCAGGTTCCATTCAGCTCTAGAATCATTGAGCAGCTTTGTTCCTATGAAGCAGTAATAGCCAGTTCTACTAATATTATGGTGTTTTTCCTTCTTATTATCTAGATAAGCTGTCAAACAGTCCATGAAATAAAGACCTCAGAATCCTAGATTAATGAGGCGCCACCTCATGGGTTTTTACAATTGCTTGATCTAAATCTAGAGTCAGGAAGAACTAAACGCTGGATCAAGTGAGCCATGATAAGAGGCTATAGAGAGTGACCTTGAGAAAAAGGTTATGAGAGCATTACTGTCACAGTAGACTACCAGGAGGCAATGTCTTCTGTCCTGTTGGGATCCTGTGGCTTAAAATAGATGAGAGCGGGCCAGCTGTGCCTGTTTCTGATAGACGTTTGGTGTTTGGCAAAAGCAGTGATGAAGGTGGACCAAACAAGGATGACATCACTAAGACCCAAAGGGATGACTGAGCTGTTACCTCAGACTAGAACTGCCTGTGGGTTGGAGATAAGAGTTTGAATGTGGGTGTACAGGCAGAAATAAGGTTGCATATAGAAAACCAGGTGGACATTCTGATAATTTCATATGGAAATTCCAAAACTGTGTATATTGTATAGTATTTTTTAAATGTCATAATCTTTATTTTCTAAACCCTAAGTCTCTGATTTGTAAGATAGCACCCAGCTTTTTCTTGGGGGAAAATGTATGTAGAATGTTTAATTTTTTTTTTTAATTTTTATCTATTTCTATAGGTTGCTGGGGAACAGGTAGCATTTGGTTACATGAGTAAGTTCTTTAGTGGTGATGTGTGAGATTTTGGTGCACCCATCACCCAAGCAGTGTACACTGTACCCAATATGTAGTCTTTTTTTTTTTTTTTTAATAAGTAGACAGTTTATTTGGGTCAAGTTTAAGGATTATAACCTGGGAGCAAAGACTCAAGTTGCCTGGAATCTACACTTTGATTAGCAGCAGTTGCCAATGTGTAGTCTTTTATCCCTCACCCTCCTCTCACCCTTTCCCTGAGTCCCCAAAATCCCCTGTATTATTCTTACGCCTTTGCATCCTCATGGCTTAGCTCCCACTCATGACCGAGAACATACGATGTTTGATTTTCCATTTCTCAGTTACTTCACTTAGAATAATGGTCTCCAATTCCATCCAGGTTGCCGCAGATGTAATTATTTCACTTTTTTTTTTTTTTTTTTTTTTGAGATGGCGTTTCGGTCATTGCCCAGGCTGGAGTGCAATGGCGCGCTCTCGGCTCACCGCAGCTTCCACCTCCCGTGTTATAAAGCAATTTTCCTGAGTAGCCAGGATTACAGGCATGCGCCACCACGCCCGCCTAATTTTGTATTTTTAGTAGAGAAGAGGTTTCTCCATGTTGATCAGGCTGGTCTCAAACTCCTGACCTCAGGTGATCGGCCCGCCTCGGCCTCCCAAAGTGCTGGGATTACAGGTGTGAGCCACCACGCCCGGCCTGCTCTTTTTTTTTTTTTTTTTTTTTTTTAAACGATCTTTCTATTCTTTTTTTTTTTTTTTAGTACTTTAAATTCCAGGGTACATGTGCAGAACATGCCGGTTTGTTATGTAGGTATACATGTGCCATGGTGTTTTGCTGTGCCCATCAACCCATCATCTATATTAGGTATTTCTCCTAATGCTATCCCTCCCCTAGCCCCCAACCCCCTGACAGGCCCCGGTGTGTGATGTTCCCCTCCTGGTGTCCATGTGTTCTCATTGTTCAACTCCCACTTATGAGTGAGGACATGTGGTGTTTGGTTTTCTGTTCTTTTGTTAGTTTGCCGAGAATGATAGTTTCCAGCTTCATCCATGTCCCTACAAAGGACATGAACTCATCCTTTTTTATGGCTGCATAGTATTCCATGGTGTATATGTGTCACACTTTCTTTTTCCAGTCTATCATTGATGGGCATTTGGGTTGGTTCCAAGTCTTTGCTATTATGAACAGTGCCGCAATAAACATACGTGTGCATGTGTCTATGTGGTAGCATGATTTATAATCCTTTGGGTATATACCCAGTAATGGGATGGCTGGGTCAAACGGTATTTCTAGTTCTAGATCCTTGAGGAATCGCCACGCTGTCTTCCACAGTAGTTAAGCTAATTTACACTCTCACCAACAGTGTAAAAGTGTTTCTATTTCTCCACATCCTCTCCAGCATCTGTTGTTTCCTGACTTTTTAATGATAGCTGTTCTAACTGGCATGAGATGGCATCTCATTGTGGTTTTGATTCGCATTTCTCTGATGACCAGTGATGATGAGCATTTTTTCATATGTTTTTTGGCTGTATAAATGTCTTCTTTTTCAAAGTGTCTGTTCATATCCTTCACCCACTTTTTGATGGGGTTTTTTTCTTGTAAATCTGTTTAAATTCTTTGTAGATTCTTGATATTAGCCCTTTGTCAGATGGATAGATTGCAAAAATTTTCTCCCATTCTGTAGGTTGCCTATTCACTCTGACGATAGTTTATTTTGCTGTGCAGAAGCTTCTTAGTTTCATTAGATGCCATTTGTCAATTTTGGCTTTTGTTGCCATTGCTTTTGGTGTTTTAGTCATGAAGTGTTTGCCCATGCCTGCGTCCTGAATAATATTGCCTAGGTTTTCTTCTAGGGTTTTTATGGTTTTAGGTCTTATTTTTAAGTCGTTAATCCATCTTGAGTTAATTTTTGTATAAGGTGTAAGGAAGGATCCAATTTCAGCTTTTTGCATATGGCTAGCCAGTTTTCCCAACACCATTTATTAAATAAGGAATCCTTTCCCCATTTCTTGCTTTTGTCAGGTTTGTCAGAGATCAGATGGTTGTACATGTGTGGTGGTGTTATATCTGAGGCCTCTGTTCTGTTCCATTGGTCTATATATCTCTGTTGGGTACCAGTACCATGCTGTTTTGGTTACTGTAGCTTGTAGTATAGTTTGAAGTCAAGTAGAGTGAAGCCTCCAACTTTGTTCTTTTTGCTTAGGGTTGTCTTGGCTATGCGAGTCTTTTTTGGTTCCATATGAAATTTAAAGTAGTTTTTTCCAATTCTGTGAAGAAAGTCAATAGTAGCTTGATGGGGATAGCATTGAATCTATAAATTACTTTGGGCAGTATGGCCATTTTCACGATACTGATTCTCCCTATCCATAAGCATGGAATGTTCTTCCATTTGTTTGTGTCTTCTTTTATTTCCTTGAGCAGTGGTTTGTAGTTCTCTTTGAAGAGTTCCTTCACATCCCTTGTAAGTTGTATTCCTAGGTATTTTATTCTCTTTGTAGCAATAGTGAATGGGAGTTCACTCATGATTTGGCTCTGTCTGTCTGTTATTGGTATATAGGAATGCTTGTGATTTTTGCACATTGATTTTGTATCCTGAGACTTTGCTGAAGTTGCTTATCAACTTAAGGAGATTTAGGGCTGAGACGATGGGGTTTTCTAAATGTACAAGCATGCCATCTGCAAACAGAGACAATTTGACTTCCTCTTTTCCTAATTGAATACCCTTTATTTCTTTCTCTTGCCTGATTGCCCTGACCAGAACTTCCAACACTATGTTGAATAGGAGTGGTGAGAGAGGGCATCCGTGTCTTGTGCCGGTTTTCAAAGGGAATGCTTCCAGTTTTTGCCAATTCAGTATGATATTGGCTGTGGGTTTGTCATAAATAGCTCTTATTATTTTGAGAATACATTCCATCAATACCTAGTTTATTGAGAGTTTTTAGCATTAAGTGCTGTTGAATTTTGTCAAAGGCCTTTTCTGCATCTATTGAGATAATCGTGGTTTTTGCCATTAGTTTTGTTTATGTCTTGGATTATGTTTATTGATTTGCATATGTTGAATCAGCCTTGCATCCCAGGGATGAAGCCGACTTGATCGTGGTGGATAAGCTTTTTGATGTGCTGCTGGATTTATTTTGCTAGTATTTTATTGAGGATTTTCGCATCGATGTTCATCAGGGTTATTGGCTTAAAATTTTCTTTTTTTGTTGTGTCTCTGCCAGGTTTTGGTATCAGGATGCTGGCCTCATAAAATGAATTAGGGGGGATTCCCTCTCTTTCTATTGTTTGGAATAGTTTCAGAAGGAATGGTACCAGCTCCTCTTTGTACCTCTGGTAGAATTGGCTGTGAATCTGTCTGGTCCTGGAGTTTTTTTGGTTGGTAAGCTATTAAATACTGCCTCAATTTCAGAACTTGTGATTGATCTATTCAGGGATTTGACTTCTTCCTGGTTTAGCCTTAGGAGGGTGTATGTGTCCAGGAATTTATCTATTTCTTCTAGATTTTCTAGTTTATTTGCATATAGGTGTTTATAGTATTCTCTGATGGTAGTTTGTATTTCTTTGGGATGGGAGGTGAAATCCCCTTTATCATTTTTTATTGTGTCTATTTGATTCGTCTGTCTTTTCTTCTTTATTGGTCTGGCTAGCAGTCTGTCTATTTTGTTGATCTTTTCAGAAAACCATCTCCTGGATTCACTGATTTTTTTTGAAGGCTTTTCGGTCTCTAGCTCCTTCATTTTTGCTCTGATCTTGGTTATTATTTGTCTTCTGCTAGTTTTTGAATTTGTTTGCTCTTGCTTCTCTAGTTCTTCTAATTGTGGTGGTAGGGTGTCAATTTTAGATCTCTCCTGCTTTCTCTTGTGGGCATTTAGTGCTATACATTTCCCTCTACACCCTGCTTTAAATGTGTCCCAGAGATTCTGGTACATTGTGTCTTTGTTCTCATTGGTTTCAAAGAACATCTTTATTTCTGCGTTCATTTCATTATTTACCCACTAGTCATTCAGGAGCAGGTTGTTCAGTTTCCATGTAGTTGTGTGGTTTTGAGTGAGTTTCTTAGTCCTGAGTTCTAATTTGATTGCACTGTGATCAGACAGACTGTCTGTTATGATTTCTGTTCTTTTGCATTTGCTGAGGAGTGTTTTACTTCCAATGATGTGGTCAATTTTAGAATAAGGGCAATGTGGTGCTGAGAAGAATGTATATCCTGTTGATTTGGGGTGGAGAGTTCTATAGATGTCTATTAGGTCCACTTGGTCCAGAGTTGAGTTCAAGTCCTGGATATCCTTGTTAATTTTCTGTCTTGTTGATCTGTCTAGTGTTGACAGTGAAGTGTTAAAGTCTCCCGTTATTATTGTGTGGGAGTCTAAGTCTCTTTATAGGTCTCTAAGAACTTGCTTTACAATCTGGGTGCTCCTTTATTGGGTGCATATATATTTAGGATAGTTAGCTCTTCTTGTTGCATTGATCCCTTTACCATTATGTAATGGCCTTCTTTGTCTCTTTTGATCTTTGTTGGTTTAAAGTCTATTTTATCAGAGGCTAGGATCGCAACCCCTGCTTTTTTTTGCTTTCTGAATTTGCTTTTGAATATTCCTCCATCCCTTTATTTTGAGCCTGTGAGTGTCTTTACACGTGAGATGGGTCTCCTGAATACAGCACACCAATGGGTCTTGACTCTTTATCCAGTTTGCCAGTGTTTGTCTTTTAATTGGTGCATTTAGCCCATTTACATTTAAGGTTAATATTGTTAAGTTTGAATTTGATCCTGTCATTATGATGCTAGCTGGTTATTTTGCCCATTAGTTGATGCAGTTTCTTCATAGCATTGATGATCTTTACAATTTGGTATGTTTTTGCAGTGGCTGGTACTGGTTGTTCCTTTCCATGTGAAGTGCTTCCTTCAGGAGCTCTTGAAAGGCAGGTGTGGTTGTGGCAAAATATCTCAGCATTTGCTTGTATGTAAAGGATTTTATTTCTCCTTCGCTTATGAAGCTCAGTTTGGCTGGATATGAAATTCTGGGTTGAAAATTCTTTTCTTTAAGAATGTTGAATATTGGCCCCCACTCTCTTCTGGCTTGTAGGGTTTCTGCCAAGAGATTCCTTGTTAATCTGATGGGCTTCCCTTTGTGGGTAAAGTGACCTTTCTCTCTGGCTGCCCTTAACATTTTTTCCTTCATTTCAACCTTGGTGAGTCTGATGATTATGTGTCTTGGGGTTGCTCTTCTCAAGGAATATGTTTGTGGCATTCTCTGTATTTCCTGAATTTGAATGTTGGCCTGACTTGCTAGATTGGGGAAGTTCTTCTGGATAATATCCTGAAGAGTGTTTTCCAACTTGGTTCCATTCTCCCTGTCACTTTCAGGTACACCAATTAAATGTAGATTTGGCACTGTTCATGACTTCAGGTAAAGATGGCTCATATTTGACAGCTTACAGAATAACATGAGAGTGTTATAAACACACATTCCCCCCTCCCCACCTTTATCCTTCCTGAATTGCTTTACAAGCCGTTTAAGAACAATTTAATATTCCTGTGTGCAGCAGTTCAGTTTTCTTGTTTTGCTTTCTCTCATTTTTCTCTTTAAGGCTCAATTGTCTGTTTATTTTCATTTGTATTTATTATTGTTGTTAAGTGACAAATGGTCATTGAAACATAATACCTTACAGTAAGTAACCTCTTTTTTGTTCAGTACAATTCTATAGTTTTTGTGAGATAAGGAACTGATTCTGCTTACTATTTCTGTCACATTGGTAGAAAATGTATAGCCCCTATTTGCAACAACACGTGAATCATATTGAGAGGAGGCCAGTCTGAATTATATTTTTTATGGAAAAATACTTTGAAATAACTTAGGCACGAATTTTAAGTACATTTCTTCTGCAGTTGTTTTAGTGAATGTAATGTATTTAAATTTTAAATAAAGGACATTTATTAACCTGCCACTGTGCTGATAAATTTTTTTTTTAAATTCTCATATAGGGATAACAATAATAGCTCATTTTAAGTGTTTCATTTAAAAGGAAATATATGATATTCAAGAAACAATAAGCCAGGTACAGTGGCTCACGCCTGTAATCCCAGCACTTTGGGAGGCGGAGGTAGGAGAATTACTTGAGGTCAGGAGTTCAAGACCACCCTGGGCAACATAGTGAAACCCAGTCTGATACGGTTTGGATGTTTGTCCCCTCCAAATCTCAGGTCGAAATGTGATTCTCAGTGTTGGAGGTAGGGCCTGGTGGGAGGTGATTGGATCATGGGGGCAGATCCCTCATGAATGGTTCAGTACCATTCCCTCAGTGTTAAGTGAGTTCTCGCTTAGTTAGTTCACTGGAGATCTGGTTCTTTAAGAGTGTGTGGCACTCCCAACCTCTGTCTTGCTCTCACTTTTGTCATGTGACAGACTGGCTCTTTGTTACTTTCTGCCATGTTGTCAACTTCTTGAGGCCTCATCAGAGGCAGATGCCAGAACTATGCTTTCTTAAGGCCTGCAGAACCTTAAGACGATTAAACCTCATTTCTTTATAAATTACCCAGCCTCAGGTATTTCTTTATAGCAGCACAAAAGTGGCCTAATACACTGACTCTACAAAAAAATGAAAAAAAATTAGGCATGGTGGCACACATCTGGAGTCCTAGCTGCTTGGGAGGCTGGGGCAGGAGGATCCCTTGAGCCCAGGAGTTTGAGGCTGCAGTAAGCTAAGATTAAAAAAGAAAAAACAAAGAAGATATATATATTTTAAAATTCAGAAAAAAATAAGGGAGGAAGAGAGATGGAACTACAGTCTTATCCAGACCCATTATTAATGTTAACTTATGTGTTAGAATATTTTTTTCTCATTTAAAAAAAATCTGTACGCAAGTTTGACGGAGAATTTTTTTTTTCATAGTTAAACCACGTTTACAATTTTGTATTGCTGATCAATCCACCTTTTTATCATGTTAGTGATACCTGCAGCCAAGCTCAAGCCAAGAGTTATGACAAATTCTGAATTGGAAAGAATGAGAAATAATGAGGCATCTCCAGTTGATTATTTTCCTAAGACATCTGCATAGAGCAGTCTCTCCCTCCTATTGGTAAAGGAAAGAAGAGAACGGAGGTGAGACCTTTGTGAACTTGCCCCAATCTGATCTCAGCTCAGGGTAGTCATGTAATTGCCTGTCCTTTGTATTACTCTATTATAACTATGTGTGGTGTGTATTTTTAATGAAGGAATTTAAAATGCAATTGTTGCAGTAAAGATTTGTGTCTGCATGATTTTTCTGTCTCTTGGCTTCTTGTTCATGCGTAGCTCTTAATCGATGGAGTAGAACAGGTGGTAATTGCCACTGGCACACTGAGACTTGTGAATAGCATCTGTTTATGTCTCTTTTACCATTGAATGGTTAGGGTAACCTTCTCCTCACTGCTTTCCTATGTGGATGGTAAAAGTCTATCATGAGTCATTATAAGGTGCTAATTTACACTGTTTTTCTAACATGATGGAATAGGTGAAGAAGAAAGTCCATCTGGTGACTAAATATGATTATGATTTGAATTGAACAATTAAAAAGAAGGCATAATACTTCTGAGGTTATTATGGATTACCGGGTCAAATAATATGTGCCAAAAATACCAATTCCAATTCAGAGTATTTCCTTGAGTAGATGGAGTAATTAGTAATGTGGAGTCTGGAGTTTGGTTTTGACACTTAAAAATCATTATTTACTTTTAATTATATTAGATAATAAAACATTCAAACCCTTATAGTCTTCATCTTGTTTGTAATTAGTTTTGTTAAGCCCACTCTTAAATGTTGTGTGGTATTTGTTTATGTATGTTGATGTAACCAGCCCTGGATGTAGACGCTTGATCAGGTTCATATTTGATACTCATACACTTTTTTTCTTGAAGTAGTGCTTTATAGATGTTGGGTACTTCATCCCTCCTAGTGATGTTAGCAGCAGTTGGTGATAACTAGCTAAATCTATTAATTCATTATAGTTTCCTTTTTAAAAAATATTTACTGTGGAGAATTATGAAATGAACTATGTTCTCATCACTCAGCTTCAATAGTGATCAACTCATGGTTAATCTTATTTCCTTTTTCCCACCAATTCTCTCCCTTCCAGAGACATTTTGAAGAAAATTCTAGACATGTTATCTTTAAATATTTTAGTGTGTATCTCTAGAAGTCACGGACTTCCCTTTTAAAACATAACTATGGTACTATCATCATCCCCACCTCCCTAAAAGATCAGCAATAACTTCATAATACCATCAGATATCCAGTCAGTATTTGCATAGTTTTAATTGCCCTGTAACTGTTTTTTTAGTAGTTTGCTTGAATCCGGATCCAAAAAAGGTGCCTATGATGTGCTCTTTTTTCTTTGAAATGTTTTGGTTGAAGGTGTTAGGTGATTTTCCCACAGGATGGATTTTGTCTTTTTTTTTTTTTTTTTTTTTTAGATGGAGTCTCGCTCTGTTGCCCAGGCTGGAGTGCAGTGGCGCGATCTCGGCTCACTGCAAGCTCCGCCTCCCAGGTTCACGCCATTCTCCTGCCTCAGCCTCCCAAGTAGCTGGGACTACCGGCGCCTGCCACAACACTCAGCTAATTTTTTGTATTTTTAGTAGAGACGGGGTTTTACCGTGTTAGCTAGAATGGTTTCCATCTCCTGACCTCGTGGTCCGCCCGCCTCAGCCTCCCAAAGTGCTGGGATTACTGGTGTGAGCCACCATGCCTGGCCTGGATTTTGGTGATTGTAGTCCCACACTGTAAGTGAGCATGTTCCTTGTTTCTTCTTGTATTATATATTCCTGTGTAATGAATTTCCTCAAAACGTAGCAACTTAAAACAATAATTAACATTACCTCACAATTGCTGTGTGAAATTCAAAAGTGGCTTGGCCGAGTGGTTATCACTCAGGGTCTGTCATGAGGTTGCATTCAAACTGTAAGCTGGGGCTGCAGTGATCTAAAAGCTTGATCAGGGCAGAAGGAGCCACTCCAAGATGGCTCACTCACATGGCTGTTGGCTGGAGGCCTTGGTCCCTCACCACATGCACCTCTCCATACAACTGCTTGAGGCTCCTCTCATGTCAGCTCGCTTACTCCAGTGCAAGTGACCTTAGAGCAAGGTGGATGCCACAGTGTCTTATAATCTATTCTTGGAAGTCACACACCATCATTTCTAATCTGTTCAATTCATTTCAAGCAAATCACAAAGTACAGCCCATACTTAAGGAGAGAGGAACTAGGCTTTGCTTTTGGCAGGAAGGAGTATCAAAGAATTTGTGGACAGCTCTTTAAACTACAACACTTACTTCCTGTAAATTAGTAGTCAGATGTAGACATGAATGCAACATACTTTGGGCCCAGTGCAAAATGAAAATGTTGGACCTGTTGTTCAAATTTCCCTTCCTCCCCTCCCTTCCCCTCTTCTTCTCTTTCCTTTTTTTTTCTTTCTTGCTCTTTCTCTCTCCCTTCCTTTCTTTCTTGCCCTCCCCTCACTCCCTCCCTCCCTCACTCCCCCCTTCCCTCACTCCCCCCCCTCCCTCCTCACTCCCTCCCTCCCTTCCTTTCTTCCTCTCTCCCTCCTTCCATTGGTTTGGCTCTGTATCCCCACTCAAATTTCATCTCAAATTGTAATCCCCACATGTTGTGGGAGGGACCTGGTGGAAGGTGATTGGATCGTGGGAGCAGATATTCCCCATGCTGTTCTCATAAGTTCTTGCAAGCTCTGATGGTTTAAATAAATGTGGGACTTCCCCACTCGTGCTCGCTCTCTCCTGCCACCTTGTGAAGAAGATGCTTGCCTCTCCTTGCCTTCCACCATGATTGTAACTTTCCTGAGGCCTCCCCAGCCATGTGGAACTGTGAGTCAATTAAACCTCTTTTCTTTATAAATTACCCAGTCTCAGGTAGTTCTTTATAGCAGTGTAAAAACGAACTAATTCTTTTTCTTTCACACAGGGTCTTGTTCTGTCACTCAGGCTGGAGTGCAGGGGTATAATCATAGCTCACTGCACTCATGAGCTCTTGGGCTCAAGGGATCCTCCTGCCTCAGCCTCCCAAGTAGCTAGGACTACAGGCATGCACCAGCATGCCTGGCTGATTTTTGTATTTTTTGTAGATACAGGGTCTCGCTATGTTGCTCAGGATGGTCTCAAACTCCTGGCCTCAAGTGATCCTCCCACCTTGGCCTCCCAAAGTACTGGGATTGCAGGTGTGAGCCACCTTGGCTGGTCCAAACAGGGCAGCAGAACATAAAATGGGACCCTTCTGAGCTCAGAGCCCTGTGAAACTGAATAGATTACACCTATGAAACCAGTCCTAGATGTAGAGGCTTCCTCGGATTCAGATTCAATACTCATACACTTTCTGTCTTGCATACTGTTTCATAGATGTTGGTTACTTCATCTCTCCTAGTGATATTAGCAGCAATTGGTGATCACTAGCTGGATCTATTAATTCGTTATAGTTTTCTTTACATACTAGCTGTGATAATTTCAACAGAAGAATTTCCCTTGATAATTTGGTTACTCTGAGATCTGGTTTGTATAGAAAAAATAGTTATTTTCCTTTATTTGCCAGTTTTCAGAATAATGAATTAGTTCTCTAATATCCTTTAAAGATGGTCGATAGGCTTTTTGTTAACTTTTAAGTTCAGGGGTACATGCGCAGGTTTGTTACATAGGTAAACTTGTGTCATGGGAGTTTGTTATGCAGATTATTTCATCCACCCAGGTATTAAGTCTAGTACCCATTAGTTACTTTTCCTGATCCTCTCCCTTCTCCCACCCTCCTTCCTCCAATAGGCCACGGTGTGTGCTGTTCCCCTCAATGTGTCCATGTGTTCTCATCATTTAGTTTCCACTTACAAGTGAGAAAATGTGCTATTGGGTTTTCTATTCCTGCATTAGTTTGCTAAGGGTAATGGCCTCCAGCTTCATCTGTGTCCCTGCAAAGGACATGATCTCATTCTTTTTATGGCTGCATAGTATTGCACGGTGTATATATTCCACATTTTCTCCATCCAGTCATCATTGATGGGCATTTAGGTTGGTTCCATGTCATTGCTATTGTGAATAATGCTGCAATGAACATATGTGTGCATGTGTCTTTATACTAGAATGATTTATATTCCTTTGGGTATATACCCAGTGATGAGATTGCTGGGTCGAATGGTATTTCTGTCTTTAGATCTGTAAGGAATCGCCACACTGTCTTCCACAATGGTTGAACTAATTTACACTCCCACCAACAGTATATAAGTGTTTTTTTCTTCACAACCAGCATTAATATAATCATAGATTTTTGATGTTTTCTAATCTATTGCAGTTAATTACTCTTATTGATATTGATTGTCCTATCTTTAATTAGTGTTTAAGTATTCTTTGTTAGCTTTCTTGCGTTCTGGTAATAAGATAGTTCAGGTTTATGTTGTACATTTCCCTCCTCAGACCTGGAATCAGACCTATTTTTGCAAAGAATTTTGTTTGCTTTTTCAGAAATGTTATTATATGGACTGTAATACACATGACATGCATTGGGGAGCTCATTTCTACTGGTTTGATCATTAATCACTTAGTGGACAGAGCTAAGAAATACAGTCCTGCATCACATAACGATGTTTTGTTCGACAAACTGCATATATAATGGTGGTCCCATAAGATAGTACTGTACTTTTACTGTACTTTTTGTATGTTTATATATACAAATACTTACTCTTGTATTATAATTGCCTACAGTATTCAGTACAGTAACATCCTGTACAGGTTTGTAGCCTACAAGCCATAGACTACACCATACAGCTTAGATGTGTAGTAGGCTGGCTATACCATCTATGTTTGTTTAAGTACACTTTATGACATTCACGCAATGACTGAAATTGCCTAAGACACATTTCTCAGAATGTATTTTATTGTTAAGTGATGCGTGGCTGTCTGTGTATATTCATTCTGTTTATAATCTTTATACCAGTACTTCAAATTCAGTACTCTAATTTTTTTTTTTTTTTTTGAGATGGAGTTTCGCTCGTTGCTCAGGCTGGAGTGCAGTGGCGCAATCTTGGCTCACTGCAACCTCCGCCTCCCAGGTTCAGGAGATTCTCCTGCCTCAGCCTCCCGAGTAGCTGGGATTACAGGTACCCGCCCAGCTAATTTTTGTATTTTTGGTAGAGACAGGGTTTCACCATGTTGGCTAGGCTGGTCTCGAACTCCCAACCTCAGATGATCTGCCTGCTTCAGCCTCCCAAAGTGCTGGGATTACAGTCATGAGCCACCATGTGCAGCCAGTACTGTAAATTTTTTATTCAACTTCATGGATCTTATATCTGTGTATTTCCTGTCTTTTATGATGAAAATGCTACTTCTCAATGACACTAACAATTACTCATTTGTTTCATACAAGACTCACACACAATGGTCTCGGAATAACAGCTTCTACCCAGCCTTCAATCATTAAATAGTTTCTAATTCTTATTTCCCCTAAACAACCTTTTTTTTTTTTTTTGTCATATAAGTATAGCTCACTAGGGGTGTACACTCAGATTGCTGTGTTTTAAAGTCATTTGTATGCACAGGATTGTGTTTCATTTTTGTCTTTTAGGAATTTAAAATTTTATTTTTGCTTTATGATTGTGGGAAATATTTACATGGTTTCAAAGTCAAATTTACAGGAAAAAGTATATTCAAAGAAATGTAGCTTCTGTCTTCTATCCTCCTCATCCTATTTCTCCCTCTTCCAAAGGAAGCCTGTTCATAGTTTATTCTTTTATTTACTTTAAACATAAGCATATATTTTCAAAACCCTTCTTTTGATAAGCAGAAAAGTCATGTATACAATTTTATTCATCCTGCTTTTGTCACTAACATATATCCTGGAGATAATGCCGTAATAGTATATAGAGAGCTTATTGTTTTTTATAGCAACATATTACTTCACTGTGCAGATATTCCACAGTGTATTCAACTTTTCCCCTCTTGATAGGCATTTGAATTATTTCCAGTCTTTTGCTATTACAGATGGTGCTGCAATGAATAGCTTTGTGTTGTTTGTATTTTTACCAGTATAGCTTTGGGAGATTCCTAGAAGCAGGATTTCTTGCTCAAAAGGTAAATGCATTCTCAGGTTTGCTAGATATTACCAAATTCCCCTCTATGGAAAAATGGTGTATATTAGCAATGTATTAGAGTACCACTAGAGAAAACATTTTGGATATTGCCAACCTCTTAGGTGAGAAATGTACTTAAGTATAGTTTTGATTTGCATTTCTCTTATTATGAGCAAGATGGAGCATCTTTTCACATTGATGGGAGAAATTGATCCAATTTTAATTATTTCCATATGACTCTCTAGTTATCCCAACAATATTTATTAGAAAGCCCATCTTTTCCCTACCAATTGAGCTATTACCATTAATTGACACTAAATTTCTATATGCTCTTTTGTTTTCCATTAGCCTGTCCTGTAATTATGCACTTGTACCAAACTGCTTTAGTTATCAAAGATTTATAATATATTTGATGCTTGGCAAAACCATTTCCTCTTTATTGCTCCCTTAGAATTGTTCTGGCAATTTTTCCTTGTTTATTCTTCCAGGTAAACTTTAAATAGTTCTTCTCACTGCAGTAAAATGCTTTATTGTATTTTCATTGGGCTTGTGCTAAATTTATTACTTTAGAGACAACTAACATCTGTGTGATATGTCTTGCTATCCAAGAACATCATAAGCTTTTCCTGTTGTTCATATCTATTTTTGCATTTTAGTGACATCTAACCAATAGACTGTGTTAGAAGCAATGACTTAAGAGACTAGGTCACAAAAGGCAATACATCTTCTGCCCTTCTCACTCTCCACCTTTGGAACTTAGCTGTCATATTGTGAGGAAGTCCAGGCTACATGTAGGTGTTCTGGCCAATATCCCCAGCTAAGGTTCCAGCCAACAGCCAGTATCAACCAGCAGGCATATGACTTAGTGAGTCTTCAGATTATTACAAGTTTTAACTTTTAAACTACCCCAGCTGACACCAAGTGAAATAGTTTGGCGCTCTCCCTGCAAATTCCTGCCCAAATCACAGATGTTTTGGCAAAATAAATGTTTTAATCTACTAAGTTTGGGTGGTTTTTAAGCAACAATACCAAGTACCCATCACCCAATTCAATCCATAGTCAACCTTGTTTCACCTATATGCCCACCTATTTTCCCAATTATCTTGAAGCAGATTCCAGACTTCACATCATTTTTCCATATACATACATACATACATACATACACAACACTTTTTAAGCAGCATAACCACAATGCCCTTATCACATCTAACAGTTCTTTAATATTGTCAAGTACCCAGTCAATGTTCAACTTTTCATCATTGTCTCACAAATTTTTTCAACAACTTATTTGTCTGGATCAGGATTCAGTTAAATTCTGTGCATTGTAATCAGTTAATGTGTCTTTAAATCTCTTTTTAAAAATCTACACATCTCCCAATATTTTAAAGGGACTAATTTGTACAAGGCTTTAGGAAGTTTGTAAAGGAGGACGAATAGCCTGAAATTACTTAGTAGGAAAGAGCTGTGTGTACACAAAGACTATGAAACAAAGAATAATGTGATAGGCTTTGGATGAATAAAGTGTTGAGAGATTTGAGAAAAGGAAGCGAACCCTTTTCTCATTTTCAGGCCATAGCAGCTGTGGTGTCCAGAGAGGCCTATATAGTTATCTTAGTCAGTTGGGGCTGCTATAACGAAATACCATAAACTGAGTAGCTTAGACAACTGTTGGGTGCAGAAAATGATACCTCAAAATATGATGCTGATATAGCAGTTAGGAAGAAATTATTTAGGCAGATAGTGAGGGTAAGGAAGTCCTCAGGAAGGTTTTCCTGTTAATGAAAAGCAGCCCCCAAATCATTTTCTTTTCTAACAAAGAGCAGCCTGTGAAATCAATCTGGAGACATAGAAAAGAAGGCTAGAAGCTTGCATGGGTGAATGCCAGCAGCCGTGCCAGCAGGAAAGAGGCTAGCTGGGGATAGGCAGGCCCAACATGGTGGCTCCATCTTCCCTTCTCTTTGCCAGCCACGTGTACAGTAAGGAGTAGACAAGATGCCGCCGGCCAAGTGGAAAGCCTATTTACATAATAAAATTAGGGTGGGGTGGCCAGCTTCCCCTGCAAACTATGTAAAGGTCACACGTGGTCCAACCAATCTGTGGGCCCTATGTAAATCAGAAATCGCCCCCTCAAACCTGTCTATAAAATCTGGTGCACTCTGTGGTGGGCTGGAAGTCCCACTCCGGAGCCCCTCTTTCTCCCAGGAGAGAGAGCTATTCTTTCTCTTTCTTTTGCCTATTAAACCTCCACTCCTAAACCCACTTCTTGTGTCTGCATACTCCATTTCCTTGGTGTGAGATGAGGAACCCTGGGTGTTTACCCCACACAATGACGCTGTTTCAATGCTTTGTCATGCCGAATGCTTTGAAGTAAATAAAATTGAGTAGCCTCAGAAATAAGCCTCAGAGGCTGGACACGGTGGCGCTCGCCTATAATCCTAACACTTTTGGAGGCTGAGGCAGGTGGATCACCTGAGGTCAGGAGTTCAAGACCAGCTTGACCAACATGGTGAAACCTCGTCTCTACTAAAAATACAAAAATTAGCCAGCTGTGGTGGTGTGTGCCTGTAATCCCAGCTGCCTGGGAGGCTGAGGCAGAAGAATCGCTGGAACCTGGGAGGTGGCAGCTGCAGTGAGCCAAGATTGGGCCATTGCATGCCAGCCTGGGCAACAGAGTGAGACTCTGTCTAAAAAAAAAAAAAAAAAAAAAAAAGGAAAAAAAAAATAAGCCTCAGAACCAAAGTTTCTCTCTGACCCTCCCCTCCCCAAGTGCCCTCCCCCACCCCCACCCCATCTCCTTTCTTTCCTGAAGCACTGGAAGGGACTCCTTCTGGAATATTCTTATCTGAAAAAAAAAGCTTGTTTCCAAAAGAAAAGCAATTGTCTTAAGACCTCCTCCCTAGGACTCTCGTTAAGTAACCGCTGGAGAAGAGACATAACTGAGAGTTGCCACCACAAACAGACTTTTCATCTTTTCCCCTGAGGGCAGCTCTTGGAGATTACTTGGGAGGTTTCATCTACATAATAAGACATTTATTCACAAGAACTTCCACCCCTCACCTTTTTATCACCTTCCTCAGAGCTCAGAAGAACTTTGTTTCAGGCCATTGTTTTTTGGGCTCATTCATTTCCCTGAAAAGCATTTACTCCTACACCCATCATCTCCCCTTCCCCTGTGGAGGAGGATATATAAGCATCTGAACCTCATTGGGTTATTGGGTAATCACATTCCTGTGATTTTCCCCTGTGCATGTTAAATAAATTTTGTGTGCCTCTTTCTCTGATCAATCTCTCTTTTGTCAGTTCATTTTCAGCAAACCTTCAGTGGGCAGAGAGGAAGCTTTTCTTCTACCCTACACAAACAAACATTTATTTCTTACAGTTCTAGAGGCCGAGAAGTCCAAGATCAAGGTGTTGGTAGATTCAGTGTCTGGTGAGGGCCCTATTTCTGGTTTCCAGACAGGTGCCTTCTTTCTGTATTTTCACATAGGGGGAAGGAGGAGGTGGGGAGGCAGGGAGGGAGAGAGAGAGAGACAGAGAGAAACATGAGGTTTGTTGTCTCATGCCAAGAAAATTAAGGACATGGACACACACAAGGAGTGAGTTTAGGAGCAGAGGTTTAATAGGCAAAAGAAAGAGAAAGGAGAACAGCTGTCTGTCTTGTGTGAGAGAGGGGTGCCCAAGTGGGAATTCTCACCTGTGGTAGAGTGCACTGGATTTTATAGACAGGACTTGAGGAGGCCACGTCTGAGTTACATAGGGCCCACAGATTGGTTGGACCAATTGTGACGTTTACATAGCATGCAGGGAAGGCTGGTCACCCCACCCTAATCTTACTATACAAACGGGCTTTCCACTTGGCTGGTGCCATCTTGTCTGCTCCTTACTGTATGCATGGCTGGCAAAGAGAAGGGAACATGGAGCTGCAATTTTGAACATGCCTAGTCCCAGGTAGCCTTTTCGTATTGGCACAACTGCTGGCATTCACCCGTGCAAGCTTCCAGTTTGCTTGTCTCTGTCTGCAGCTTAATTTTACAGGCTGCCTTTTGTTAGAAAAGAAAAGGATTTTGGGGCTGCTTTTCATTAAAAGGAA
Organism: Homo sapiens; assembly: GCF_000001405.40. Classification (NCBI taxonomy): domain Eukaryota; kingdom Metazoa; phylum Chordata; class Mammalia; order Primates; family Hominidae; genus Homo; species Homo sapiens. The sequence continues at coordinate 53,651,237 of NC_000002.12, read as the reverse complement.
AACCTTACCGAGGACTCCTGTACACTCAGTATCTGCCTAAATAATTTCTTCTTAACTTGTATATCCATATCTCATGTCTCTTCCTCTTCTTATAAGGACATTTATCTCATCATGAGAGCCCCATCCTTACAGTCTAATTATCTCCCAAAGGCCCCATCTCTAAATATCATCACAATTGGAGTTAAGGCTTCTATATATGAATTTTCTGGGGAACACAAACATTCAGGTCATAGGAGCATGGCAGAAAACAGACAGAAATAAAGAATGGAAACTTATACCACGTTCCCAAGGACTTCGTGGATGTTGAGACTAGGAAGCCAAAGAAGTAGAATATCCATTTCTTGTGACTTCCCTTAGAACAACTCCAGTTGAGATTATTATTGATCCTTGCACCCAGTATAAGCTTTCATTCTCAGTCTTTAGTTCTCCAGCTGCAAAAGCTCCTAAGATAGTCTGTATAACAAAGTTTTAGAATTACTGAGGAGTCCTTTAAAGTGGAGATTTTACGCTGTTGGAACTGGATGTGAGAGTAGTTTTACTATAATAAGAGCAATCATAAATATTTAAGTGTGATTCAGACTGAGGGGGGGAACCTCAGCAGAAGAACATTTTTGCCCATTCGTTATTAGTGGTACAGTTTTTTGGGCAATACACAATCAGAATTAAGCTTTATTAATTTATTGGTTTCCAAAAAAAATGCAGATGATACTGGCTTTGGCAATCTTTTGATTACATCTCCAGAATATTTATAAACCTAAATGAGATGCTTTTAACTAGTTCAGAGGGCAGTTTATTAATTTTGTCCTATTTTAATTCCCTAAAAACCTACTGTAAGAAATAGGGCTATTTATGACCTGTGACTAATACCTAGTAATCACGATGGACAAGGGCTTTTTTTTTTTTTTTTTTTTTTTTTCATTTAAGAGCTTCTTGAGGAAGGGGAAAGGCTTTCAATGGTCAGTAGGGCGGTTTTTAAAATCTAATAAACGGCTATTACTGCTTCAGTAATAAAAATGTAATGGCTTCTCAGACATAAAAGTTGCATGAAACTTATTTAAAGACAATTTTTGGGTCAAAATAGGAGATTTATGCATGTTATTATCCTGTTGATCAAGGTGAAAGTGCATAATTTGCTTATATAAAAAATGTAAGAGGGCATGCTTATTTTATTCTTTTATATGTAATGAGTCTTGGGAAGAGGTTAGATATTGGTGGTGGCTGCAGTTATGGAGTAATTATCCTGTAGTAATAGCTTTCCATTTTAAATGGGACGAGCTTTGGCGGGGAGATGGGGGGAAAGGGGGTGCAGAACTCTAAAGAGAACTGAGAATCAAATGATTGTTTCTTTTTAATCCTAGACAATAGCATATCTAGGCTATGGGGAAGTTTGAGTAGTCATATAATCACCTGATAGGTTCTTCTTGCTCACTGCACAGACAAAACCAATTCACTGAAAGTGTGGCATTGCAATAAAGAAAGGCTTTAATTGGCATGAGGCAAGTCACACCAAGCAGAAGGTGGAAGTATTACTCAAATCAATCTCCTTGAAAATTTGGAGTCTAGGCTTTTTCAAGGATCGTTTGGTGAGCAGGAGGCTAGGAGAATAGGTGCTGCTGACTGGTTGGGTATGCAATCACAGGGGTGTGGAAAATAGTCCTTGTGCACTGAGTCCACTTCTGAGTGGGTCCACAGGACTGGTTGAGCAGAGAATTGAGGGTTGGCATGGGGTCTTCCAGTAGTCAGAAATGCAGAAGCCTGAAAAGACATCTCAAAAGGCCAATACTATAGTGAACTGGAGAAATTGCAAATAGTGTGACCTCCAGAATAATGGCTGGTAATGGTTTATGCCTATGTCTTAGCAAAATTCAGGTCCTTTTTATCCTCCTAACCTAGTAGCCTTTCATTAGCTTTATAAAGGCAGTTTAGTTTTGGGGAAGATCTATTATCATTTAAACTATAAACTAAATTTTTCCCAAAGTTAGCTTGGCCTAAGTATAGGAATGAACAAGGGCAATTTGGAGGTTAAAGGCAAGATGGGAGTTAGATTAGGTCTCTTTCGCTGTCATAATTTTCTCATTGTTATACTTTTTGCAAAGGTGGTTTCAGTTAGAACTTCTTTCCAGAATATTCAAGTTTAGACATAAGCAGCTACGGAACCTGGGGCAACCCACACACTTGCTATCATCGTAATTTTGTCTAAAGGGCAAAATTCGACTCATTAATTTGTTCTGTTCACTTTTCTAACTATATCTACCATCTAAAAAATTAAAATTGCTTAGCCACTTAAAAGTTACTATTTTCTTCTTTATATATCATTCTAAATACTATATTTTAAAAAAGTTTTTTTAAATTAATATATATGCGTGTGTGTGTGTGTGTGTGTGTGTGTGTGTGTGTGTGTGTGTGTATATATATGTATGTATTTTTTTTGAGATGGAGTTTCACTCTTTGTTGCCCAGGCTGGAGTGCAGCAGCGTGATATAGGCTCACTGCATCCTCCGCCTCCTGAGTTCCAGCTGTTCTCCTGTCTCAGCCTCTAGAGTAGCTTGGATTACAGGTGCCTGCCACCACAGCCGGCTAATTTTTGTATTTTTAGTAGAGATGGGATTTCAGCATGCTGGTCAGGCTGGTCTCAAACTCCTGACCTCAGGTGATCCACTCACCTCGGCCTCCCAAACTGCTGGGATTACAGGCATGAGTCACCGCGCCCAGCCCAGTATTTTATATTTGTATCAGTTATCTATTGCTGCATAACAAATTACCACAGATATAGTGGCTTAAAGTACACAAACATTCATTTTCTCACACTTTCTGTGGATTGGGAATCTGGGTATGGATTAGTCAGATCTGCTTTGGGGTCTGTCATGAGTTTGCGATCAAGGTGCTGGCTAGGGCTAGGATCTCATCTGATGGCTTGACCAAAGAAAGACCTGCTTCCAAGTTCCTATGGTTGTTGGCAAGATTTAGTTCCTTGCGGCCTGTTGGACTGAGGGCCTCAGTTTCTTGCTGGCTGTTGGCTTTCAATCTTACTTAGCTGTTGGCCTGAGGTCACACTCCATTTCTTGCCACATAGTTGCCCCTAATGTGGCTGCTTGCTTTTTTAAAGCGCACAAGGTGAGAAAGCAATAGAGAGTCTGCTAGCAAGATGAAAGTCACTATTTTGTAATGTAATCATGGAAATAACAACCCGTCACCTTTGCCATATCCAATTATTGTTTAGAGCAAGTCAAAGGTCATGACTACACTCAAAGAGATGATATTACACAAGATGTGACTAGAAAGAGGTGAAGACAATTGGGGGCTATTTTAGACTCTGTCTGATACAACGCAATTTTATTAATATGAAACGATACGTTCTTTTAGAAAATGTAAGCAGTATGGTTGTTACCAAAAAAAATCCTGCAATCTCATCACCCAGAGATAAAAACTATTAATACTTTGTTGCATATACTTCATCTTTTTTCCTATTTTATATATTATTAAAAGTAATAAAATGTGGTCATAACTTGATACATTGTGGTATAATCTATTTCATTTAATTCATTAAACATTCTTGCAAAGTAGTAAATAATCTTCTATATAATTTTGAATGGCTACATTAATTTATGTTATGATTAGATCATGGTTTAATTAACCCAGAGTTTGGCAAACTTTTCATGTAAAGGTGAGATAGTGAATATGTTAGGCTTTGGGGACATACAAGCTGTTGCATCTACCCACCTCTGCTATTATATCTTGAAATCAGCCATAGACAATATGTCAATGAGTAGGAAGTGGCTGTGTTTCAGTAAAACTTTCTTTATGGACACTAAAATTTGAATTTCATATACTTCTCATGAGTAACAAAACTGTTTTCTTTTGATTTCTTTCAACCATTTAAAAATGTAGAAATGACTATTAGCTTGCAGGTTGAATGAAAAAAGGTGATGGGGTCAGGTTTGGTCTGTGGGCTGTAGTTTTGTTTATCCTATTAATACAGGAGTTATTAAGAAATATTTTTTAGGAAGCTAGAAAGTGTAAAGGTTCTCAGTGGAATTTTCCTTTAATAAAAAGCAACCCCCAAAACATTTCTTTTCTAACAGGAAGGTGGCTTGAAGAGCCAGGTTGGCAAGCTTTGATATGCAAATGCCAGTGATTAGAAACTGGGTCCATCCAACATGGCAATTCCTGCCCTCTTCTCCTTGTCACCACCTGTGCCAAGTGTCATGGCCACCTCCAGATAATACCATGTGTACAGGACATCATGGTGATCCGCATTTGCATATTAAAAGGCTAGGGTAGGAAGGCCAGGTTTTTCGCCAGCTATGTAAATGACACACTTGGTCAAACCAATCCCCTGGGCCCTATGCAAATCAGACACCACCTCCTCCAGCCTCCCAAAGTAACCAACTACTTTTCTGCTGCACACAGGGGTTTTCTCTCTCCACTTGGAGCCCCTCTCCCTCTGTCTTTGTACAGGGGAGCTTTTTTTCCTTCTTTCTTGCCGATTAAACTCTTCGCTCCTTAAAACCGCTCCACACGTGTTCGTGTCGTTTATCTAATTGTCGCGAGACCAAGGACCCTAGTGTTCCTCCAGTCATTGGAGCTGTATCACTATTATTTCTAGATAAATATTAGATAATTCCAAATGTTTGCTATTAGAATGAATGCTGAGATTAACATCCTGGTAGCTAAATCTATGGTCTATTTACAATTATTTACTGAGGAAAAATTCTTAAAAAGTAGAATTATTGGGCTAAATGTTATACACCTAAAAATCTTTAATACATATTAGTAAATTACCCTCTACAAAGGTGGTGTCAGAGTTTTATTATTAGTCCAATCAGTCTCCCTGAGCATTTGGGGAGCAGAGTTTTTAAGGACAACTTGGTGGATTGGGGAAGCCAGTGAGTAGGGAGTGCTGATAGGTCAGAGATGAAATCATAGGGAGTCAGAGCTGTCTTTTTGCACTTACTCAGTTCCTGGGTGGGGGCCACAAGATCAGACGAGCAAGTTTATTGATCTGGGTGGTGCCAGCTGATCCATCAAGTCCTGGGTCTGCAAAATATCTGAAGCACTCATCGTAGGAGCAGTTTAGGGAGGGTCAGAATCTTGTAGCCTCCAGCTACATGCCTCCTAAACTATAATTTCTAAACTTGTGGCTAATGTTACTCCTGTAAAGGCAATCTAGTTCCCAGGCAAGAAGGAGGTCTGCTTTGAGAAAAGGCTGTTATCTTCTTTGTTTTAAACTATAAACTATAAATTTCTCCCAAAGTTAGTTCAGCCTACACCCAGGAATGAACAAGGACAGCTTGGAGGTTAGAAGCAAGATGGAGTCATTTAAATTAGATCTCTTTTACTGTCTCAGTCATAATTTTGCAAAGGCAGTTTCAATCATTTCTCTGTGTCCTCTCCAATGCTGGGTATTATCTTGTTATAAATCTTTGCCAATTTGAGAGGTTAAAAAATGTCAAGGATTTCTCTTTATAAAAAACAGTTCATGTAATATTTTAAATTAACATTCTAAAAATTTATTTCAAATCTGTTTTTTTCCTTCAGACTATACATTTAGGTGTCCTAAGATAACTTTTCCAGCTGAAGTGACTTGCATTTCAAGGTTTGCACTGCAAATCAAGGCTGACAGCCACTTGACTATTAAGAATCTTTAATATTATGCTAATGCCTATTACAGGAGATTATTGATTAAAAGGCTGCCTGATAATGACTACCTAGTTGAGCTGTTGTCATTATATCATCAGAAAATACAAACTGGCAGTATACGCGTTTTGTAGTACTTAAGGTAAAGTGTTAATTATGTCCAAGAAGGAAGTGTGCTAATAGTTCTGTGCCATTTTGAGAGATGGACAAAATGGAAATTAAAAAATTTTAAATCTTTATTTCTATCCATATTTATATCTATCTAGATTTAATTTTTTGTTTCCTAAAGCTCAGATATGATCATGTCATTCCTGTTAACATAATCTTTTCTGACTCCTTTCTTGCCAACTGAAGTCCACATTTCTTAACATGGTATTCAAGATTCAATAAGATTGATCCTTAATGTATGTTTTTAATCTCATGTAGTGCTGCTTTCCCAAGGAAATAATAATAAGTCAATAATAGCAACTAATGTTTATTAAGCCTTAAACTATGTACCAAATATTGGGGGAAGTGCTTTGAATTTGGTGCTATAATTCTTACTATTTCAAAGGTGGGAAAATAGGTTTAGCAAATGTAAGTAGCTTGCCCAAGATCCTACAGTAAGTTGCGTTTACTTTTCTCCTCTCCTGATCTCACTATCCCAAACAATAAAATTAATTTATTCTTTGCTGGTTTAAGACCCTCAGTTGAGGGCTCTATCTAGCAGAGTCCATCAGGGTCTCAGAAAAAAAACATGTTCTCCTCTCTGCTTTGGAGGAGCTTTAAGAGTCTTACGGCCGGGCGCGGTGGCTCACGCCTGTAATCCCAGCACTTTGGGAGGCCGAGGTGGGCGGATCACGAGGTCAGGAGATCGAGACCATCCTGGCTAACACGGTGAAACCCCGTCTCTACTAAAAATACAAAAAATTAGCCGGGCGTGGTAGCGGGCGCCTGTAGTCCCAGCTACTCGGGAGGCTGAGGCAGGAGAATGGCGTGAACCCGGGAGGCGGAGCTTGCAGTGAGCCGAGATCGCGCCACTGCACTCCAGCCTGGGCGACAGAGCTAGACTCCGTCTCAAAAAAAAAAAAAAAAAAAAAAAAAAAAAAAAAAGAGTCTTACTTGGTCCAGCAGTGCAGTCTGTCTATTTCAAATAACCGTAATGCAGATGAGCTTTAGAACATGCTAATATCCCTCTTTTGGACACTTGGAGAATGCTGGAATGCCCAAGATGGGAAATACAGCTCCCTAGAGAATATTTCATTGGATAATAAAATTCTTGAACTGCTTACTTTGAGTTGATGATCTTTGGCAGTGTGTATATTATTTTTATATTCTATGTTAAAATATAGCAATAATAATTCAGGGCATAAGGGATAGTAATAGATTGTCAAATATTATTGCCTTTAATGAAATGAGAGTCTCATTGGAAAATGATGGGAAATTAATGACTTAAGCAATAAGCCCAAATCACTATACCCTGTGCAAAAGAAATGGCAGGAACATCTCCCTTCTCAATAGCTTTTCTCTCTGTGTCTTAGAGGAACTAATTTGGAAGCTGAAGAAAGGCCTAAGCTTATTAGGGGGAATATTGTGGGTATCCCAAGTGCTGGGAGTCCTGGGTCCCTGCTGTTGCATATGAAGTAAGCTATGAGCTCTGCTGAGGGTGTCAGTGGAGTGTACAAGGTTGCCAGTGACAATGCATGTCAGCTAAGGAACCACCCTAAGCTCATAAACTGGAGGTTCCTTATTAGGAAGCCCGAATTTAAATAACTGGTATAGCTTTGCTGGTCCCTTACTCCCCTCCTACCAGGCGGAAGACATTTCCTTAAAAGGAATCGCTTGAGGGGCCTTATCACTTTTGGTCATTTTCTTCCACTGTGGACCACATTAAGGATGTCCATCAAGAAGCTTGTACATGAATAATGTCAACCGTCTGAAATTCCACTTTCCACTTAGTCCAGGAGAACCTGGCAAAAGAACTGTGATGGAGTTTATTTTTCTTCCCCAATCCAACTAAGCAGAAGCATGTGAATTATTCATTATTATTTATTACAAAGTATAATATATAGAAGCAAGAAGTTAATTGTATCTAAGGTTTTGCCTTCTTTCCCTCTTTTCATCCCATTCAATGAGGGAAAATCATCCTGGTCAGGTTGGTGGCTTTCTTGGCTTCCTCTGTAGCTAAAGCTACTGGCACTGTGTAAAAAGGCACAGCAGTGGCTTTCTGAGGTGCAGATTTTTCCAGGCATGTTTCTCTGCACTGGACCCTTAGGACCTTAACTCTTAGATGGTCCCACTGCTTTGCATTCAGATGCTTTGGCTCCAGCCCTGGATGGTTGCTTGTGTGCATGCTCTGTTTGAGCTTTGGTTTGGCTCTTTCCCACAATGCTGCTGCCTCTGACAATATTAGTCTATGGGGAAGGGCTAGACCTCTAGGTGCCCAGGCTCCCAGGTCCTCCCACCTGGCCTGATCCTTGTCCCCTGCACCCTCACTTGTCTAGAAAGAAGGATTCATTAGACTGAATTCAAGGCAATATTAAATGGCAGAGGTGGTTGAGAGGGATAGCAAGAATTAGGAGACGATGTTCCCTGCTCTCCAGAAGATACAGTTCAGGAAGGATAGATGAGAGGCATACTTAAAATATAACTTATGATTTAGATAATATGATTCATAGGACATTATAGGATAGCTATGAAGATCATTCAAAAAATATTTACCGTGCATGTGCTTGCATAGCACATTTTTAGAAAACTGACTATGTAGTCTCATACATTATTATTGGGCCTGGTTGGGACAGAATATGTTCCGGTTAGTCCAACATTGGGTAAGCATATACTATATGAGGTATATTAGTAAAATTGACTAAAGTATGCTAAACTCTAAAGTCACAATTTTTAATTTTTATTTTTGTAATTTAATGTTTTAATATACCCTATAGATACCTATTGGAAAAAGCTCAAATTAACTGTTTGGATTTTTGTTTGTTGTATTGATTAGGCAATAAATTACACAATAATGAATATGCTTTAGTCTTAGATAATTCAGAAAGCATATTGTGGGCTGACACAGCCTCAGGGCAGATCAAATGAGGCTGTAGACAGATTGGAGTGTAGATGCATTATTCATAGTTAAGGGGATTTATGGTAAACATGGTATTGGATAGGAAGTGAAAGTATCTGGGAACATGGGATTACAAGATACAGAAGAATGAATTTTTCCAAAGCTTACCTTTACGTGAGAGAGGACAACACATGATCCAGTACAATTAGAAAAAAAATACAACTTGAAAAGTCCCAGAAAGGTACTAAATGTCCACTCTGAATTAAAGGCACTCGGCCCATTTGACAAGATGCATAGTAGGTCCTTCAAGAGGAGAGGAGTAACTGTTCAAGCATTTTCAAAGAAGTAAGACAGGCACCCAAGTTAAGCAGGATGCAAAGAAGTAACATTTGAGGGTGGTGGGAGGAGACCTGGGTATTGTGAACTGGAAAGCCTGAAGGTAGGAAAACTATCAGAAAGAAGGGAGCAATTTCAAATCAGTTGGCAAGGATGTCATCTTATTCTGGTTTTCATGAAACAAATATCTTTACTGGGCCATGCAGAGGTTAAATAAATTTATGTTCAAGGACTACGTGCTCCATTTGTTTTTCAAGTTCATAGCCATTTTAGAAAACAACATAGTGTGTTAAGTGTTCTGGAGCATAGGTCATGAAATGTCTTGTGTAGTTTGTGGCACGCTGAAAAGTTTGGGAGCCCAAGGTGAGGGGAGGCAGGTGGCAGCTTTCGATGGGTTTGTTCTTTCCTGCCCACGCAGCAAGCCCAGACTTTAGAGCCAGAGGGGACGAGATTCTAGCTCTGCTTCCACGATCACTAGCTCTGTGTCCTTGGGAAGGTCATCTCTGAACTATAAACTGGTGACAGTAAAAGAATCTGCCCACTGCTGTTGCTTTGCATCAAACCTGCCGTCTGATTCCTACTGGATTCGTGAAGATAAGCCAAAAAAAAGTCATTTGATCTGCAGCTCCCCATCCCCCAGTTCTCTCCATTGACATGTGTAAGTGAGAGGTGAATGTAGAACAAAGAAACAGAGAAGAGCGGTCCAGGAGTTGACAGGTTGCTTTTCTTTGGGTGCTTTATCCAAGTTTCAATTGTTCTTCCTTGGCTCTGTCAGGAAAAGGGAGGGGGGCGGTCTTCGTTCCATGTAGTGCCTCCTATTTGCCAGTGCAAGAGAGCGCTATCCCCGCCCCACCTCCACAGAAGCTAAAAGTTATCCTGTGTCCAATGTCTCCATCTTACAAAAACATTGCAGCAGAAGATAGAATTTTCACATCGAATCTGCGCTCCCAGCAAAAGCAACAACCCTCAGAGTCGCACAGCTGATCAAAGTTGTCTGAATATTCCACTGACAACTTCAATTTAAACATGTTGCTAGTGCAACCCTAACCATGTCCTGATACCACTAAATCTCCTTTGACTGTTTATTTTACCACCTCCCAACCTAGGTTAGTATTTTAGTATAAAATATACTGTATTTTCACAAAGTGTTTTTCCCTGGTAAAATCACTTTAATGTATTTTAAAATATACTATGTTGAAAAGTACTTGGATGTTTTTTCCAAGAACAATTTCTTTGTAAAAGTAGGGTGTATGTTATATATGTTTGCATCTGCTTATTCTGGCAAATAGGGTACCAGGGCGGGCAAAGAGCTGAGATTGAACTGGAAGAGTGCAAGTTGTGTATCTGAAGTTAGCTCATTCCCTCTGGTACTTTCTGCTCTGATGATCTGTGTTATCTTTCTATGTGTGTGTGTGTGAACTGACAAAAAGTAAAATTTTTCATGTGCCATTATTGAAAAGTGAGGCATCAGAGCCACTGATTTCTTTAATTCAACTAGGCCCTAAAGAAAATGAGTCAGACACACAGACTTGCGGCTCTTCCTACTAACAAAGGAATGAAGGAATTTTTCGTGACGGTATAGACACCAGATTGAATACAGTTTCCCATCACAACTAATTATCATATTTGAGATTAATGGTTACATTCCACAGGAGATAACATTAACATTTTGCAGTCTTGATGTCTTAAGGGGACATATTACAAATAATCTAGCAAGGACATGTTTCTTTTGGTTACAAAATACTAAGTTGGATGGTTACAAGATATGGAACAGGTGTAAATCTACCCAAGAGCCTATGTCAGACAGGTGGTTTGGATTCCTATCCTTATGAATGTTCCTAGCCTTTATCTTTAGCTAGTATGTTCTTCTAATGGTTATACTACCATAATCTTGTCTCCATGCTCATGTAATAACTACCACTGATTTTAGCAACTGTTTGTAAAAGGGTCCAGAGATTGAAGCAAGTCGCTAGAATTTTGAAAGTCCTTGTCCTAGCTATTTGTTAACATTGTTTTTGTAACCTTGAACATGTCACCCAATTCCTCATTCGTATTTGAGAAACCAGGTTCACAGGGTTTTTTTGAAAGCTTAATAATTTAAATTACATTAAAAAATGACATGTTAATAAATGATGTATATACATGGATGGATGTTTATTTTACAACTCAATCATATATGGTCATTGTCTTAGTCTGTTACAGTGGCTAGAACAAAATACCATAAACCGGTAACTCATAAACAACAGAAATTTATTTCTTGCAGTTCTAGAGGCTGGAAAGTCCAAGGTCAAGACACCAGCAGATTCAGTGTCTTGTGAGGGCCCACTTTCTGGTTCATAGATTGCACCTTTTTGCTGTGTCTGCACATGGTGGAAAGGACAAAGATTCTTTCTCAGGCCTCTTTTGTAAGGGCACTAATCCCATTCATGAGAGCTCTCCTCTCAAGACCCAATCATTTCCCAAAGGACCCACCTCCTGATACCCTCAGTTTGGGGGTTAGAATTTCAACATGCAAACTTTAGGGGCACACTAACATTATAATGGCCACAGTGGTCATTATTTTACAATCTGATTTTCGAGTGTTCTCTGGGCTACTTCTTTCCTTCTTTGTGAAAAAAGCTTCATGCCAGGTTTCTAAAATTCTTATTTTCCCCAATTAAAGTTTTGAAACTATATGTAGTTGACTTGAAGGCTAAAAAACAATGCATTTATTTTGAGTACTGATTTGATTGTGTGATTTACAGACATATTCTTAAATATGTAGGTCCTAAAATTGTCTATTAATCTACTCATTTGCCAAAATCCTTCATATTCAATATTCTAGGGCCCAAACATGGTAAGTTGCTGCCAGCTAAATCTGACTTTTCATCCCAAAATATTTATTTATTTATTTATGTATTTATTTATTGAGATGGAGCCTCACTCTGTCACCCAGGCTGTAGTGCAGTGGCACGATCTCGGCTCACTGCAACCTCTGCCTCTGGGGTTCAAGCAATTCTCCTGCTTCAGCCTCCCGAGTAGCTGGGACTACAGGCACCCACCACCACGCCTGGCTAATTTTTGTATTTTTAGTAGAGACAGGGTTTCACCATGTTGGCCAGGCTAGGCTGGAACTCCTGATTTTAGGCGGTTTGCCCACCTCGGCCTCCCAAAGTGCTGGAATTATAGGCGTGAGACACCGCACCCAGCCTCCAAAATACTCTTGAACTTCTCTTGACTTCCAATTGCTCTACAGTTTTAATTCTAGTCCAGTTGCGCTAAGTTACTTACAGCTCTCCATGGGTGTTTGGTACCTGTGGTCACCTTTTTCTCTTCCTTGGAATGTTTCCTGCTCTCCTTGACTATCTGAGGCCTTCCCATTCTGCCCAGACCACTCCCTCTCCAGATGTTCTCTTTCTCTCTTGAATCCCTACTCTTTCCTTCATTCATCTTCCTCTCCTCTTTGTTTTATCTTCAAAATAGATTGAGAGATCCATTACAGGTACAATTCTATTTTCTACTTCTTTGTATCTCCCCAGTTGCTAAACCTACATATAGTTAGTTGGTAGGTATTGTGGGAAAATTGCTTGATTCCATTCTATAATATTGGGAATAATATTTAATATTTATCTAATGAAAATATTTTCAAGTCATATACAGTTACCAAAGGATAACCAAAAGATAAGACAGATTAGTTTTGTTGTTGTTGTTTTGAGATGGAGTCTCACTCTGTCACCCAGGCTGGAGTGCAGTGGCGTGATATCGGCTCACTGCAACATCCGCCTCCTGGGTTCAAGCTATTCTCCCGTCTCAGCCTCCAGAGTAGCTGGGATTACAGGTGCCTGCCACCACGCCCGGTTAATTTTTGTATTTTTAGTAGAGACCAGATTTTACCATGTTGGTCAGGCTGGTCTCGAATACCTGACCTCAGGTGATCCACCTGTCTTGGCCTCCCAAAGTGCTGGGATTACAGGCATCAGTCACTGTGCCTGGGCTAGATTAGCTTCTTAAATGGCTATCACTAATGAAATTAATGTGTAATTTAAATTTTGAAATGCTCACTATAAAAGAGGCCACAAAATTGCATGTGTTTATTAGTAGTATAAATTTTCTCTTTAGTAGCGTCTTTAAGCAGATAAGAAACAAAAAATTGCTAACATAATGTAATTTTTAGTGCAATTTAAAAGTAGAAGTATAGCTATGAAAGGGGAAGATTCTATTTGGGCAGAAAGTTGTAACCTTAAACCTGAACTTCCCTTAAGCCATTTGCTTATTTATGAAAATATTTCTTCATGAATTTACCATTTCTTAAATATGTTATTTTATTCACTCATTTGTTTTGCACTCACTGAAGGCTAAAACAGATCACAACAAGTAACAAATTAATAAAATGATGATTCTACAGGCAATAAGCCGGGGGGCTGAGATGCCATGAGTTGGGGGAAGAACATTTTAAAGGAAAGGATTAGCAAGCACAAGGCCCTGGAGGTAGAAGAGCTTCAAGAATGGAAAGGAGACCAGTGTAATGGTCCATGGAGAGGGAGGGAGGGCAAGGGTAGAAAGAGGAGAGATTGAGGAAGGGGCCAGTGGCTGGATCAAGCAAGGCCTCTTGTGGCACAGAAGGAGTTTGGGTTTTATTTAAAGGGTAACAGATGCCTTTGAAAGGTCTGAAGCAGAGCAGTGATAGGATCTGATTGAGTTTTCAAAAAGATCTCTTAGCCTACTGTGGGAAGAATGAATTGGAGGGATCAAGAGAAGAAGAAAAGTAGGGAAGGGGAGATGAAGAGGAGTTCATTAACAGGTGCCAATATAGAGTTTGGTAGAAGAAATAAGACCTAGTGTTTGGTAGAGCAGTAGGGTGCTATAGTTCACAATAATCTATTATCTATTTCAAAGTAGCTTGAAGAGAATAATTTGAATAATAATTTGAATGTTTCTAGCATAAAGGACAAATATTTAAGAGGATGGATATCCCAACTACATGGATTTGATCTTTACAAATTATATGACTATATTGACTTATCACATATACCTTGAATATATGTACATCTATTATGTGTCAATAAAATAAAATAAAGAGCTGAGGGGAAAAGGCCAGTTAAGAGGTTAAGGTCACAGGAGCTTCGGCCAGGGTGTCAGCAGTGAACACGGAGAGAAGTGTATGGTTTTGAGATAAATTTGGAGATGAAACCTACAGAAGTTGATGATGAGTGGGGTGTGGGGATAAGGTAAGAGATGAATCAAGGATGAATCCCATGATTTTTCATCTCTATGTCCCCATTCCTCCAGTACATTTTTGCTTTTACTAAAAACTAGGTCTTTCAGATCCTAAGGAGAAAGAATAACAAAAGGAATATGGAAAAAAAATGCATTCATGGCTTTAAAAAATGTTGTGAATGTTACGCAGAATTTTGGTCTTACAGTGGCTTTTGGCCAAAAGCAATAAAATTATAATGTGCACATTGGGCGCATAGCTGGCCAGATTGTGGGATCCTTTAAAGGCATATACTGAAAAATGTTTCTGTCTCTCGAATCACTTCTGATAGTAATGTAAGTTCCACCAGTCGAACTAATTTTATATTCACAGAAAGCGATACAACTCCACGGAAAATATAAATTTTTCATTGACTAGTGGCCTGTAACTGCTTTGAGTGTAATTACACATTTTTCATTTAAGATCAATTTCACAAAATCGTTTTTATGACCTAAGGCTGCCTTCTTAATAATTGGGTGCAGCTAATTTATTAGGGTATGCACGTATTGGTATAGGTGTCATTCTTGCCTGGTTTTAATTTAGAAACAAGCTCCATGTGGGTATGGAAAGGACTCTCTGGTTTCATATTTTTTCCCTTATGCTGATCAGTGAGCCCTGCTTTGTTTCTCAGGATATACTGTTATGGAGAAAGCCTATGACAACCTGTTCTTAAAACAGCTCAGTTGACAAATGAGGATATTTTCCGTTTAATTCTAGGGAAGGTGCCCCGCTCAGAACATAAAAATTAAATCTGATCTCCCTCACTTGAAGTAGATGAATAATTCATGGAGTTTAGGCATAATGAGGTTTGGCTTTGAGAAATTTTTAGTTGATGTGCAAAGTTTATTATTTTTTTGTCACGAAAGGAAAAGAGCCTATGGAGCGTCTTCTATCCCAAGATTCAAGTACCATGGAGGCTCCAGTAAGGGAGCGTGGGGGTAGGGGACCATCACTTTATGTGGAAGGAAATGTGCTTGTATAGACACTTAATTCAATACCTTTATGTGAATTTGCATCTCCTCAGTGGCTTGTCTCCCTTCAGTAAATATGAGCCAGAGGCCTGACTTCTTTGAGTGGGTGGAGCCTAGCATGAAGGGGTGCATCCTAAAGCTCGGGCTCTTTTTGCTATGTGCACCATTAGTGTTACTGAAACCCAGGGTTTCACTCTAGGTCCTGTTGCTCACTGCACAGAAAGCCAATCACTGAGACAGGGAAGAAGGCTGTATTTTGGTGCTGCAGCCAAGGAGAACAGGAGATGAGTCTCAAATCCGTCTCTCCAACCAACTAAAATTAGGGGCTTATATAGAAGGAAATAAATGTAAGTACATGTGGAAAAACAGGAATTAGGGAGCAGTAGGGAAGAGGAGATTGTAAACAGGAATCATAATGGATGAGGGGTCTGGCATCTTGTTGTCTGGATGTGGTGATCTGGTGAGTTTCAGTTCCTTGATCCTATCTGGAAGGCCTGAGGGTGGAGTTCCTGAGGAAGGATCTCAGATAAGACAAATTTAAGTTTCAGGCTTACAGAGGATCAATTTCTCTGTTTAACCCCAAACCTTTTAGCACCAGTTCTATGGAACATTTGGGCTGGTTTCATTAGGAGGAGCCTGGCAGGTGGGATTTAGTTCTCTGGCTATGCTCAGCTAGAAGTCTTCCAGAAGTTGCTGGCAGGGTTGACCAAGGAAGCTCTGTGTGGACTCAGACCCCACCGTCTATTTCCTTTTAATAGTGATAGCCTGGATTCTTCGATCTTTCTGTGAGACTTACAGATATTCCTGTTTTCTCAAGGATGCCAACACGGCAACATTTTAGATGCTAAGTATGAAAATGATAACACCTGGCTCCTGCATTCAGAAAAAGGTTGCTATTTAAATAAAAGATGAGACAGCTTCATGTGAGAATCTCACCAGCAGGACAGCTGTCTGTAATGAGTGGGCCAGTGCAAAGCTGATGCTCTGGGAGGAAGAGATCACTTCATATTGATTGAAGCATGCAGGGAAGGCCTCTTGACAATAGTACTGTGGGTAGGTTTTGAGTGATTTAGGGATTCTGATGAATGTTGAGAAAGGGAGAAGAAATCTTAAAAGGCCCATGCTGGGAATGGACATGGCCTGTTGGGTAACAGTGAGGAAACTGGTTTGACAGCAAGGGGGTTTGTACTAGAGAAGTAAGCTTAGGGCCAGGTTATGGAGGCCTTCAACACTGGGTGAGGCTTCTAGGCTGAAGGCTGTGGGGAGCTTGAAGGCTTCTGGGTAGGGAGAGCAGTATGATCCCACTGGCATTTAGGAACATTAATCCAGTAGCAAGGCTTGCAGTTAACTGGTGATCTAAGATTGCAGGTGTCACACTTATCCATAGGAGAGATCTAAAGGACTTTGCGAAGCACACAGGAAGGAACAGGGAAAGCAGGATTAGCTCATGTGAAGGAGAAGCAGGCAGCTCTTGGTGACTGGTTGTCAGTGAGGGAAAGAGGTGGGCACAGGGGCACACTTGCACCCCTCTAGTCTATTTTACACATGGTTCTGCTTTCCTCTTCTTAGCGTTTAGACCTCTGATAAAAAGCAGTTTACCACAAGATGTTAGAGTCTTAATGTTTTTCTCTTAGGAAGATACAGATGTATATATATTTAGAGACCAAAAACAGTTGGCAGGCATGAATACCAATGCATCGGGTTACCAAGCATCAGCACAGGCAAGGGGTAGAGGTATGTTCATTTATTTATGTATATTTATGTATTATGTATATAAATATATATAACGTTATATATATTATATATAACGTTATATATATTATATAACGTTATATATATTATATATGAATATATATTTTATATATATATAAACATATATAATATATATATATAAACATATCCCATAACCCTTCAAACATACCACCTGGGTGGGCATCTCTGAGTAAGGGTTGCCTGGGATGCCTGCATGTTACCTGATGGACAACCCCACCACTTGGTCCTGCCACGTGCAAACTTAGAGTTAGATGACCAACACATTTAAGAAAAGTCATTGGTCTTTTCTCTTTGTGGATTCCAGTGATGCGCCCCAGTTTCTAAAGCTCTCAAAATGAGGAGCCACTTAGAGTAGCAGGTATATTGTCTTTGCGGCATTCCTCTTGAGACGCAAATGGCAGAACAGCATTTGTGGCAGAAATTTGGGCAGTGCTACTTTAGAATTGACTATAATTGCCTGTGCTTTTGTGCTCTTTGCTGTGGCATAATGGGGCCTGCCTCATGGAGCTTAAAGTCCAGTGAGCCTTTCTTATCTTTGATTGGCCCACATACCCATGTGATGACTTGGATATCCCTAGGCAATGGATATTTGGCGTTTTGCCCTGAAGCATCCAGGACACATGTGAAAGCTGGGGAAGCAACACAAATGTTGACAAATTAGGCAAGAGCTGCTCATCAGAGGACTGTGAACATCCTGATGGCATGAATTCATTCACTGTGCACATACATGGTATACATACAGTAGTGAATACTTGTCTTATACACTCATATTGGTGCAGAGTCTGACACACAGTAAATGCTTTAAAATGTTCGTTCAATGAATAAATGAATGTTGTTGAATGCCCTACTGATTCCTTGCAGATCCTCTGGCCCACTCAGATGCCTCTATTTCTCTACGTGAAATAGAAAGAGAGAGAGAGAGAAAGAAAGAGAGATAGAGAGATACCAAGACTGAGCCCCATCAGACCATATCCTCAAAGGAAAGTGCCTGGGAACACTGTGTGAATGGGGTCCTGCCAGTCACAGCAGGGAAAAAAGGCCACCTGGAAGACTGTGTGATCTAGCGTCACCGGGAAGGCAGCACTGGACTTGCTTCCTTGGTCTAGTCCATTGGGTCTTTTTGAGGAACCAACTGCAAGATGGACCTTATGATGGCTTTAAATAACTCCTTAACACAATTAAGGTTCCATTCATACTTTGTGGTCAGAGTGCTAGCTGTTCAGGAGAAGGTACTGACCATGATTATGTACCAAGCAAAGGATAGTGTGTCATCACCCAGGGCAGGGACCACACTTGATTGCAATCAAGCTATGTCCTGCATTTGTGGAGTCAGGAAAAGATCGAGATGAGGCTGGTGGTTTAGGTTTGGCTCTTATTGTGAAGAGCCTCATTTCCACAGGAACCTGGACTGTGTCCAAAGGTAACAGAGAGGGAGTCACTGCAAAATTTTTAAGCAGGAGAACTGAAATTCTCTGGTGTATGTTTTAGAAGCAAACCATGGCAGAAATGTGTATGGAATTGGAGGGGAAGAAAATTGAAAGCAGAGAAGCCAGTCAGAATGTCATTACCATGCCCAAGTGAGTAGCGCTACAGGCTACGGGTGATTTTTGAGGATTTTTCTATCTATTGTTGTGTTTATGGGGATGCAGTTGGGCTCATGATGCAGCTGAATGTTCAAAATGGTGAATTCTTCTGTATTTGCGTTATAGTTTAGTAAGTTATGAGATTAATTATGCCCGTTAATGAATCAGCAAATTAACATTCTGTGATTTTATGATCTGGCAGAATTTCATCTCCTTATATTTCATTCTTTGCCAAAGGAATATCTTGCTTTCCTTCTTGTAGAAGTTGAGTTGGAATCACATAAAAATATAGCAAAACATTATTTGCTGCGAAACGCTACTGGTGCCTTGAAGGAGTTGGTTTATTCATCAAAGCACCTAAACTGCACGCAGGGAGGAAGTTAGCTAGCAGAATTGGGGTCACTGTCATAGAGGATTATATACGTACAGGTTCTTGAGCTTTTGGCAGATGCAGTGCAAGCCTGTTTATTTGTTTAGTCTGTTAGAAAGAGATCCTTTCTTCCCCAGCACCTATCTTATATTATCACAGTTACTGGGATTGCTCAGGTATGATGTGAGTTTAATCAGGGCCAAGTGTGTAAAGTAGCTTTTTAAACATGGGCCTGGACTGAAGATTCTTAGAATTGTGTTCTTAGTAAGAGGAGGGGGAAGCCACCACCTCTCTTGTGTGGTTGTTTTCACTAATGAATCTCTGTTCTCTGTGGTGTCAGAGTTACAGCTTTTGGAAATGGAAAGAAGTACCTGGGTTTCAAACGGAAAGAAGAGTAGCTGGGTTTCAACATAATGGTGATTAGTTAATGGAACTTTCTTTTTGTTGGCCGAGGGATCAGCTACTAGCCTTGGCTTACTGCTAAAGTGGAGATACTACCTGTAAGAGAAATCTCACCAAGGGGTTTGGTCTAGGCCAGGGGTTAGCAAGCTTTTTCTGAATAGTGCCAGGTAGTAAACATTTTAGGATTTGTGGGCTGTATGGTCTCTGTTGCAACTACTCAACTCTGCCATTTTACTGAGGAAAGCAGCCACAGACAATACTGAAATGAATGAGCATGGCTGTGATCCAATAAAACTTTATTTACAAAATAGGTGGTGGCAAGATTTGGCCTGTGAGCTTTAGTTTGCTGAGTGTTGGTCTAGGGAATAACTAATGTTAGAGAAGTGGGTGGAGAGGATTGCATTAGTAAACTGTTATATTATATTCCCCTCCCTCTCACCTTTTCACCGTGTTTGCCTTTAGGCACCTTCCCACAAATATAACAGAAAATTATAGCACCATCCAAACCCTACAGTTTGTTTTATTTAAGAACTCAATGCCATGCCAAGGGGAATAAAGGAATTGCCAAAAGTCATCAAGAGTATGCCAGCAAATTTCATATTTGTTGATAGACTGGATTGACGCTAATCACAGGGTAGTGGATGATCACATAAAAATGAACATTTCATATGGTGGTGAACAATTTATATTTTTTATTCTTTTGGTGTACCCAAAAGAAGACTAGTTCTTTTTCACATGGTTGTGAACACTACAGTTTCTCTGTTTATGTCCCATTAACTTTCCAGCTCTGATTTTATCATTACCCAGAGGTTTTGATGCTACCCTCCAAACCATTAGGTGTTAGTCTGCTTTTCTATTTTTTTCCCAAAGCTTAGAAAACTCACTGTAGGGCCGGGTGCAGTGGCTCATGCCTGTAATCCCAACACTTTGGGAGACCGAGGCAGGCAGATCACCTGAGGTCAGGAGTTCAAGACCAGCCTGGCCAACATGGTGAAACCCCGTCTCCACTAAAAATACAAAAATTAGCTGGGCGTGTTGATGCATGCCTGTAGTCCCAGCTACTTGGGAGGCTGAGGCAGGAGAATTGCTTGAGCCCAGGAGACGGAGGTTGCAGTGAGCTGAGATCGTGCCATTGCACTCCAGCCCAGCTGACAGAGCAAGACTCTGTCTCAAAAAAAAAAAAAATAGAGAGAAAAATAAAACTCATTGTATCGGACACCTTTTGTGCACTTGTTCGCATTTTCTCAGCCTCACCTGTCTCTTGTTCCAACTTTGCAGAACCCTGAGCGAATTCCCCCAGGTACAACCTGACATCACCTTGTCCCTTGCCCTCTAATCAGCCTTCTTGCTTCCCACCCAGGGCTTTCTAGTTGCACTGCAGCAGGCACCGCAGCTCACTCCTCCATAGCCCACAAGAAGTGAACTTCTAACAAAGGAGAATGGGAGCCAGTGGATATATTCTTTACCTTTCTCCACCATGTGGTATAATCCTGAAATGCTGTTCTGCGATTTCTCAAGCAGTCACAGTTAGTGGTGGCCAGTTCAATGGCGCATCAATATGTTGGCCTCTACTTGTTCCTCACTTCTGCTCCCGGGGGTTGCACTATCTACTAACATGCTAGCATACAAATCCTGTGACTTGGGATCTTCTTTCTGGGAACCCAAGCTATGTCTGCTCTAGGGATAAATAGCTTACATACCAAAGGAATTGCGGGGTCCAAGGGCACGTGTGCAGGAAGGGAGCTTGTGGGTGTCTGACTGGGGAGTAGTGTGTGGAATAGCAGCCTGGATGGGAGGATTTACTAACATGGGGGCACTCACCTGAGACTCTGGACTTGATGTTTTGGCAATAATTTCTGGAATCAACACAGAAAGCCATGGGAACTGCCTCAGCTTCACTCCTCGTAGTACCTCTTCTCTCCATATTATTGCTGATTTCAGTATTGCCTGGGGGGCCCATTTTGCAGCCTGATGGTCTCACATTGCAGGGGTTTGCCCAGAATGCAAAGTAGCTGCTAGCTGGTATTTGCTCTGCCTTATTTTTCTGAGTCCACAGGAGGGAAGAATGCTGTACTCTGCTCTACATTTTCTAACACAGACTCCTTTCAGCCCCAGGAAAGATGCCTCGCTTCTCTGTGCACAGTCTTGGCCAGCAGCCTCAGGAGGCGTTGAGGATGTAACTCATGGAAAGTATAATGTGGTGCTGTCACAGAGGCTCAGGGTTTCCAGCTGGGTTTGCAGCATCCCAGAAGGTGGCAGGAATTCTGTTCCAAATCTGATCTCAGATTTCGAACCAGGTCGTAGAAATCCCTTTAGACCAAGCCACAGAAATGGGGGTGAGGAAAACTAAAGGAATGTCACAGCAAAGCAGCATGCCCTCTCCTTGCTCTGATGCCATCCACAGCTAACCCAGTCCTAGCTAAAGTTGGTGTGAATAATTATCACTTTCTTTCCAGTAACGGTCCTTCCAGCTCATTTACCCAGCAGTAGAGATTCAGATTCAGCATTGTCTTTTTTTTTTTTTTTAAATCAGCCTCTAGGATTTTTCTATTACTTTTCTTGATCGTATTAGTTTCATGCTTCAGCTGTTCATGCTTCTATAACTGCATGTGCATTTTCGTCTCCAGTCCCAGGCTGATCTCGCACAATATCATCATCGTTAGAGCATTAGAAGGAAAAAAGAAAAGCTCCAAGCAGATTGAGGGGCAGAAAAAGAATGAGACATGAGACAACATCTGGGCTCTCAAAAGGCCCTCTTGCTTAAACTTCCTGGCTTGCAAAGAAATTTACAGACCGAGCGTATTCACATGTTTTCATTTGCCTGTGTCCACTAGCTTCCTTCTTAGTTTTGAGACAACAAGAAAGATTTTTCCCAGCTTGGTGTTCTTCCCAATGGGCTCCCAGGAGCAGCTCTGACTTTCCTAGGACTTGTTGAAAAGGTATGACTTTTGCTACCTTGAAACCTAGCTGATGAAAAAAAATGAAGATGTGCTTAACCTCTCTTAGCAATTTTTCTATTGCTTTTATTCAGAGACTCAATCCTGAGAGGTAATCAGAAAATTCCACCAGAGAGGAGATAGACTACTACAGATGCCCTCTAGTCTCTAAGAACAATGGCCACATAATTGTTTTCACTGTACTTGATGATAATTCCTGAGAAAAAGGGAGGATTATGTAAGAGAAAAAAATATTCCTAATCCATAAACAAGCCAATGCAAGCAACGATAAAGTCTCCATTCTACCACATATTGACTGTGTTACACTGGGTAGATTGTTTAGCTCTCTGAGGTTTCTTCTGTCAGTTGCAAAACTTCGTTGCTCTGTCGCAAGGTTAGAGTTTGTTAAGTTGCTCGCACAGAGTGCATAGTAGGTACACAGTAAATGGTTGTTTTTATTAGGCAGCAAGGCACTTTGTGTATCTGTTGATGCTTTCCTGCTTAGTGTCTGCAAATTTGCAGTCTTGGATTGAATTGCTCAGTCCATCAAAATAGACTTGAAAAGACGGATAACAAATCCTTGAAGAGAAAGAATATGCATAAGTACCATTTGTTCCTATCAAACAAACTTTTTGACCTGCTAAGAAGATCACCTTCAGACAACATCATCAATTAATTGGGAAAATTACTAGATTAGGAGATACATCATCTAAACACAATCAACCTATTTGTCAATGATGACTATTACATGATACATAGAAGAGTAAGGACAGCTAACACTTATTGGTTACTGAGTATGTGCCAAGTGCTTGACCATCAATATTTTATCAAATTCTCACAGCCATTATAGTGGGCAGGCATTGCTGTTGCCCGTGGGCTCCTGGGGAGGACACTGAACTCAGAGAGGATGGCTTCCTTGCCTAAAGTCACATGGCGGGCAGTTTAGGAGGTAGGCCTTGGCCCTGGTCTCGACTCAGAGCTCTTGCCCACTGTGTCTTGCTGCCTCTCCCCGCTGCGTTTTACCATTGTCGCCAGTAACACAAGGGAAACGTTGTGCTTCCCTCACTGCAGTGTCCTCATGGCCACACTGGAGACTGAGGTGAGAGGAAAAATGTGCACCCTAGGGATACTGATCAGAATATCCTCTCATTTTTGAAACAAGTGGAAAAAGTTAATAAAAGCTCTACAATAACAACAAAAAAACCCCCAAACAGACTATATGTAAAGCCAAACATTGCCCAATTCTTTTTTTTTTTTTTTTTGAGGTGGAGTTTTGCTCTTATTGCCCAGGCTGGAGTGCAACCCCCCAGGTTCAAGCAATTCTCCTGCCTCAGCCTCCCAACTAGCTAGGATTACAGGCGCCCACCACCACGCCTGGCTAATTTTTTGTATTTTCAGTAGAGATGGGGTTTCACCATGTTGGCCAGGCTGGTCTCGAACTCCAGACCTCAGGTGGTCCACCCGCCTCGGCCTCCCAAAGTTCTGAGATTATAGGCGTGAGCCACTGCACCCGGCCACATTGCCCAATTCTTATACCATTGTTAACCTTCATAAACCTGGAGGGGTCAGTAGGGCAGGGGGAGGGGTGATAAAGGGGTCCCACGGCCCAGGAAGCTTGGGCTGATTGGGAATGACTGTTCCCATTGCAAAATAACACAGGGTGGTAAAACAAACAAACAGCATGGCCATCTTTATTTAAAATTTTGATTTTTTCCATCATGGATTTTTTTTTTTTTTTGGCATTAATTTTTATTTTTTAAAAGATTGCCCTTGACCAGGAACAGTGGCTCAGGCCTGTAATCTCAGCACTTTGGGAGGCTAAGGCTGGAGGATTTCTTGAGTCCAGGAGTTCAAGACCAACTTGGACAACATAGGGATATTCCGTCTCTACAACACATTTGAAAAGAAAAATTAGCCAGGTGTGGTGGCCTGTGACGGTGGTCCCAGCTACTCAGGAGGCTGAAGTGGGAGGATTGCGTGACAGAGTGAGGCCCTATCTCAAACAAACAAACCAACAAACAAGCAAAAGGACTGCATTAAAATTTTCTGTATCTTGATTTTAGAGTTTTTTGATGCTAAATTGTTAGGCCTGCAGTGAGAGCCTTCCATGTCTCACCTTAATCTTGGCTTTGCTTTGTTGCCATGCAAATTTGAGGAGAGAATGGTCTGTTTTAAAATATACTTGGCTGCAGTGAAGTGAGTGATGACACTATAAGGGAAGGAACACAAAAAATGATCACTAAACTGAACTGCAGGGCCAAAGAGAGGAATATGATTTTCTTTTCTTTTGAGACAGGGTCTTGCTCTGTCACTCAGGCTGTAATACAATGGTGCAATCATACCTCACTGTAGCCTTGAACTCCTGGGCTCAAGATATCCTCTCACCTCAGCCTCTCAAGTAGCTACGACTACAGGCACCCACCACCACACTCAGTTATTTATTTATTTTCACAGAGACAAGCTTTTGCTATGTTGCCCAGGGTGGTCTTGAACTCCTGGGCTCAAGTGATCCTCCTGCCTTGGCCTCCCAAAGTGCTGGGATTATAGGTGTGAGCCACTGCACCTGTTTTTTGTTTTTGTTTTTGTTTTTTTTCTCCTCTGAGAAGAAAAGGGTGAAGGAGAGAAGGAAGGATGGATTGGGAAACCAGGGCCACTGATCTGCAGAGAGGCTGTGCTGGGCAAGAAGGGGCTGAAACACTCCCTGGTCATGTCAGGGCCATAGAGGTTGTCATAATAATGTTACTTACCCTTCCATTTGAAGAGGTGTGTGTTTTTGGGGTATAAAACATCTTTGTCTCATTGAAATTTTCAGTTGAGGCCAGGAATAGCGGCTCACACCACACTACTAGGATTACACCTAGCACTTTGGGAGGCTGAGGTGAAAGGATTGCTTGAGCCCAGGAGTTCAAAACCCCTGTCTCTACAAAAAGTCAACAAATGAGGCAGGAAGATTGCCTGAGCCTGGGAGGTCGAGGGTGCAGTGAGCCATGATTGCGCCACTGCACTCCCACCTGGGTGATGGGTGTGAGACTCTGTCTCAAAAAATAAATAAGTAAGAAATCTTTAGTAGATTATGCTAAACCTGCATATGTTTTGGGTTGCAGAAATAAACAGGTGGTTGAGTTCAATGCTTAGTGGATGTTGCGAGGAACAGATCGAATTCAGCAGCAACCTGGAGGCAGAGGGTCCAAGATAACTTGACCTCCTAGGAGTTTATAGAAATCATGGGAAAGTGTTTAGATTTCCACAGAGCAAGTAAGAATGGGTTTGAGTCAGTCTCATCTAAATCTTGAGGGGCAGGAAAGGCCTCCCACATCTTCTGGTTTCCTGAAAAATCTTCTGGAAGAAATTCAGGAGATTAGGTTCTAGATAGGGTTGTGACTTGATTCTAGCAGTTGCTCCTGGAATTGCAGATTTAATAAATGTTTTTCCGTTTCTCTTTGTCGTCTTCAGGGGGCAGGATCACTGTCTTATTAATATGTTTCATGAGCTTGCAGAACGTAGTAAGTAGTCCTACCCTGCTTGCTCCTTTCTTCTTTTACACGACCTCCCTGCCAACTTGGATATGTCTACCTGGGCAGGCAGGAAGAATAGTGCTGCATGCTGTCTAGGCATTTGTGTGTGACTTGAGGGTATCAATGCCCCTCTGTCCTGTCCTGGAGAGTGCTCCTCCCTAACCTGGGCAAGGGAGGCGATCAGGGAACACAGCATTCTCAGGCATCCACCATTTCAATTGAAACTCCACTTGGAGTAGAAGGGAAAGATGGCCCTCCAGCCTGTCTCCAGTGGAGTTTGTGTCAGAGTGGAAGTGGGTAAGTCCTTCCCCTTCCTGGAGTCTGCCTGCTACTCTGGTCTCTGCTCCATAAACCTTACAAGACTATTAGACAAATTTATGAAATTTTTATTGACGAGATAGGGGATCTGAGAAAGGCAGTTTGGTGTGAGCTTTATCTTGCTTAAAGCTGCACAAAGATGGGGAGGTCTTTACATGCGCAGAACTTTGCTAGGAGAGTGTTCCCTGATCTATATCCCTCTTTCTCGCTGATCCCCAGTCCCAGATAGCACCACTGCTTCAGGTCCCCAAGTCAGGCACACTCATGAGCCACACTCCGTGGGGTTCAGGCAGCAATTCTGCTTACTGGGGGCTTCCTGCAGTTGCAGTAATGAACAATGTCTCAGAGCCTTTTGCAAGGCCCTGGGATGGCGGTGGGGTGGCCTCTGGTCCTTTGTGTGAAGTTCTGTGTGGATCTTTGGAATACAGTTCTGTCTTACTACCAAGAAGGTTCAGTGCCCGATTTTCTTACTCAGCTCCTCACCAACGTAAGCATTCATTTTTCTAAGAAACAACACAGTTCAGTCTCATAGGAGGAGGGACATTTCCTCCATTTAGCATGGCTTTGACTTTGCAGTTTTTAGAATAGGTCCAATTGTTATGGCCCTTTCCTGCTCTCCTGAGCCAGGCTTGTTTTAGAAAGAAACCATGTCTACTTTAAACAATATTATTATCAGTGAGGTATGGCATTAATTCTAATTACATTAATTCCACTTATCCCTTTGCCAGTGTACAAAACCTGCATGGTTTGGGAATGAAGAATATTTTACCGTCTTACATACTGTATTAGTCTTTTTTGGGCTGCTGTATGGGAATGCCATAGACTGGGTGGTTTATAAAAACAGAAATTTATTTCTCATGGTTCTAGAGGCTGGGAAGTCCAAGATCAAGGGGCTGGCAAATTTGGTGTTAGTTGAAGGCCTACTTCCTGGTTCATGGATAGATGTCTTCTTGCTGCATTCTCAAATGGTAGAAGGGATGAGGGTTCCCCAGGGCTTCTTTTATAAGGGCACTAATCCCATTTGCAAGTGCTCTACCATCGTGACTTCATCACCTCCCAAGTGCTTCACCTCCAAACACCATCACTTTGGGCACTAGGATTTAACCTATGAATTTCAGGAGGACACAAACCTTCAGTCTATAGCACACACCTTATCCAAAAAAAAAAGTATTTATAAGCACACAAATTTGGTCAACCACTATTTTGGACATGAGGTAGAAAACATAGCTCCAAGTTAATTATTTCTTCTTGGAGAAAATTAAACACACAACAGAATTATAATACAGCCTTGTCTTCCTCAATTGACCCTTTTGCACTTAATACACTTCTATCACACACCATACCCCACTGGGGATATGCTATGTCAGCCAAGACATTTTCCTTTTTGTTCCCCAGATGTGCTGTGTTTATTCCTTCACAGGTGAATAAAATCTCTGCTAACAGCAGAACCTACAAGCATATTTCCTTTACTATCCAGAGAAGATGTACTCCATCTCCCAAAATGATTGGTTTGAATTATGTTGCCTCTCTTGGCATTTACCAGACATTTCTAACTTCTACCTCAAGACCCCCATCCTTTCTTCTGTGAAGAGATGACCATGATAGAATAGCCATAGTAATAAAAACAGTGTTTTCAATGTGCCAGGTCTGGGAGGTGTCCTGGTTAAAAATAAAAGCTCTGGAGTCAGTCTAGTGTTTCAGTTTTGGCTCTGCCACTTACAAAGGTGACTTTGAGAAATAGCTTAAACTCTTTAGTTCACTCATCTGTAAAATGGGGATACTTACAGTATTCTCCTCATGGAGTTGATGTGAAGAGTAAGTGAGTTCGTGTATGGAAAGCATTTATCATGGAGGTACATAGTAGTTTCTCTGTACAAGTTAGCCATAGTATTATAAATAACCTACCTGAAATCACAGAGCTATGGGTTGGTGGAGAAGTCCTGGAAAGCCATAGTCACTGCTCAAAATGAAATGTAAGTCTTATTACTATTATTCATTGGAGGACCTTTCCTTTCTTAAATTTCCATTTGGAGGACACTTCATTAAATGCTCATTTTTTTTTGGTTGCCCCTTCCGCTCCAGACACACTTACACTCATTCCTTGCTGGAAGAGAGGGATGATTCATCTGGTTGCTAAGTTTTAATGAAGGAACTGAGCATGGTGGCTCATGTTCCTCCTGCCTCTGTTTTGTCACCTGGCTGCAGAGGATTTACATGCTCCTTAGCAGGCACCTGGGAGTCAGAGGGCGAACTCTAGGTGTCCAGGGCTGCCAGTGCCTGGGTTGATACATGTTCCTTTATCATATCTGGTATTAGTAAGCCCATGTGGCTACATGCCTGAGGCATATCCTTCTACATAGGCCTTATCAGTAATAAAGCTTATATTTTGATATTTATCTGCTTGACACCTATGTCTATCTATTAATTGGGTTCTGAACTCAGGCTTGGGAAAGGGAGGTACTATTTATTAACTCTTCAGACCCCACCAGTATCCTTCAAATAGACCATCAAGCTCTGTTGATTACCTGGTCTTGATTTCTCCTAAATTCAATTCTTCTCTCTGGCCTTTGTGTCATTGCCTTGGTGTAGAATCTTATCAGTATTGCAGTAGCTTTCTAACAGTTCTCATTGCTAATAAAGAATGAGTTATATAGAGAATAAAAAGTTTCTATTTCAGCCCATCCCTCTTCAACTCTGCACCTCTGTCTCAGCCCTAGAGTGCAGATATGACACTCCCCTACTCACAATTCTTAAATGTTTTTCTCTGACTACAGAACAATACATTCCTTAGTGCTGAATACAAGGGCTTCAAGGCCTGGCCACCCCTTACCCTTCTCAGTCATATGTATGCCTTAAGCAGCCTCTGTTCCAATTAATTTTAGCTAGTTGTTACATTATTAGACATATCAGGTTCTTCTTTACCTGCATGACTTTGCAGATACCATTTCCTCACTTTAGAATGCTGTTTCCCCCTTCTGTACCTGGCCACCATGAATTCTTAAACTATTAGCTTAAGGGCTGTCTTCTCTGGGAAGCCTTACTTTCCACTGAGTACATTCTACTTGTGGGCATCTATGGCACTTACCCCACAGAGGTGCAAATGTCTGCCTTCACCTGTCTGCTCTACTAGTTAATGAGCATCTTTAAACTGAGCACTTAGCTGCAATGTTTTGTCCTGAGGAGGAGCCATGCATCTTCTTGTATCTTCTTGGTTCAAGTTGATGAACAGACAAATCACAGAAGAGGAAAACTAGCAGTTAAATAAACGTATAAAAAGCAGCTCAACCTCAAGAGTGATTAGGAAAAATTCAAATTAAAACCACAACTGGATGCCATTTCATACTTTTAGGGTTGGCAAAACTTAAAAAGCGTGGTAAAACCAAGTGCTGACATAGATGCAGGCAACTGGTCCTGCCATGCACTGTTTATGGTAGTGGCAATTAGAACAATCACTCTGGTGTAATTTTACAACATCTAGTAAATTTGAAGATACAGGCATGCTATAACCCAACCATTGTACTTCTAGTTATGTCCTCTGAACAAATTCTGGCAGCAGAAAAGTACAAGTATGTTCATTGCAGCATTACTTGTAATTATGACAAGTCAAAGGTGTTTAAATATCCGTCTGCAGAAGAATGAATAATAAGTCATGGTGCATTTATGAAGTAGAATATTATATAGCAGATGACATAAATAAACTAGAGCTAAAGTTATCAACATGAATAAATTTCACCCACTCACCATGAAGAGTGAAAATGAAAATCGTAAAATGATACTTACAGTATACCATTTATTTAAAGTTTAAATAAGCAGCCAAAACAATATAATACATTCTTTAAGTATACACACATATGTAGTAAAAATATAAAGGAATGTTTAGGAACAATAAACACCAAGTTCATGTTCTGGGTTTTTCTGGGAGGGAGTGGAATGAACATAAGGGATCTTAACTGTGTTTGTAATGTTTATTCTCAAACCGAGTAGTGAGGTCATGCTCACTCTGTTATCCTCTGCTGCTTGATTATCTCTTGTATCTTGTTTTTCAAATGAGCAAAATCTTTTATCACCAAAAGAAAAATAAAAAACCCCATATTTTGGACTTGGATTTCAATTCAAATCCCTTTTCTTCTCTTTAGTAGAAAGGACAAGTATCATAACCCCTCTTGGCCTCAGTTTTCCCATCCATAAACTGAGAATAGTAATTCCTTATTCTGTTGGTTATGTTAGGATCAAATGAGAGATTGCAAGCCAAACAGCACAGTATCTGGTACACATATTGAACATCCAACTAATGTTAGAATTGATGATAATTCTAGAAGGTTCTTTATATATGCATGTTAAGTTTAAAGTGAAATAATGTCAGATGTCAATAGCAAATACATTATCAGTTCCCCTCCTGCCTATCCAACTCCCAAAACCTCAACCTGAAAGGTGGGTGATGCATTTAATTTTTCATGTTTCGAGTTTAATTAAGTCTTTCCCTTAGGTCATGACTGCATAGGTCAATATTGTTTTCAAGGCTGGGTTAATGTCCTTGACTTTTTAGATAATTTAGATAATTGAGATGCTTCAGGCAGAACCTGTCTAAATGCATAGTGTGTTGGACACAGAGGCGAGTCCTGACACATTAAATGTTCTCTCTCTCTCTCCCACACACACACACACACACACACACACACACACACACACGCGCACACACACTGCAGTCCATCCTGCACATTGCATTACTCTTCTTGCTTTAAACTATTTAAGTGGCTTTTGAGTTCATTGCAAACTGAATCCCCTGAACCCAGATCAGCTCTACTTCCTGGCTTCCTTTCTGGCCTATCTTTGCCCCAGCAAAACCAAGTGATGTGTCTTGTTCCACCTCCACACCTGTGCTGCAACATCACAGCCAAATGTAGAGCATCCTTGGAATGCGCAGGCCTCCTTGATAGTCTGACTTCCCATGGGCGAGATCAAGGAACCAAGGAACGAAGGAACAGTCCGCTATGCATGCTGCAGAAGAGAATAACGTAAAAAGCAGTGTGGTAGAAAGAAGGCACATATCAGAAAGCTGGGGCAGAGTCAGGCAATATGCTGGACTTTTGTAATACATTTTGTTAATAATTCCCTCCTGCCATAAAATTGAAGAATGGCTATAATATCAGTTCTGAATATCATGATTTAATGTTCTAATGAATTATTATAAAACTCCATGGGGGATCTAAAAGTCTAGTAAACAAATCTTTTTGCACTGCAAACCTTGCCCAAATATTCTGGAGCCAGAAATCCAGGTTTCGAATCTCAGCTTTCTGTCTACACAGAGAGGTTAAGTTACTTGTGACCTTTAGTAAATTACTTTACCTCTGTGACTCTTTAAGGTGAAGGAAATAATAGTGCCTATTTCACAGGTTTATTGTGAAGGTTAAATGAGTTAATATGTGAAATCAAATCGTGCCTAATAATAGAAAGTGTGAAAACTGTTAGCCATTCTTCCCTGCCTAATTTGGTTGGACTACAAAAGGTTCTTTGTATCTTAATATAAGTTGTTTGTATTTTAGAAGCGCAAGCATAATTTGACTGTTTTAACAGAATTACTGTTAAATAGGCTGATAGGGACCATGAAGAAGCAATAAGACCAGACAGTAGGCTTTTGAAGGAATCTAGGTGAGAGATGATGGTGGTTCACACAGGGTGCTGACAGGTGAGGTGATGAGAAGTCTATACAGCAAAATCTACTAAATAATCTCTCATCCCCCATTGCTTTGTGGTACCCATCTTTATCACAAATCAAGCACCTTTGCACGTACGTGTGAGTGCGTATTGTATGCATGCATATGTGTGTGATGTGTGTGCATGGATGTGTGTGTGTCTTTGAGCGCTACTCGATTCTTTGCATCTATCTATTCTGTGAGTACTATAAGATTTTTAATACAAAGACTTTGTGATATGTGTTAGTATCTAGTAGAGTGAGTCCTCCTTTTTTGTTCTTCTTTTTCAAAGTTAACATAGTTATGTTCTTTTATTCCACTGTATACATTTTTTGAGTGAATTTATCACATTCCTCAAAGGAGAAATTGTATTTGGAATGATACTAAGTCTGTAATTAATTTGAAGAGAAATGTCATCTTTACGATGTTGTTATCACTTCTATGCATTCATATCCTTTCCTTATGTCCCATAATTAAAATTTTAAATTAGTTCCCATAAAAATCCTTTATATTCTTTCTTAGGTTGATTCTTAAATGCTTTGCTGTAAAGAAAGAGTAGGTTATTTTCTATTTGATTAGGGCTGGAATAAAGAAATATTGATTTTCATAAATTGATCCTGTTCTAGTAACCTTGCTGAGGTTTCTCATTAGATCCCATAATTTATCTCTATTTTATTGGGTTTTTACATTTTCTGCAATTGATTATAGTTTGGAACTGAAGTTCATAGTTTACTGCCTGAAAGTTGAAATTCTAATTTTAATAAAAGTGCAAAATTCAAGATCCCTTCTTTTCTTAAGGATAAACAAAATGTACAATTCCAGGACCTTAGTGAAATGAGAGCTAGGGATAATCAAACTATTTTTCCAGTTATAATCACACCAAACCACATTCCCAAACACAGTATCTTTCCTAATGTTAGTGATGACATTAGCAGCAATAAAAATACGAATCGTTCAATTTACATATATTTTAGCATAATAATTCCGAACCATAAATGAATATCTCAACCTTTTACATGTTTAAGTTATTATACCACAAGTAAATGTTATGTTTTTATTTTTTCTTTCATTATACATACTTGTCTTTGCTTATAATATAAACATCAATGTCATATTGTTTTTCATTTCATTCACATATCATATACATTAATTTAACACAAGTCAGGATTTATAATTATATATTAATAGTAAAATTCACCAGATATTTAAATATTTAAATACAAGACTGAAAAAGGAATCTATTTTCAATTTTGTTTTATTTGCATATTTTTTCACATAAAGGAATTCAGGAATCCATCAGTTTTCAGCCAGTTTAGAATTATAACTTCAGGTTTAAGAAAAGGTCATTCATTTATATGGACTTACAGGTAAGAATAATTGTGAATTTCTATGAGCAACTCAAATAACAGTTTATGTAGTCACATCACTTTTTATTAAGTATAAATATTCAAATGGGATAGTAATTTAAAACATTTCTAACAGTAGAAACAATTTTTCAGCTTCATAAATTACCAAGGGATGCCATTTCTAGTTGAGGATAGTCCAGTGAAAACATTAGCATACAAGTTTGTTTTTAGACCATACATAAGAACACACAAAAATTAATTCACTGTGACATAATATTCTTCTGTTTAGGAGTTTGCAATATTCAAAGAAAAGGAACAAATTGTATTCCAAGGACATCTCATGAAAAATTAGAAGGAGTATAAGTAGTCAAAACTAAGGAAATAATTACAAAAACTACAGCATATCAACTATGGAATATTAGGCAGCCATTGAAATTTAAAAACTATATAGCATATTAAAAAGTATCTATGCTCTTGAGTAAAGAAAGAAAACTTATAAAAGCTGAATATAGCCAGGTGTGATGGTGCATGCCTGTACTCCCAGCTGCTTGGGAGGCTGAGGTGGGAGAATCCACTTGAACCTGGGAAGTTGAGGTGACAATGAGTCATGGTCACGCCACTGCACTCCAGAATCCACTTGAACCTGGGAAGTTGAGATGACAATGAGTCATGGTCACGCCACTGCACTCCAGCCTGGGTGACAAAGCAAGACCCTGTCTCAAAAAACAAAATAAAAACAAACAAGCAAAAAAGTAAAAAAAAAAAAATTGAACAAATGCAAGGATCTTAACTGTATGTTTAAAATACAGTTGTTGCCCAGGCGTGGTGGCTCACGCCTGTAATCCCAGCACTTTGGGAGGCCGAGGTGGGCAGATCACGAGGTCAGGAGATCGAGACCATCCTGGCTAACGTGGTGAAACCCCGTCTCTACTAAAAATACAGAAACAAACGTAGCCGGGCGTGGTGGCGGATGCCTGTAGTCCTAGCTACTTGGGAGGCTGAGGCGGGAGAATGGCGTGAACCCGGGAGGTGGAGCTTGCAGTGAGCCGAGATCACGCCACCGCACCCCAGCCTAGGTGACAGAGCGAGACTCCATCTAAAAAATAAAATAAATAAATAAATAAATAGAAGTGTCCTTGGCCAAGTAAAAAATGAAATTATTACTTATAGAGTGGTGAGATCCTTAGAGAATTCTTCATTCTCCAAATTTACGGGGGTAGTAATAATAACAGTCACAAAAATACCTTGAATATCTGCTTTTGTGCCAGGACCTATACTAAATACTTTATATACATAATTTCTAATCTTTGCAAAAATCACTGTCAGTGCTTCTCAAGCTTTAGTGAACATCAGAAGGGCTTGTTAAAACACAGATTGCAGGCCTACCTGCCAGACTTTCTGATTCAGTAGGTCTGGGATAGATTTCAGAATTTGAATTTCTAACGAGTTCCTAGGAATTTTGATGCTGTTGGTTAAGGTCCACACTTTGAGAATCTCTGATTTATAACATAGGCATATTCCCCATGTTGTAAATGGGGAAATGAGGAGTCAGCAGTTAAATAACAAAGCTAGTAAGCTATAGAGAGAGGATTTACCACAAGTTTATTTAACTCTGAAGCTTGTCCTTTTTTTTTTGAGATGGAGTTTCAGTCTGTCGCCCAGGCTGGAGTGCAGTGGCACGATCTCGGCTCACTGCAACCTCTGCTGCCCAAGTTCAAACAATTCTCGTGCCTCAGCCTCCTGAGTAGCTGGGATTACAGGCGCCTGCCACTGTGCCCAGCTAATTTTTGTATTTTTAGTAGAGCTGGGGTTTCACCATCTTGTCCAGGCTGGTCTTGAACTCCTGACCTCGTGATCCAACTGCCTCGGCATCCCAAAGTGCTGGGGTTACAGGCGTGAGCCACTGCGCCCAGCCAGCTTGTTTTTACGCTTTCTTTCTCCATGGAGTGTGATCTTATTGCTCAACCACCAAGTGTCTTAGTTATCTTGTTGGCTTCATCCTCCCAGGGTGCTGCACAACAGCCGACCACTCATTAGGAGGCTTCCTAAGATGGCATATGCCTGGGAGAATCAAAGTCTTGCTTTTTGGGTTCCAAAATCTAGAAACTGAGATCTTGCTGGTATTCCTGAGTTAAACTGGACTTAAGGGAAATTCCTCACATGAGCAAAGCTCTCAACAGGCTGATGTATGAAGTCAGGATGCCAGCTTACTAAGAGAAATGTTATTACCACGGGACCAGACATTCTTGGTTGGCCTGACTGGGCACACTTTTCCTGAAGATATGTTCCATGCATGAAAAACCAAATTATCAGAAGGCCACTTGGTGACAATGGAATCAAGGCTAAGAGATTTAATAATATAGTTTAAATATTTCATGTCATAAGTCTCTACTGGTGTGTCCCATTGCATATATTTTTAGAAAAGAGAATCCACAGCAGGTAGATTGGTATCTGAGCTGGACTGATAAAGTGCTTCGCTGATCCCTGGATGCTGCTCAAAGGGGCCTGACAGATTGGCTCTTAGAAGTCCCATCTTTCCTAAGTTTTTTAAGACCAATTATATCTTCTTTCTGACTGATTGGGTTTTAGGTGTCTAAGTAGCTTCAATCTGATGAAAGTCAAGGCTTGTACATCTGGGTAGCATTTTTCTTTTCTTGTTTTAAAAAAATTATTTCAACAAAAGCCACATTCAAGGCATTTTTCTTTTAAAGGTGACTTTGCATATGTCTTTGCTGATCTATTTTTAATTTATAACTGTAGTTAAGCACTCACTGGGCAGTCATTTCTATCTGCAATGGCTTGATTTTTGGATTGTAGAAATAAATTCGTGGAGGTATTGGTTTTCTTGGCTTTAGAAATGTGAGTCCCAAAGTGCAGAGAAAGGGTAACATCTGGAGGGCTGTTTAAGACCCTAGACCTGAGAGAGGTTATCAAAGGCAGAGACATTCTTGCTCTCATCAGCAGGGCAAGACTTGGAATAAGAGGCATAAGAGATGCTCATCAGTGAAAACAGATTCAATGAACACATTCAATTTGTTGGCACACGTGGATGATTGCCTTTGTGGAGGTCCTGGCCAGGGCATGCCCTTCCCATGCTCTTGTTTCACTCTGTAGGCCAGTAGTTCTGAAAGCGTGGCCCCCTTGAGCAGCAGGAGCAACCACTGGGAGCTTTTTTGGAATACAGATTTACTGGCCCCGCCCAAGACCCACCATATCAGAAACTGTAGGAATGAGGCCCAACTATCTGAGTTTTCCTAAGGCTTCCATGTGAGTCTGATGCTTGCTACAGTTTGAGAACCATGATCCTATACATTTATGTCTAAGTTACTTGAAGAAGGAGCTCTCATATATTCTAATATGTTCCATACTTTCCATACGTGCCATCAATAGGCACAGGCAGGGCCCACTGCACCTGTGGATCTCTCACAGAAACTGGAGTTGTGGGTGAGTTCCCTCTTGGATTTGAGCTCTGCAAATTTATGTTTTGAGCTTTCTGACTTTATTGAAGCAATTTTCACTGGCCTGGGTCCAGGATCATCTTGGATACAATTAGCTGGGTTGGATATGGTTAGAGGTCTCAGGTAGGCATTTCTTGAAAACAGGTTCTTCCAAATATAAGGAGTCTGGGTCTCCAGGAGTCTGGGACTTCACTTTCTGGGACACTGGCTAACTTTATGCACAAAAATTATGCACAAAAAATTATTACAAGAACATACATCGGGGAAAGATCAACTTCTTCAATAAATGGTACTGGGAAAACTGGATATTCATATGCAGAAGAATGAAACTAGACTCCTATCTCTCACCATGCACAAAAATCAACTCAAAATGGATTAAAGACCTAAGTGTAAGACCCAAACTATAAAAGTACTAGAAGGAAACATTGGGAAAATGCTTTAAGACATTGGTCTAGGCAAGGATTTTATGGCTAAGACCTCAAAAGCACAGGCATCAAAAATAAAAATAGACAAATGTGAATGTATTAAATTAAAAAGCTTCTGGGCTGGGTGTGGTGGCTCACGCCTGTAATCCCAGCACTTTGGGAGGCCAAGGCGGGCAGATCACGAGGTCGGAATATCAAGACCATCCTGGCCAACGTGGCGAAACCCCGTCCCTATTAAAAATACAAAAACTAGCTGGGTATGGTGGTGCGTGCCTGTAGTCCCAGCTACTTGGGAGGCTGAGGCAGGAGAATCGCTTGAACCTGGGAGGCGGAGGGTGCAGTGAGCTGAGATCGCACCACTGCACTCCAGCCTGGCAACAGAGTGAGACTCCAACTAAAAAAAAAAAAGGTTCTGTACAGCAAAGGAAACAATAAACAGAGTAAAGAGACAACCCACAGAATGGGAGAAAATATTTGCAAATTTTTGATCCAAGAGGGAACTAATATCCAGAATATACAAGGAACTCAAAGAACTCAACAGCAAAAAAATAAATAATTCCATTAAAAAGTGGGCAAAAATCGAAGTAGATATTTCTCAGAATAAAACATACAAATGGCCAATGGCTATTATGAAAAAATGTTCAACATCACGAATCATAAGGGAAATGCAAATCAAAACTGCAATGAGATATCATCTTATCCCAGTTAAAATGGCTATTACAAAAACCAAAAAATAACAAATGCTGATGAGGATATGGAGGAAAAGAAACTTTCATACACTGTTGGTGGGAATGTAAACTAGTACAACCATTTTGGAAAACAGCATGGAGGTTTCTCAAAAAGTTAAAAATAGAACTACCATATGATCCCACAATCCCACTACTGGATATTTATCCAAAGGAAAGGAAATTAGTATATTAAAGGGATACCTGTACCTCCACGTTTATTGTAGCACTATGCACAATAGCCAAAATATGGAATCAACCTAAGTGGCCGTGAGTGGATGAATACATAAAGATAACATGGTATATACACACAAAGGAATACCATTTATTCATAAAAAAGAATGAAAACATGTTATTTGTAGCAACATAGATGGAAATGGAGGTCATCACGTTAAGTGAAATAAGTCAGATACAGAAAGACAAATATTGCGTGGTCTCACTCACATGTGGGAGGTAAAAATGTTGAACTCATGGAGGTAGAAAGTAGAATGATAGTTACCCGAGGTTGGGAAGGGGGTGAATGTGTGTGTGAGTGTGTGTGTGTGTGTGTGTGTTTGTGTGAAGGAGGTAGAGGAGACGAAGAGAGAGAGGTTTATAGGTAAAAACATACAGTTACATAGAAAAAATAAGTTATAATGTTTGCTAACAAAGTAGAGTGACTATAGTTAACATTATATTTTATATTTCAAAATAGCTAGAAGATCTGAAATGTTCCCAACACAAAGAAATGATAAATGTTCAAGGTGATAAATATGCTAAATACCCTGATTTGACCACTACACATTGTATGCATGTATCAAAATATCACATGTACCCCCAGAAAGATGTAAAAACATGTAACAGTTGAAAAATCAAAAAATGTATGGGCCTGGAACCTGTGTATTTTTGGAACAATGGGTTAATCTTACAAAGGACAACCTAGAATGACAGTGGCCACAGTGGGGAAGTTTTAATCTGTCTGTAGGCTGAGGCAACTAAGGAGGTTTGTTTTTTCTTTTTCTTTTAGGAATATTTAAAAATTCCCTCTTCCTAGGGGAGGACACTATGTAGGTAACAATTTCACTACTGCTCTTTCAATATGTGTCTGTTCAGAAAGAAGGCTTCACCTCATCAGTTCCCACTTGGGGGAATTTTTAGAGTTTCAATTTCAGGACATTCCAATTTAGAAATTTCTTTAGTTTGTTGTGCTTCCCTTTATGTCTGGAACTGCATTTTTAATATCTTGGCAGATGGTGTGTAAACTCAGGAATTTTATACTCATAATTTTCTTAGTATGCTGGTAGGGCATTTCTTCCGAGTGTAGTTTTTTTTTTCTTCTGATTATAGCATAACTGCAAGACTTTCATCAACCAATTTGGAGGAATTTGGGCATATCCTACCCATATTTGCGCATTAAGCAGCAGTTTCTAATTCTTATTTCTTTTAATAAGTATTTATTTTTCTTTCAGTGAAACTTTGCAATGTTATCAATAGCTATTTCATTAAAGGAGAACAAACATTTAGGTTGTGTGTAGAGATTGAATTTATGCCAAATTATGCTCAAAGTCTTTAGGTTATAATGTTTTCCAAATAACAGCATAGAAGATTTTTGTAATAGAGAATAAGGCTGCATGGTTTTAAGTTGGATCTTTTGGATATGAGAATTTGACTTGGGACCCATGTCCAACCTGGTCAACCTACTGATGAAACACATTAGTGTTCTAAGGTTTGTTTCCTCACAAATTTGAAAAGTTAACTTTGTACAACCCTTGCTGTTATGATCAATCCTTTAACAACCAAGTATGTATTAAGTATTCATTATTTACTCAGTATTGTATTTGCTTCAGTGAGGGACACAAGCCATTTAAGACATGGTTTCTGTCCTGAAGAAGCTTAAAAATCCAGATAAAAGAAGAGAACTAACATGCATAGAGAAATGTAATGCAAGACTATGAATTGGAGGAGAACATTTTTCCCACCACTGGCTTTTTTGAGGGGGACTTCAATGGAGTACACTCCAGGTTTCTCTTTCCCCTTTATTCACTCCACCTTCATGGACTGAACAGTATGCTCAGGACAATTCCATCCTCCTTTCTCCTCTTGGGAGCTAGCTTGTCTATACAGAGCATGGGCCTTCCTCGATGCTTCCCTTCCAACTTGTGTGTTTCACTTGGGTGTGCATCCACCTCTTGCCCTGCTCCAGGGCTGCCTGAGATTGGGGGTAAGTCTACCTAGATAAATAAACTAGGGGTTAGTCTTAGCAAAATCACGTAGTAATAAAGTCAATATTTTGATCTTTATGTTTATTCTTCTTTTTAACTCTCAGTTTTTACAGAAATCAAGTTGGGAAGAGACCTGAATAATATATGATACTGAAGTTAACATCCATAGTAAGTCAGGGTGGGCTATGATTGTTTGGGAAAGATCTTGTGAAGATTTGTTGGGATTGAGTCTTGGAGGATGAATAGAATTTAGAAAATAGAAAGAAGGGAGTCTTTTCAGCCTCATTTGCCTCATAGTCTTTTAACTTTTAGGCTGATGAAGTGTAGAGAAGTAGCACAGTTATTTTCCTATCTCAGATGATTTCATGGGACAAAGGAAAATAAATTGAAAGGAGAATTCCAGATTTTCAGAAGTTGCCAGGTTTATGGAATGAAGCAAAGATATGTTCATGACTGGTCTAATTACAAAAGATTCTCTAAAGGAGTGTCATTTGCCCAATCCCACTAGTCAAACACATCCAAGTCCTTGGAGAAATGGGTCTGTCTGCCAGAGGGCACTGGTGCCTTCAAGTCCTGCTGATGCGGATGGAGAATCAGATGCCAAACATGGAAAACATGACCTTCTGATGATACATTTGAAGGCAGCTCTTCCTCATATTGTGTAATTACAGGCAAATCATCTAAGTGTTCTGGGTTTCATTTCTCATCCATCAGAGGTTGGGATAAAGTGGATGTTCTTAAAGGCCAGTGACAGCTCCTGGACAGAGCTTCTGTTAGAGAATTTGTGTACCAACCTGGAACTCTATAAAACCTTGTGGAATTGAACCAAAACAAATAGAAAATGTCTATGATCTTCAAATTAACCCTCCTACTGTGTTTTCAAATGGATCTAAAATACACATTTACATGCTGAAAGGGCATAAATCCTCTCAAAGATTATTTGATATCTGAGCTGATTGCAAAAGGATTGATTTCCAGCAAATGTGGCAAAATGAGTAAGAAGAATTCAGGACATTGTTTTATGCACTCTGATTTTCAATAAAAGATCATTGATTCCAGATGATATTAAGGATTCCTTAGCATGTCACCAATGTTCCTGTGTCTTACTATTTCCTCTGTCTTCCTCCCTATCCCCAATCTCCCCTAAATCTATGGCCAAAAAAGTTAGCAAATGTTGGAGGAGGAAAGTTGGAGTACTGCTGTGTTTATTTTGCTTTATTTGTTCTGGATGTAGAGTTAAAACCTTCCAGTAGATGAACTGTATCAAGGGTTTTTTATTTTATATTGTGAAATGTGTTGTTATGCACAGTTCATTCTACTAAAAGACAAAACATGTAAACCTAAATTAAAATGCATAGTGTGGATCCCTCAGAGGGGGCTTTCGAAACACCCAGGCATAAAATGTTGCATAGGTTTCTTGTTAACCAGAAAATTATTTTAGCAAGCGATCCTTCCTGAGGCCTCGGGTAGGAGCTGGTGCGTCGTGAGCCTCCAAAGTTGTGAGGTGGGTGCTTGATATTGCTCACATTTATCTCACTTGCCAGGAACTTCACATCGCCATCTGTCTCAAGCTTTGCCAGAAGCTACCTGTGGTTTCTGAAGGCCAGAAAGGTCTGGACAACAGGGGGCTTAGGGAAATAAAGTGGAAATAAAATATTGTAAATTTTTTTGTGGTTGCTAATGCTTCTCTTGACACATTGTATGAAGTATTGAGCTCTCTCTCTCTCAGGTTTCATGCTGTGAGGATGCTTTCATGATGATATTTTAAAAAGACAAAACCAACTTCCTATGGTGGACACAGGCATAACCTGGTATCTAAAATACAGTTATCAGCCCTTACATTTGAGCTATTAGCTGGTGCTCCAGATGAAGTGAACCACTGGTGAAGAGCTCTCTGTAGGAAGAGGCTGAAATTGTTCACTAAACCTCAGCTGTTCTATAACTGAAAGAAATAAGAGAGCTGAAACAGTGATTAGTAGAGTTCAGAAAAACCCTCTTTTAGGCTAAATTTCCAGTAATTGTCTCAATGCATTGGTATGAATACTGACAACTGCCCCTTCTGTCCTCTATAACTACATTCTTTAAAGAAACATTCTGGAAATCAGATTTTAAAATTGTGCCTATTGAATGAACTGTGGACCATGAAGGCCTTAACTAAGCAAGTGAAGGGGAAATGAAAGTTGTCTAGGTAAATGAAGATGTCACAGTAAATATGTTGCATTTTTATTTCCACTTACAAATCAAAGCCTAACTCATGTAATACAATCCCAAAAAATGAAGCAGTGAATGTAAATGGTAGTTGGCCAGCAGTTCTAAAAGACAAAGTATAGGCCAGCTACTTTGTTACTTGCTCTGGGACCTTGGCCAAGCTACTTAACTCCTGTTGCCTGATTTCTTTTTCTTTCTTTCTTTTCTTTTTTTTTTTTTTTTGTGATGGAGTCTCGTTCTGTCACCCAGGCTGGAGCTGCAGTGCCGTGGTACAGTCTCAGCTCACTGCAACCTCCTCCTCCCAGATTCAAGCATTTCTCCTGCTTCAGCCTCCTGAGTAGCTGGGATTACAGGTGTCCCCCACCAGGCCCAGCTGATTTTTTTTTTTTCAATAGAGACGGGGTTTCACTATGTTGGCCAGGCTGGTCTCGAACTCCTAACCTCAAGTGATCCACCCGCCTCGGCCTCCCAAAGTGCTAGGATTACAGGTGTGAGCCACTACTCCCAGCCCTGCTTCCTGCTTTCTAAAATGTAGATGTGTGAGGGTGTTATGACATACCACATGTTAATTCACCACTGCTCCCAGCCCTGCTTCCTGCTTTCTAAAATGTAGTTGTGTGAGGATCTTATGACATACCACATGTTAATTCACCAAGCCTGGTGCTTGGCACATTGTAAGGTTCAACATTTTTACTCTTTCCTTTCCACCCCCTTTCTTGTCCCTCTTCGTGTTGTCTTAGTGTGACAAAGTTAAAAGGAGTAACAAGGTAACATCAGAAACCAAGACTTCCTGTTAATCTAAAAACAAAAATCACAATATTAAAGATATTTTCCTGGATAATACAAAAAAATGGAGTCCTTTGATTATGGAGAATCACCACTAAAAAATAAATTTTATTTCCACATGGTGGAAAGATTTCAAGATGTCCTGGTCTGTTCCGTAGAGGCTTGCCTGTCCTTCCTCATGACCTCCAAGATGTTCCTTAGCCATCTCTTGTATCTTTTATCAGTGATTGCTTGCAAAGAATCCACTCGGTTTGGAGTAGAAGTAGTTTTGGGATCTTTGGAAGAGCTGGGCACTGGGAAATGGGGAGTAGAAGCCTTGGAGCCTCCTCTACCTCTGACTTACTGTGGTTCCTTGGGCAGCCTCAGTTGAGAAAATTAGTGTAAAGGCACTTTTAAGGATCAAGATCTCTTCCTCCTCCTTTTCTCATTCTTCTCCTTCTAGCCAATGATGGAGACAATGTGAGCCCTTGTCCTCGATGGCTTTTGGTTTTATCGTTTGTCTATAGACAGCAGTATTTCATGAGTCCTTGGAAGGCATGTGTGTGGATCAAGGGTTCCAGGGCCCACTGGGTGGGGCAGGTACGTGAATGAAGGTAGGAGCCTAAGAAGAGAGGGCATGATGGACACTGGTCAGTTGGGAAAGCAGAGCCCACCTGGGCTTTATTCTAAACTCTTCTAAATGCATTTAAATGTGGACTTATAAAAATGGCATCTGCAGCTGGATTCAGCCTCAAATAGCCAGTTGATAGACTCTAGTGTGGACAGCAGGTGGAAAGTCAGGTGAAGCTGAGAAAGGTGCTTACTGGTGTCATCTAGGTGTTGTTTTTTCAGAAGAGGTGGGTCCCAGTCTGAGTTACAGTTTTTTTCTGTTTCTAAACAATTCAGCTTCATTAGAGTCTCACATCCTGAAAAATCAGCAGAATTTTAACTGCCTCAATTTCTCCGAGTCAGCATTGGATGCTGATGTGTTCCCAGTCACACCTTTGGTTTGCTTTGCAATTCAAAATTTGGTTTCCCTGCTGTGGCTGATGCAGTTGGCTTTGGTTATAGTGCAATAAATTCAAATAAACATTTATGAGGGTAAGTAATCACATTTTATGCAAACAAATTATTCTTCCTTAAAAGTCACTTTAAAAAGTGCATACTGTATCTTTTCTCAGTCAGCACATCAAGCTAATAACAGTTACTGTATCATAAAAATTTCCTTCATGACTGTTTATTGTTCCATTTATGTTAAATTTGAAGACTGGTCTCTATTTTGTTTCTCCCCTCCCCCCATTAAAATTTTATACTAGTACAAGAAATCATCATTAGTTCACATATCATATAATTGTGCCAAAAAATCTAGAGCTGGCTACTCCTGAGAGAAGACAGTGTCCATTAAAAAATGTATGTAGGTTCCAAATCCAAGGAAACACGAATTACTAGCTAATTAACATTGAATATTTATGACGCAAAGTGTCTTCTTGGTCTAAGAATGAATACTTTTTCGCCCATTTTAGGAGTCCATTTTGCTTCCTTACTAAAGGACACCTGGGCTGCTGCTGCAGAATTTAGGCAGGATGTGATGGAGGAGAACTCTCCTCAACCGCTCTTTCCTGCCAGTGGAGGAGGAACGTAATGAAACAGACTTGTGCCTTGAAGCACTTATTTGAATGCAGGAAGGTACCTCCAGGGAAGAGGGTGGGAGATACTTTTACTTCTTTATTTTTTATTTATTTATTTATTTTTTGAGACGGAGTCTCGCTCTGTCGCCCAGGCTGGAGTGCAGCAGCGCGATCTCGGCTCACTGCAAGCTCCACCTCCCGGGTTCACGCCATTCTCCTGCCTCAGCCTCCCGAGTAGCTGGGACTACAGGTGCCACCACCACGCCCGGCTATTTTTTTTTTTTTTGTATTTTTAGTAGAGACGGGGTTTCACCACGTTAGCCAGGATAGTCTCCATCTCCTGACCTCGTGATCCGCCCGCCTTGGCCTCCCAAAGTGCTGGGATTACAGGCGTGAGTCACCGCGCCCGGC
Source organism: Homo sapiens (assembly GCF_000001405.40). Classification (NCBI taxonomy): domain Eukaryota; kingdom Metazoa; phylum Chordata; class Mammalia; order Primates; family Hominidae; genus Homo; species Homo sapiens. The sequence continues at coordinate 53,606,260 of NC_000002.12, read as the reverse complement.
CGAGATGCTTTTACTTCTAAGGGAAATTATGGGAACAGAGGATTAGGGAAAATGGTGTGAGCCATTGTAGGATGCAGCCCTTCTGCAGTGTTCTGTGGGAGAAACCCTAAGCAGATAATCAGCATTTATTGTGTCCTCAGTGACTGGTCCATTCTATGCCATATACAACTGTCTTTACAGAGCTTGCAGTCTGCTGAGGGGAACATCCAAAACTATCTGAAGCCCCGGGCTGAACCAGGCTCTGCAGACATTGGTGGTGTCCTAGAAGGCTCTTGCTGAGGTCTTATGTCTGAAAAGAAACCCTCGGAAACCCACTTGAGTCTGTCTTGCATTTCACATGAGTGAGTACAGTCTGCTTACTTCCTGGTGAGAGAACATAACTGTCTAGAGTTTTCACATCCATATTCTCTGGAAGGTTCTAAAGATGATGGCATTTGACTGGGCAAAGCCTTGTACCCAGAATAAGCACCTGGATGTCATCTCCCCAAAGGTTGAGATGGAGGAGGCAGTGTAGAAACAGGAAACAAATATAGACTTGTGGGGGGAGATACAGGTCTAAATCCTAGTTTGGCCACTTACTAGCAGTGTAACCTTGGGCAGATGACTTAATCTCTCTGTACTTTGATTTCATCATCTGCAAAATAGGGTTAATATTACCTCCTTCTTGGGGTTATTGTGAGTATTAAATAAGAGAGCACATATAAAATATCCATCACAGCACTTGGCATAAGATAGGTACTCAAAAAATAGTAGCTTTATTATTTTTATTATGGTGATTTCCCATCATAGTAACTCTAATATAAAACAGTTAAGCTGATTTGCATGTACACTTAGATATGCAGTTTTCTCTCGTTATTTAAATACATTTTTATTCCATATTCAGTTTGAAGTATAGTTCATGTCATGAATATTACTTTGTCTTTAAACTAGAAACACTCAGAAAATTGTCAGCAATGTATAATAATTATAATATTTTTGTCTTAGCATTTAAAAAATAACCACTTATAAATATCTAAGTATAATATTTCCCTTTCTACTGAAGGGAAAATATTTTTCATTTATTGCAGTTCTACCTCTGAAAATAAACACCACAATGTAAACATACTAGCAAGGCTGTCTAGAGCTTAAAAATCAGTGAAAATGAATTTATAACTCCAGGGAAAGATAATGAATGCACACTTACAAACCTCTATTTGAGAAGATGTATGAATTAAGGGTAAAGGTGTGAAAAGTAGCCAAAATGGGGCACTGTCTCAAATTATTGGTAAAAATAGCGTTTAATCCTCATCATTCTCATCAACCTTGCCTGGCTTAATGCACCGTACGTTGTCTTTGGCCTTTGTAGAACAAGGCTTCATTCTGCAAAAATATCTGGGACCTTCAAATTCACAAGTGGATTTTCTGCTCAGGGGAGAGCTACCAATCGGTTGAAAGGTATGTTACAGCTCTAAGAAGCTGCATCCATTTCCTGTAGGATCCATAGTTTCTGGTTCTGGTTCCAGGGTAAGTATCACTTTACCTGTGTGGTTTACACCCCTTCCTCCATGGCTGGTTTCTGTTCCTGGGGCTGTTCGTCCCCCTGTAATTCCCGTCAACCACTTCTCCTTCTCTATGTTGACATCGGCTCCCTGAACTGCCCTAGGTGTGGTTGTGGTCTTATTACTCTTTATTTTGCCTATCTGCATTCTCCCACTTTGCAGTTCTGTGTAATTGCTGGGCCGCTGGGTTCTTTGCATCTGTTCTTGGAGGCCACTGAAGTCACGTCCTGAGTTACCTCTCATCTGGGCCTTGATTTGCTTCATCTTTGGCTGGGCCTCAACAAATCTCTTCACCTGAAAGGAACTCCTTCAAATGAACTGGTCGCCATATGAATTGATGCTACACTTTGAGCGTTGCCGCAGTCAGGTGAATTCAAGCTACAGAGAAGAGGCGATTCACATTTTTTCCTTCTGTCTTGTATTATTCCTCCGGCTCAAGAACCTGCCAGGTGATACCTCATGTGAGAGTGTGTGTGTGTATAAGATCTATCTTTCTACCTATAGTTGGAAGAAAAGTTTGTTATTTTAAATATTAGTTGCTGTAGGAGAGCATGCTCAAACTACCATGTGAGATCCATTAATGGGTAATGAAATCAGCATAACAGGTTTCAGCCAACTAGAATTTTTCCATTTAAAAAAAGTAGAATTAAAAAGGAAATATCAGGGTGCAGTTTATTTTTATTGCGTTTTACTTTTTTTTTTTTTTGAGATAGGGTCTCACTTGGTTACCTAGGCTGGAGTACAGTGATGCAAACGTGGCTCACTGCAGCCTTGACCTCCTACACTCAAACAGTCCTCCTACCTCAGCTTCCTGAGTAGCTGGGACCACAGGTATGCACCACCACACCTGGCTAATTTTTGTATTTTTTTTTTTTTTGTAGAGACTACTTTGTTTTAGGGTCTCACTCTGTTGCCCACTCTGGAGTGCAGTCGTGTGACCACAGCACACTGCAGCCTTGACATTCCAGGCTCAAATGATCCTCCCACCTCAGTCTCTTGAGTAGCTGAACTACAGGCATGCACCACCACACTCAGCTAATTTTTTTATTTTTTGTAGAGATGGGATCTTACTGTGTTGCCCAGGCTGATCTTGAACTCCTGGGCTCAAGTGATCCTCCCACCTCAGCCTCCTGAGTAACTGGGACCACAGGTGTAAGCCACAATGCCTAGCTAATTTATTATTATTATTATTATTATTTTGTAGAGATGGAATCTCCCTATGTTCCCCAGGCTGATCTTGAATTTCTGAGCTCAAGCGATCCTCCTGCCTTGGCCTCCCAAAGTGCCAGGATTATAGGCGTGAGCCACCATGCCTGGCCAGAGAGCATTTTAGTAAGGGTAAGAGATCTCTCTCTCTTTCTCTCTGTCTCTCAGTCTCTTTCTCATCCATCATGTTTGTATGTGTATATACTGAGTTGCAATGTAAATGTATTTCTTATTGAGGTTCTCAACCAAGAAAGTTTGAAAACCACTACTCTAGTAGAATTAGAGCAGAATTCCATCCAGGAGGAACATTTTTCTTTTGTTTTAAAAATTCATATACCTTCTTGGGGTGGTTTTATAGAAATGTTGATTTCTCTGCTTACTACCCGATTCAGCTCCATGCCAACTGCTACTAGGGTGCTTAGGGTAGGGCATGCAAACGAGAAAAATGATTTGCATAATAAAGTTTTCACCACCTTTCCTGTGGGCAAGAGAGTTCAGGGTTTGGAGGCTCTGCAAATAAACAAGAGAGGAATGTTGAGGAGAGGCTGCTGGAAGCTGAAGTTTGGGGGTTCAGATGACAGAAGGATGAAAGGACAAACACATAAACAAAGCTGGTGGCATGGAGGTAGGGGAGCAAGGAGAACCCAGATAGTGAGAAATTCTTTAAAATTAGGGGGAAAGACGGCCGGGCGCGGTGGCTCACACCTGTAATCTCAGCACTTTGGGAGGCAGAGGCAGGCAGATCACAAGGTCAGGAGATTGAGACCATCCTGGCCAACACGGTGAAAACCCGTCTCTACTAAAAATACAGAAAACAAAAAGTTAGCTGGGCATGGTGGCGGCCACCTGTAGTCCCAGCTACTCGGGAGGCTGAGGCAGGAGAATGGCGTGAACCCGGAAGGCGGAGCTTGCAGTGAGCCGAGATCACGCCACTGCACTCCAGCCTGGGTGGCAGACCGAGACTCTGTCTCAAAAAAAAAAAAAAAAAAAAAAAAACCCAAAAAAAAACTTAGGGGGAAAGGAAGGTGGCAGTAGAGGGAGGGGGTGAGGGAGTCCTTGAGAAATGTTGGCACGGATGTATGATAGTCAGTTTCAAGTTGTGTATTCCATGCTGCACTCCATTACTTCCAAATCCTCACACAAATACTTATTTTGCTCATAACCTTGTGTTTGTGATGTTCTGCAGAAAGAGGGCAAAAGACAGTGGTCCAGAACTCCTAACATGGAGCTGAGCATGTCGGTTAGGATCCAGAGAACAGCCACGAAGCAGGATTGACCCAAGTATGGAAGCTAGGTAACCCTTTCTCTCAAATATGCCAGGGGAAATGACATTTGAAAAGATAAGGATAAATTCTGATGTTCCAAGTCTCAATGTCCTGTAGCCAAAGAACACCAGGAACACATATGTGTTAATAGTTGAACAAGTTGGGTCTACTACTCATTGCAGCTGCAGCGGGGGAGAACTTACCTTGTGGGGAGCTGTGGGGCGTCTCAGTGAATGGATTTATGAAGGCTTGCAGGCTTTGGTCTTGTGTTGGGTGATTTTAGGGGAGGTTTTAAGGAAGCGGGCTTTGCTCTAATTGAATGCTGTCAGGAAGCGGAGATAATTGTATGATTGGTTATCCTAACTATCTTATGCATCGGGTGGGCAGGCTAGAATGAGGCTGAAACCTTAGTTGGTAAAGCAGCAGCAGTTGCACACATTAGCTCGGAGAGGGGGACATCTGGTATTTCGTGGGTTGGACAATATTCCTGCTTTGTCTGTGTTCACACGTATGGAGTGGTCTTATTTTTGTCCTGATCCGTCATGGGCACAGAGTGGCCTTGTTTGGTGCTGATGGTCCATAAAGTTATTTGTGTTCAACAAAAAAATACACCAAAGTGTTGCTCATAGTACCAGGCCTGTTCCCAGATAATCAGGGTCTGCTTGTCTCCTCAGTAGTATGGTCGTTTGAATCATTTTACTTGAATATTAAGAGACAGGGTGAGCCCAGGGAGTTGTGAGACTGGGGTCATCAAGATGACAAACGCATATTTTTATGCATACATATGTGATGTAGTTTATGTATACATAAAGGTTTCCTACATAGTTGTTTAATGTATGCTGTTTAATGTATGTTGTTTAATATACTTGTTAAGTACCAAGTTCCCTCTGTGAAAGGAAGGCAAATTTACATCTTCCTCATTAATTGAGAGAAATTCCACAATCTCTCTTGTGACTTTCATTAACTATCTTCAGATTTACCCATCAAGAAATTAGGGAGCTGGGCACCTGACTCAAAATTTTCTAGTATAATATGAGTGACAAGGTCAGATGTCTGTAAGGATGGATGGAACTGATTACCTCCACAAATTAGGATGGAATCTTGTAGATACGGAGTTGCAGCATTCTTTGTGTGCTGAGAGCTAGAAACCCTGCGGATGGCCTGAAACACGCAGTTTCCATGAGTCAGGTGGCTGGGCTGGGGAATGGTGCTGGCAATATAATGTTTGTGTGGTTAAATTCAGCTGAGCTCCACTTGAAATACAGCTGGCTGGGCTTCAAAGGAAAACAGAACTATAATGAATCATTGCACACTAGAGTGGGTTAATACCATAATATCACTGAGAAATCATTTGTAATAATGGTGAATTATACAACACAACAATATGCTGACTTTAATTCCAGTGCCATATGGCTTTTGGTTTACTTTTATGCCTTTGGGAGGGATAGGTTGCTGTGGTTTAAGGTTTTTTGCATGAAGAAGATCATAAAAGCAGGATGTTATTTTATTAGGAGAATAGAATTCTCAGTAAAATATAAACGTAGGACATAAAATGGAGATGGAGGAGGATTAGCAAATGCAAGATGACTTTTATTATTGTGTAGTCAATGAGAGTTGTAGTACATTTACCCCTCCTTTTTGTCGTTCCCGGGGCAGTGGGTGACTTCAGAATGCCTGGCTTCTGCTCTAGGGCTGCAGCATTCAGTGCAAACTTGTCTCTGGGTATGCTGCTTACACATCCCCACAAAGAAGGTTATGTTCCTTGTTTTTCAGAAAAGAACTCAGGTTGAGCACATCACCCTACTTAAAGTACACAGGACTAGGCCAGGCATGGTGGCTCATGCCTGTAATCCTAACACTTTGAAAGGCTCAGGTGGGCGGATTGCTTGAGCCCAGGAGTTCGAGACCAGCCTGAGAAACACGGTGAAACCCCGTCTCTACTAAAAAAAAACCCCACAAAAAGCTAGCTAGGTGGGGTGGTGCGCACCTGTAGTTCCAGGAACTTGGTAGGCTGAGGTGGGAGAATCACCTGAACCTGGGAGGTTGAGGCTGCAGTGAGCTGTGACCACTGGACTCCAGCCGGGGCATTGGTGTGGGACCCTGTCTCAAAGAAAAAAAAAAAATATGCAGGACTAAAAGCTGTGACTTCTAAGCGTCAAATTCATTTCAAATCACCATAGGTGCAGGTCAGTTGGCATTTCACTCAGAGAAGTGAATTTACCATTGCCCTTCTCTGTAACTCTGTTCCCTACTGTAGCCAAATGCTCACACCTATGTCACTTGTGAACCCTGTGCCAGCCAGGTGCTGGGATTGATGTCCCCAAAGTCCTGCAACTGGCAGAACTACATGATCGGTTGTGCATCTGCTGGTGCCTGGCTGGTGACTGTCTAGCTTCTTGGCCCGAGGTCCTACTTCTTGTTGTCTGTTTTCCTGAACCCTGGTCTTTGTTACCCTCTGACCCGGGGCACCTGTGCACCCATTAAATCCTGCCTGCCCCTTGCCTTGTGACCCCTGTTCTCTATTCCCAGGTGCTCTGCCCCATGGGGACTTGCCCCAGGTTCTGGACTATGTGCTTTATTATCTCTTTTAGCTGTCCACATTTGAATAACTTGGTTACTCTTATTTGTTTGTAGATTATAACATAAACACATTTTATTTTTCAAATATAAATTTATATTAAAATGTTGAATATGCTTTTAAACATACATATATTTCCCTGTCACTAGATCCTGAGACATCTTTGATATGCCTCTCTGAGAGGGTCATTATATCTACCAGCAACATGGTTCTGAGTCCTAGATGTCCATTAGAACCCCCTGGGGAGCTTAAAATAATGCCTGGGTGCTATTCCCCAAACTGATTTAGCTGCTGTAAAGGGTGGGCCTAGGCAACCGCAGGTAATTCTAATGTGTTGCCTGAATTGGGGACCACTAAGCTGGCACCATCAGCATTTTTAATGTTAGGTGAGGCATTAAAACGTACTTTTTAGGTATCATTGCCAGATTTAGCAAATAAAAATACAAGATGCCAAGGAGAATTTGAATTTCAGATATATGACAAATCATTCTTTAGTACGTGTCCCATGCATTATTTGGGACATATTTTTACTAAAAATTATTCGTCATTTATCTGAAATTCAAAATTAACTGCGGATCCTGCATTTTACCTGGCAACTCTACTTTTAAGGAGAATCCCATATTTTGGAGAATTTTTTTCATTTTACTCGTTTGATTGATAATCAAACTAATATGTTCTTTGTATTCATGCTCCATTGAAAAAGCACCTGAAATCAAGTTTGTGTGTTTATACCTAGGAATTTCTGAAGGAGAAAGCCTTATACATCCAAAGAAGCCAACATGTCAGCTAGCAGTGGATTTCTTTCTTTCTTTCTTTCTCTCTTTCTTTCTTTCTCTATTTTTCTTTCTTTCTTTCTCTCTCTCTCTTTCTTTCTTTCTTCCTGCCTTCCCTGCCTTCCTGCCTTCCTTCTTTTTCTTTCTTTCCCTCCCTCCCTCCCTCCCTCCCTCCCTTCCTTCCTTCCTTCCTTCCTTCCTCCCTTCCTTCCCTCCCTTTTCCTTCCCTTCCTTCCTCCCTTCCTTCCCTCCCTTTTCCTTCCCTTCCTTCCTCCCTTCCTTCCCTCCCTTTTCCTTCCCTTCCTTCCTCCCTTCCTCCCTCTCTGTCTCTCTCTCTTTCTCTTTCTTTCCTTTCTTTTTCTTTAGAGACAGAGTCAAGTGCAGTGGCATGATCACAGCTCACTACAACCTCGAACTCCTGGGCTCAAATGGTCCTCTTGCCTCAGCCTCTTGAATAGCTGGAACTACAGGTGCATGCCACCACACCTGGCTAGTTTTTGTATTTTTTTGTAAAGATGGTGTCTCACTTTATTGCCCAGGCTGGTCTTGAACTCCGAGATCAGGCAATCTTCCTGCCTCAGCCTCCCAAAGTGCTGGGATTACAGGCATGAGCCACCACTCCTGGCCTAACAGTGGATTTCTAACTCCCCAGCTCCTTCCTCCTTTTGTACTGTCTGGTCAGTGGCTTCTCCAGGCAAATTTATAATCATATCTTTGCGCTAGTGTCCTCTTTGAAGTAAGTCAGCCCATAAGTCAGTCTTGGCTTGGGTCATGAGAAGATTCCAAAGAACTCTTTGGAAGAACCCGGGGAGGCCTAGCTGAAGGGGAATGAACAAGTTCTGGGATGTGGAAAAAAGCATATACTGTATTGGCTTTGTCAAATGGGAGTAATGTGATTATGAACCAAGTTTTCATCAATAATGCATTATTATTTTGAAGACATTAGAAGTAACAACTGTTTACAAGGTTTATGACAGTTATGACATTTTAATGGGTCTTTAAATGGAGTGAATTATTAAAAAGCATACTTCAGATGAGGTCATGGACTCTTTAAGTTTCGAGATCAATAGAAATAGCCTGTGTGTGCCAATGTGGTGAAAGCTATGCCAGTAATTTGTGCGGGCAGGTTATCAAAATAAAATGGAACGATGAGAACCAACCTTCTCCTTCTTACCATCCCCTCTCATCCAACATACATCAAGAAGACCAGATATAGCACCAGGATCCAATAATGAAAGTCTCATCTGTTCCAGTTCTCATATGAAAAATACACATATATGTTGACCTTTCATTAAGTTATTATACTAAAAATGACAAGAAGGAAAATAAAAATAACAAGAAAAAAGAGATAGTATCTTCTGCTTTCCCATCTTTCCCTTAATGATCTGGTTGCTTATTTTGGTATAAATTTTGCAAAAATTTTATTGTTTATTATGCCTCCAAAACATTAAGAGTGTCAGCTAGTGTTTCACAACAACAAGAAAGTCTTTCTTCAAGTTGAATATTGCATAAGACCAATATATAAAAAACACAGATAAAAGCAGAGCTTTTCATTTGAAGAGGGGCCCGGGATTGAGCTATTTCCTCAGTCCCACTTATTTTCGTTTGAGGTGTTTCTGTAGAGAATCTCGAGGGTTCTAGTGAGCTCAGTTAAAAACCACTGCTGTAGACCAAGCTTCTGATTTATTTGAATTTTTCATTTAGTCTCAGGTTGTTTGAATATGTATTTGCTGTTATTATTAAGAAGGTTGCTAATTGGGCAAACTCTTGTTCCTCTGTGGCAGGATTTGTAGAACATGGCAGTTTACAACTCTTACTATCAAAATCTTGTTAGCAGAGTGTTCAGTTTTCATTGTATTGTTGCTGATAAGGAGGTGTCTAGAGATTTGCATTTAATGGCGGTGGAAAATGGTGTTTGTCATTCACTGCAACTCATCCTCTTGGGAAAGTTGGAGCCTGTAAGTACTTAGGGTTCTAATAGGTGTGCTTTGTTACTGAGAAAGAAGGCAAAGGGCCCTGAGCACAAAGGCACAGTTGGAATATGGGAGAAACACAGTGTTTGCAAAGGCTCTTGGGGGAGTGAAGACCCCATCTCCTGCTAATGGCGAGGTTCACAGAATACACTCTCCCAGATACGCTCCGCCTTTTTGCCTCTTGGAATTTACGAATCCGGAACTTAACCCTGTGGCATCGTTTCTAGACAGTGTGTGAGAAATCAACGAGCAAGGGGAAAAACATTAAAGAGGTTTTAAAATTTAAGATATTTGTGGCTGAAAATAACGAAAAGGTGTCTGAAAGTGGCAATAACAATAGGAATACATATTCTGTTAAAGAACACATTTTTAGGTAGGGCAGTGCTAGAATGGGTTAATTCCGTAGTGCAACACCATCATGTAATACCCGTCTTGCCATCTGTCTGCTCTATCATCTTCAGCATTTGTTCTCTGACTTGTCTTTTTATGGTTGCAAGGTTCCTGACATGTTCTAGGCACAGGCAGGTAGCAATTTTGATGGAAGAGGTATCTTTCTTTCTGTATGTCTCTTTCTGTTCGTGAGAAAGGCTATTGGCAGAGACCGCCTGGCAGGTTTTTCTGCACTTATCATTGGCCAACATGGTAAGACAAACCCAAGCCTAAATCAGTCACGGAAAAATAAAATATTTGACTTGGGCCAATCATGATTCACCCCCTTGGGCTAGGGAGGAGCCCAGTCTCCCAGAAGCACTTGTCTCTTCTATGGACATGAAAAAAAAAAAAAGAGAAGTCTCCAGTTATAGTGTCCGCCGTAGGTCTTGGTTATGTCATTCTTTGCCATTGTTTTGGTGACAATTCAGTGATCACAGTTACCCCTAGGAGTATTGTAGGCATTTAAAAACCAAGTTACTGTGAACTATTTTAAATTAAAAATAAGAAAAATTCTGAAAAATATCTACATTTTACAGTATGTATGAAAATTAATTCCTGATGGATTTGGGGTACAAACAAAACAAAATGAAACACCTCTTCATAAATTCTAGAGAAACTAGAAGAAAATAACAGTTCAGATCAGAGGGAAAATGTGAACTCTCTTAGCTATGCAGTAGTAGAAAGCAATGGAAGAAATAACATAGAAGTATTGATATATTTGAATGTAAAAAATTAAGAATTTTTGTATACTGAGAAAAGGAAACTTGTATAAATGCACAACTGACTGGAAAAACATTTTAATCAAAGGCTAATATTTCTAAAGGTTAATATTTCTAATCTGTAATTTTACATCCAAATTTATAAGAAAAGTGCAACTAAAACTAGGATAATCACAAAATATAGGAGGAGATAATTCACAAAAGTAGAAACAATAATTATACATTAAAAAAGCCCATACAATCTCATTAGGAATCAAAGAAATTTAAATTAAAGCAAACTTGAGATGCAATTTTGTACCTTTTAGCACAACTTTAAATGATTGTAATATAATTATGGTTGTAGTGTAGCTGGTACACTTATTCATTGCTGATAAATTTATATATCTTTTTGAAAAGAAAATATGATATTATTTAATGAGAGGCACAAAGATGTTCATACTTTTTTTCCCCAGTAATTCAAATACAGAAAGTTTACCTTAACCAAATAAGAGAAGCAAAACGCTGTATATTCAAAGATATTCACTGCAGTAAAAGTTCTAATAGAAAAAAATCTGAAGACTGCTGAAATGTTCAATATTATGGAAATGACTTAAAAATTATGGCATATCCACATGAACAAGTATTATTTAAATGTTAAAAATATCAATTATAAAGACATTATAACAACAAAGGATGTGTTTAAATATGGCAATATGACAGAATAAGAATTGTAACAGCTTATGATAACAATTATATAAAGCATTTACATGTGGAAGAGAATATACAAAGATGGAAACCATATTAGGATGACGGGTTTTTGGTGATAATTGTATATATTTTTAATGTAATTGAATTAGTGATTTATTCTTATGCAATAAATCATCCCCAAACTTAGTGGCTTCCAACAATAAACACTTAATATTTCTTATAATAGAAATAAATACACATTTATTTCTATGCATTGGAAAATTGGGAGCAGCTTAGTTGGATTGTCTTGGCTCAAGGTCTCTCATGAGTTTGCAGTAAATAGTGTGAGGCTGTAGTCATCTGAGGCTTGACTGAGGCTGGAGGATCTGCTTCTGAGCTCATTTATGTGGCTGTTGGCAGGAGGCCTCAGTTACTCTCTATGAGGGTCTCTCCACAAGGCTTGAGTGTCTTTGTTACATGGCAGCTGGCTCCTCCCAGAGCGAGTAATATGAGAGAGAGAGAGAGAGAGAGAGAGAGAGAGAGAGAGAGAGAGAGAGAGGAGAGATCGCAGTGCCTTTTACAACCTAGTCTCCCAGTTATACACTGTCCTTTCCATTTTATTCTATTGGTCAGAAATGAGTCATGGAGTTTAGCCCACATTCAGAGGGAAAGGAATTAGCCTTCCTTTTCTGAAAGGAGGTGTGAACATATTTCACGTATCAAAGCATTTGTGGACGTATTTAAGTCACCACAGAAGATACAATTTCTTCTCATTAAAAATATGCTGAAACAGAAAAGAGGATGACTCATTTAACATGTATGAGGTTTGAGTGTTGAATGGTGGAAATATGGAAAAAAATAGTGACCAAATTAAAATGCCAAAAAGAGAAACAAACAAAAATCCAACCCAGAACTTAGACTGTCCCAGGTGAAGGTAATTATTTCTGTCATTGTGTTAGCCAAAAGTGTGGTATTGATGCTTTGCCTCTCACATGAGTTGAGAGGGGCAAGTGGAGGAATGGCATCTTGCCAGCAGATGACAAGAAATTTCCTTTCTTTCTAACAACATTGCACAGGTTGAGCATAACATTTTCTCAGCCATCTCTGAGGGGACTTTTCTGCTTGAGAAAGCTCTGGTTGTTAGATGTACATTTCGTCTGAATGAATAATTACCTTTAAGTGATCGCAATGCATTTGGAAGTCATTAAAAAAATCACAGAACGTGAGCTTTGGTCTATAAATACTAAATATGTATGGAAAAATAAAAAGCAAATGCCAGTTAGTACTGGGGCTACAATTAGGTATGCCAGAGCATCCTATTTGAACTTTGAAATATTTTTCTTCATTATATTCAGCTTTTATTTTTTCTTGGAAACTAGTCACTCAGTTTGGCTATTTTTCAGGCTCTGTTGTCCTCCTGCCCAGCTTTTGGTTACTCTCTTTGTTTCTGGGTCCTCTATTAGAGGGCAAAAGAGAAATGTGATAATGAGGATGATGATGATGATAAACAGTAAAACTCTATGGTGTCTTTCAAGGAGAGGCTGGAGAGTTTTTACAAGGGATTTCTAAAATATGTTGTTTTGTTTTTCATAGTCAGTGTTACATAACGAACAGAATGTGGCCTTTGGAATTGGAAAGGCCTAAGTTTGAGTCCTAGATTTTTCACTTCATTCAGTCAATAAAGGCTTATTGTGCCAGACACTGTGATAGATGCTAGGATATGGTGATGAAAATACATGGTACCATCTTCAAAGAGTTTGATCCAGTGGCGGATACAGACAAGAAAAATGGCAGGTAGTTTCCAAGGAGCTAAGAAAACTGATAGGAGGGCATTTACCCACTCTTGGTGGTGGGAGATGTTTCAGCCAGGGAAAATATCAAAGAAGAGGAAACATATCAAGCTAAAGAAAGAAGAAGGAAGAACATGTGCAAGGCTCTAGGAATAAGAGCAAGCATTGCCATTTTGTAACTCTGACAGTAGCTCTGGATGGTTGAGTGCAGAGATTGTTGGTTGACTAAATTGAAAATTATTTCTATCATTTTTTTTCTTCCTTTTTTTTTCCCCTTTATTATTATACTTTAAGTTTTAGGGTACATGTGCACATTGTGCAGGTTAGTTACATAGGTATACATGTGCCATGCTGATGCGCTGCACCCACTAACTTGTCACCTAGCATTAGGTATATCTCCCAGTGCTATCCCTCCCCCCTCCCCCCACCACACAACAGTCCCCAGAGTGTGATGTTCCCCTTCCTGTGTCCATGTGATCTCATTGTTCAATTCCCACCTATGAGTGAGAATATGCGGTGTTTGGTTTTTTGTTCTTGCGATAATTTACTGAAAATGATGATTTCCAATTTCATCCATGTCCCTACAAAGGACATGAACTCATCATTTTTTTATGGCTGCATAGTATTCCATGGTGTATATGTGCCACATTTTCTTAATCCAGTCTATCATTGTTGGACATTTGGGTTGGTTCCAAGTCTTTGCTATTGTGAATAATGCCGCAATAAACATACGTGTGCATGTGTCTTTATAGCAGCATGATTTATAGTCCTTTGGGTATATACCCAGTAATGGGATGGCTGGGTCAAATGGTATTTCTAGTTCTAGATCCCTGAGGAATTGCCACACTGACTTCCACAATGGTTGAACGAGTTTACAGTCCCACCAACAGTGTAAAAGTGTTCCTGTTTCTCCACATCCTCTCCAGCACCTGTTGTTTCCTGACTTTTTAATGATTGCCATTCTAACTGGTGTGAGATGGTATCTCATTGTGGTTTTGATTTGCATTTCTCTGATGGCCAGTGATGATGAGCATTTTTTCATGTGTTTTTTGGCTGCATAAATGTCTTCTTTTGAGAAGTGTCTGTTCATGTCCTTCGCCCACTTTTTGATGGGGTTGTTTTTTTCTTGTAAATTTGTTTGAGTTCATTGTAGATTCTGGATATTAGCCCTTTGTCAGATGAGTAGGTTGCGAAAATTTTCTCCCATTTTGTAGGTTGCCTGTTCACTCTGATGGTAGTTTCTTTTGCTGTGCAGAAGCTCTTTAGTTTAATTAGATCCCATTTGTCAATTTTGTCTTTTGTTGCCATTGTTTTTGGTGTTTTAGACATGAAGTCCTTGCCCATGCCTATGTCCTGAATGGTAATGCCTAGGTTTTCTTCTAGGGTTTTTATGGTTTTAGGTCTAACGTTTAAGTCTTTAATCCATCTTGAATTGATTTTTGTATAAGGTGTAAGGAAGGGATCCAGTTTCAGCTTTCTACATATGGCTAGCCAATTTTCCCAGCACCATTTATTAAATAGGGAATCCTTTCCCCATTGCTTGTTTTTCTCAGGTTTGTCAAAGATCAGATAGTTGTAGATATGCGGCATTATTTCTGAGGTCTCTGTTCTGTTCCATTGATCTATATCTCTGTTTTGGTACCAGTACCATGCTGTTTTGGTTACTGTAGGCTTGTAGTATAGTTTGAAGTCAGGTAGTGTGATGCCTCCAGCTTTGTTCTTTTGGCTTAGGATTGACTTGGCGATGCGGGCTCTTTTTTGGTTCCATATGAACTTTAAAGTAGTTTTTTCCAATTCTGTGAAGAAAGTCATTGGTAGCTTGATGGGGATGGCATTGAATCTGTAAACTACCTTGGGTAGTATGGCCATTTTCACGATATTGATTCTTCCTACCCATGAGCATGGAATGTTCTTCCATTTGTTTGTATCCTCTTTTATTTCCTTGAGCAGTGGTTTGTAGTTCTCCTTGAAGAGGTCCTTCACATCCCGTGTAAGTTGGATTCCTAGGTATTTTATTCTCTTTGAAGCAATTGTGAATGGGAGTTCACTCATGATTTGGCTCTCTGTTTGGCTGTTATTGGTGTATAAGAATGCTTGTGATTTTTGTACAATGATTTTGTATCCTGAGACTTTGCTGAAGTTGCTTATCAGCTTAAGGAGATTTTGGGCTGAGACAATGGGGTTTTCTAGATATACAATCATGTCATCTGCAAACAGGGACAATTTGACTTCCTCTTTTCCTAATTGAATACCCTTTATTTCCTTCTCCTGCCTAATTGCCCTGGCCAGAACTTCCAACACTATGTTGAATAGGAGTGGTGAGAGAGGGCATCCCTGTCTTATGCCAGTTTTCAAAGGGAATGCTTCCAGTTTTTGCCCATTCAGTATGACATTGGCTGTGGTTTTGTCATAAATAGCCCTTATTATTTTGAAATACGTCCCATCAATACCTAATTTATTGAGAGTTTTTAGCATGAAGGGTTGTTGAATTTTGTCAAAGGCCTTTTCTGCATCTATTGAGATAATCATGTGGTTTTTGTCTTTGGCTCTGTTTATATGCTGGATTACATTTATTGATTTTCGTATGTTGAACCAGCCTTGCATCCCAGGGATGAAGCCCACTTGATCATGGTGGATAAGCTTTTTGATGTGCTGCTGGATTCGTTTTGCCAGTATTTTATTGAGGATTTTTGCATCAATGTTCATCAAGGATATTGGTCTAAAATTCTCTTTTTTGGTTGTGTGTCTGCCAGGCTTTGGTATCAGAATGATGCTGGCCTCATAAAATGAGTTAGGGAGGATTCCCTCTTTTTCTATTGATTGGAATAGTTTCAGAAGGAATGGTACCAGTTCCTCCTTGTACCTCTGGTAGAATTCGGCTGTGAATCCGTCTGGTCCTGGACTCTTTTTGGTTGGTAAGCTATTGATTATTGCCACAATTTCAGATCCTGTTATTGGTCTATTCAGAGATTCAACTTCTTCCTGGTTTAGTCTTGGGAGAATGTATGTGTCGAGGAATTTATCCATTTCTTCTAGATTTTCTAGTTTATTTGCGTAGAGGTGTTTGTAGTATTCTCTGATGGTAGTTTGTATTTCTGTGGGATCGGTGGTGATATCCCCTTTATCATTTTTTATTGCATGTATTTGATTCTTCTCTCTTTTTTTCTTTATTAGTCTTGCTAGCTAGTGGTCTATCTATTTTCTGATCCTTTCAAAAAACCAGCTCCTGGATTCATTAATTTTTTGAAGGGTTTTTTCTGTCTCTGTTTCCTTCAGTTCTGCTCTGATTTTAGTTATTTCTTGCCTTCTGCTAGCTTTTGAATGTGTTTGCTCTTGCTTTTCTAGTTCTTTTAATTGTGATGTTAGGGTGTCAATTTTGGATCTTTCCTGCTTTCTCTTGTGGGCATTTAGTGCTATAAATTTCCCTCTACACACTGCTTTGAATGCGTCCCAGAGATTCTGGTATGTTGTGTCTTTGTTCTCATTGGTTTCAAAGAACATCTTTATTTCTGCCTTCATTTCGTTATGTACCCAGTAGTCATTCAGGAGCAGGTTGTTCAGTTTCCATGTAGTTGAGCGGTTTTCAGTGAGATTCTTAATCCTGAGTTCTAGTTTGATTGCACTGTGGTCTGAGAGATAGTTTGTTATAATTTCTGTTCTTTTCCATTTGCTGAGGAGAGCTTTACTTCCAAGTTTGTGGTCAATTTTGGAATAGGTGTGGTGTGGTGCTGAAAAAAATGTATATTCTGTTGATTTGGGGTGGAGAGTTCTGTTGATGTCTATTAGGTCCACTTGGTGCCGAGCTGAGTTCAATTCCTGGGTATCCTTGTTGACTTTCTGTCTCGTTGATCTGTCTAATGTTGACAGTGGGGTGTTAAAGTCTCCCATTATTAATGTGTGGGAGTCTAAGTCTCTTTGTAGGTCACTCAGGACTTGCTTTATGAATCTCGGTGCTCCTGTGTTGGGTGCATATATATTTAGGATAGTTAGCTCTTCTTGTTGAATTGATCCCTTTACCATTATGTAATGGCCTTCTTTGTCTCTTTTGATCTTTGTTGGTTTAAAGTCTGTTTTATCAGAGACTAGGATGGCAACCCCTGCCTTTTTTTGTTTTCCATTTGCTTGGTAGATTTTCCTCCATCCTTTTATTTTGAGCCTATGTGTGTCTCTGCATGTGAGATGGGTTTCCTGAATACAGCACACTGATGGGTCTTGACTCTTTATCCAATTTGCCAGTCTGTGTCTTTTAATTGGAGGACTTAGTCCATTTACATTTAAAGTTAATATTGTTATGTGTGAATTTGATCCTGT
This sequence comes from Homo sapiens, assembly GCF_000001405.40. Lineage (NCBI taxonomy): Eukaryota > Metazoa > Chordata > Mammalia > Primates > Hominidae > Homo > Homo sapiens. The sequence goes on along the minus strand of NC_000002.12, from coordinate 53,589,009 downwards.
CATTATGATGTTAGCTGGTGATTTTGCTCGTTAGTTGATGCAGTTTCTTCCTAGTCTCGATGGTCTTTACATTTTGGCATGATTTTGCAGCGGCTGGTACCGGTTGTTCCTTTCCATGTTTAGCGCTTCCTCCAGGAGCTCTTTTAGGGCAGGCCTGGTGGTGACAAAATCTCTCAGCATTTGCTTGTCTGTAAAGTATTTTATTTCTCCTTCACTTATGAAGCTTAGTTTGGCTGGATATGAAATTCTGGGTTGAAAATTCTTTTCTTTCAGAATGTTGAATATTGGCCCCCACTCTCTTCTGGCTTGTAGGGTTTCTGCCGAGAGATCCACTGTTAGTCTGATGGGCTTCCCTTTGAGGGTAACCCGACCTTTCTCTCTAGCTGCCCTTAATATTTTTTCTTTCATTTCAACCTTGGGGAATCTGACAATTATGTGTCTTGGAGTTGCTCTTCTCGAGGAGTATCTTTGTGGCGTTCTCTGTATTTCCTGAATCTGAACGTTGGCCTGCCTTGCTAGATTGGGGAAGTTCTCCTGGATAATATCCTGCAGAGTGTTTTCCAACTTGGTTCCATTCTCCCCATCACTTTCAGGTACACCAATCAGACGTATTTGGTCTTTTCACATAGTCCCATATTTCCTGGAGGCTTTGCTCATTTCTTTTTATTCTTTTTTCTCTAAACTTCCCTTCTTGCTTCATTTCATTCATTTCATCTTCCATCGCTGATACCCTTTCTTCCAGTTGATCGCATCGGCTCCTGAGGCTTCTGCATTCTTCACGTAGTTCTCGAGCCTTGGTTTTCAGCTCCATCAGCTCCTTTAAGCACTTCTCTGTATTGGTTATTCTATTTATACATTCTTCTAAATTTTTTTCAAAGTTTTCAACTTCTTTGCCTTTGGTTTGAATGTCCTCCCATAGCTCAGAGCAATTTCATCGTCTGAAGCCTTCTTCTCTCAGCCTGTCAAAGTCATTCTCCGTCCAGCTTTGTTCCGTTGCTGGTGAGGAACTGTGTTCCTTTGGAGGAGGAGAGGCGCTCTGCTTTTTAGAGTTTCCAGTTTTTCTGTTCTGTTTTTTCCCCATCTTTGTGGTTTTATCTACTTTTGGTCTTTGATGATGGTGATGTACAGATGGGTTTTTGGTGTGGATGTCCTTTCTGTTTGTTAGTTTTCCTTCTAACAGACAGGACCCTCAGCTGCAGGGCTTTTGGAGTACCCTGCCGTGTGAGGTGTCAGTGTGCCCCTGTTGGGGGGTGCCTCCCAGTTAGGCTGCTCGGGGGTCAGGGGTCAGGCACCCGCTTGAGGAGGCAGTCTGCCCGTTCTCAGATCTCCAGCTGCGTGCTGGGAGAACCACTGCTCTCTTCAAAGCTGTCAGACAGGGACATTTAAGTCTGCAGAGGTTGCTGCTGTCTTTTTGTTTGTCTGTGCCCTGCCCCCAGAGGTGGAGCCTACAGAGGCAGGCAGGCCTCCTTGAGCTGTGGTGGGCTCCACCCAGTTCGAGCTTCCTGGCTGCTTTGTTTACCTCAGCAAGCCTGGGCAATGGCGGGCGCCCCTCGCCCAGCCTCGCTGCCGCCTTGCTGTTTGATCTCAGACTGCTGTGCTCGCAATCAGCGAGACTCCATGGGCGTAGGACCCTCCGAGCCAGGTGCGGGGTATAATCTCGTGGTGCGCCGTTTTTTAAGCCCGTGGGAAAAGCGCAGTATTCGGGTGGGAGTGACCCGATTTTCCAGGTGCCGTCTGTGACCCCTTTCTTTGACTCGGAAAGGGAGCTCCCTGACCCCTTGCGCTTCCCAAGTGAGGCGATGCCTCGCCCTGCTTCGGCTCGCGCACGGTGCGTGCACCCACTGACCTGCGCCCACTGTCTGGCACTCCCTAGTGAGATGAACCCGGTACCTCAGATGGAAATGCAGAAATCACGCTGCATCGCTCACGCTGGGAGCTGTAGACCGGAGCTGTTCCTATTCGGCCATCTTGGCTCCACAAACAACCTCATTTTTTTTCTTCTCTACCTTCTGTCATAGAGGGCTCTCTTGCACCTAATGATAGCCATTTGATACAGTTCTGGTCAATGAGATGTTATCACAGTTTGCTGGAGGGATTCTGCAAATTTTTTTGTTTCATGATTAAGGAGGAACACTCGGCTAGCACAGACCTTTGCCCTTCCTCCTCTTCCTCACTGTGAATGCTGACACAATGCGTACAGGACAGCTGCCATTTGTGACCATGAAGTAACAATGCAATATACCAGAATAGTGGAGAGGAAAAATTAAAAGAGCCCGGGGCCTTGCTTATATCACGGGGTCACTGTGACAGCCCCACATTTCCTACTTCCAGAATTCCTAGGTGAGAAAATAAACTGTTTAATCCACTTTGTACCACATTTCTAACTGAAGAGAATGAAGCATTAGACTGGCATTTGAGCTATGAAAGAAGATGAGGTTAGAGTTGTAAACCATGTTAAGAAATTTAAGTCCTGTACATCATGGTGACTGTAATTAATAACAAAATATGTGTACTTGCATATTGCTAAAAAAGTAGATTTTAAGTGTTCTCACCACAAAACATAAGTACGTAAGGTAATGCATACATTAATCACCTTGATTTAGCCATTCCACAGAGTATAAATGTATCAAAACATCATGTTGTATGTCAGAAATGCATACAATTTTTACTTGTCAAATAAGAAAAATAATAATACAGGAAGAAAAGGAAAATTTGAGTCCCATCTCAAGGGCAATTGGAAACTTTTGGCGAATAATTTCTCTAAGCCTCGTTTTTTTAATCTGGAAAGCGGGAATAATAATGTGTGCCATATGGCTTGTGACGATTAAATGAGATGTGTAAAATGCACAATAGGGTTGGCACTTAATGGGTGCTTAATAATCTGAGGCTGTTTTATGATGATCATAATGATAATGAAGAAAAACTTTTCAATTATCTGTGCAATTCTGAATTAGTAGAGATAGAGTGTACAACTTCTGTGTTCCCTGTGGTTTGTTCATTCATTCCTCCATATATATACTATAATTAATAATTATGGTCCAGTGGAGGATACAGACAAGAAAAAAGGCAGGTAGCCTCCAAGGAGCTATAATTATAATGAATAAATACAGCTATACTATATTAATAATTATTAATTATTATATATATATACAGGCACACTTGTTTTCTAGGTACTATGTTAGCAGCCCAGGACAGAAATAGTCCTTATCCTCATGGAATTTAACATTCCAGTGAGAGGAGACATAAACAAGCAAATGAACTGGGATATGAAATAATTTCAGCTATGATTGAAGTGCTTTCTAGGTTATGTAATAACTTGGTCATGGAGAGCCACTTCTTGAAAATGGATCACTCGTAGGCAGGGAGAAGAGTTCCTAATGAATCTAAAAATGCCAAAGAAACAATAGACACTGGAGACTACCAGAGGGAAGAGACAAGGAGGGGGACAACAGCTGAAGAACTAACTGTTGCGTGCTATTCTCAGTACCTGGGTGATGGGATCATTTGTACCCCAAACCTCAGCATCATGCAGTATACCCAGGTAACAAACCAGAACATGTACCTCCTGAATCTAAAATAAAAGTTGAAAAATAAAATGAAATAAAAATAAATTTAAAAAATTGCCAAGGAAAGCACATGTGGTAAATGAGTGTGTTTCCCTAGACAGCATTATTAGATGCTATGGAGTGCTGATCGGGGAGAGGCAAAGACATGCAGGGCGACCTGAGCAGCCCTTTCATTGGACTCTTTCTAAGGTTCTGGCGAGGCTTCTTCTCTGTCCTGAGCTCAGACCACAGCCCAGTGGCACGCCATGGCCAGGGAGCCCACTTGCTTTGTAAATGCAAGCCCCCGGGCTGAATGACTAATGTCTTGGAACTTCCTTCTGAGAGCACCAAACCACTGCCAGTAATCATTAGAGACCCCTCATAAGATCTGAATAGACAAAGTCATTCATGTTAAAATTAAATTGGGTTGGGCATGCTGGCTCACACCTGGAATCCCAGCACTTTGGGAGGCCAAGGCAGGTCAATCACCTGAGGTCAGGAGATCGAGACCAGCCTAGCCAACATGGTGAAACGCCGTCTCTACTAAAAATACCTAAAATTAGCCGGGCATGGTGGCGTGCGCCTGTAATCCAAGCTACTCAAGAGGCCGAGGCAGGAGAATTACTTGAACCTGGGAGGCGGAGGTTGCAGTGAGATGAGATCATGCCACTGCACTCCAGCCTGGGTGACAGAGCGAGACTCTGTCTCACACACACAAAAAAATTAAATTAAAAAAATCAAATTCTTGGCTGGGTACAGTGTCTCATGCCTGTAATCCCAGCACTTTGGGAGGCCAGGGTGGGCAGATCACAAGGTCAGGAGATCGAGACCATCCTGGCTAACAAGGTGAAACCCCGTCTCTACTAAAAATGCAAAAAATTAGCCAGACATGGTGTTACGTGCCTGTAGTCCCAGCTACTCGGGAGGCTGAGGCAGGAGAATCATTTGAACCTGGGAGGTGGAGGTTGCAGTGAGCCGAGATTGTGCCACTGCACTCCAGCCTGGGTGACAGAGTGAGACTCTATTAAAAAAAAAAAAAAGAATCAAATTATTTTGCATAAAAGCAAAAGAGAGATTGTGAATTCTCCACAATTGATGGCTGAGCTTGATGGGTGAGATGACAAGTTAGATGCTGCCAATGAGGAAAGTGACAACAACAAAAATAGCTACTATTTAGTGAGTGGCTGTCATACGTTGGCACTACACATAGATTAATTCATTTGATCATCACATAACTGAATTCTGTAGTCGTTACTATTCTTGTTCTATCTTGTACTGCATAGGAAATTGAGACTTAACAAATTTGGAAACTTAATATTTCCAAATGTTACACAGCTGTAAGGGGTGGGGTTCAGTTTGAACTCAGACAGTCTAATTCCAGAGCCCATACCACACTACCTGAAAATTATCCCTGTTTTCCTACAGAATGCTTGGGTGCACATAGGCTACTTCCTGCAGGTTAAATATGGGTGTCGTCAGAAACCAGGTCATCTCATCACGGTCTGGGTAAACTGTCATTTTCACTTGCTCGTATATTTCTTCTATATAAACTGAAATATGGCCAGTGTCACTTTGCAGAAGCTAGTGGCTTTCTGTCCCTTCAAAGTCAGAAAATGTTCATTCATTAAACAAATATTTACTGAGCACCTACTACAGGCTGGCAGTGTTTTTCAGAGCACACAGCACTTAACTCTTCTAGCTCCTCTCTCAGAGAGACCATGGGATTTGTGTGGCCACTTCACAGTAGGTAGTCATCTATAGTTGATGCAAGACTGTCTGTCACCAGATGAACAGCTTGTTTGCTTATGTATGACCCCGAGTCCTGAATGATTGACTATCTTTCCTGTTTTGTCAATTACTGAAAGATATTAGCCTTTCATTCTGTTAGGCAAAGTTTTCTTCCCTTTATAGGAGAATACTCTTGCACAAACTTTCCTGCTGTGACATTAATTTTAAGATCCACCTTCTTCTCATTGGCAGTTCTTTTAGATTTGTTTTTATGGAGAATAAATTTTTCCTTTTGCATCTGAGCCTCCCACCGCACCATGGTGTTAACTGGCTGTGAAAACCATTTCTCTGTGTGTAGCTAAGGCAGACTAGTAAGGGTGGAGGGGAATCCAGGGGTCAGAGGGTAGGCAGAGGAATCCAACTATTTTCTTATCTTGATTAAGACAGTTCTGAGCCATGAGGGAAAAATACGGCTGTCATTTCTTTACAGGTTGGTCCCTCATTAGGACAGGTTCTTGTGACCGTCATGGAAACATGAACTTTAAAGCTGAACAGATAATGGAGTATAAAGGAAATCCCAAATAAACATCGATTTAAGGATTGGTGTTCCTCAAGAGAAACCACTGTTCTATACTCTTCTATCTAAGCAATAGAAGATGAGCAAATATTTAAACCCAGGAATGATTTCTAATGTGAATAATAGAAGCCCTGACTACAGGCTTATTTGTTTCATGTAACAAGCTGATATTATTAGCTCAGTGGCTCAATGACATTAGAGCTAGCACGTCTAAGATTCTCTTGGCCTTTTTTTTTTGGATAGCAAAATGTTCCAGCTGAACATCACATCTGTGTTCAAGGCAGGAAGAAAAGGGAAAGAAAAAGATAGTGGCAAGCATGTCTCTTGCTTTTGTTAGGAAGGTAAAACTTTTCCTTAAGGCCCCTGCCTGACTTCCCTTGACAGGTCGTTAACAGAACTGGATCATGTGGCCATCCCTTGATACAGGAATGTGTGGGAAAGCTGGCAGTGGGATGGTCATGATTGATTTAGACTAGTCAAAATTTATTCTGTGGGATGGGACATATTTTCACTCTGGTCAAAATTAAGGTTTTATTAGCAGGAAGATGGAGGAATAGATACTATGTAGGCAGCTAACACTGTGTACCCCTTTGTTCATTTTCCTTGCCATTGGGAGCCACATGGAACAGGCTGTTCCATGAAAGCCCTAAAAAGACCTCTTTTCTCAGCTTTATTCTCACTGTGATTCAGGGCACAGCAGGCACCATGAGCACCCACTTTGAGAGTGGGGAAATGTCCTCATGTGGAATCCATATGTTTTCAAGGGCACTACCTCCTCCTCAGATTCACACCTACGTGGAAACCAACAGGTTTACGTCATTCCCCAAACCCCCTCTAAGCTCAGTTCTAAAATCTTTAGATAGCTGCAAAGCAAACAGCTGAGCTTTTCTGCTCTACACACACACACACACACACACACACACACACACACACACACACACATTTTTGGGCTGATAATAAAGGGAAAAGTGGGATTTCAGTAACAGATGACTATTTCAGCCAGCAAATGCTTTTTGTGTTTTAAATGAAAAGCAAAACTAATCTCCAAGTCCTAAACATTAGAGATCCAGAGATAATGCACAATGAAAGAATTCAATGTTAGTACCAGGGCTCTACCCAGCAGAGAGGAAATGCAGGTTCTATCATTTTTGGCAAATAATTGTCCACACACTGACTTTTTATTTCAGCCTTGTCTTATGTTAATGTTCCCTTGTCCCAGAATGTGTCCTCCCTTAGCAGCGACAGATTTGACTTATGGATAGTTGGGTTGTGGTCTTGTTTTGTAAGTCAAGGTTGGAGATGGTTGGAGAGAGGGAAGGGTAAGACAGAGAGGGAATATCCAAGACATAGTTTGTCATCTCGGAGGGGCATCTGTTACCCAGGACCACTCTTGCAACAGTGCACTAGAGAGCGACCAGTAGAGTGTTGCACATTGTTGCTGTCTGACAGTTATAAAGCTTAAATTAACTGCATTACCTTTCTTGAGTGGAGTGGAGGTGGGCCACACATTCAGTACCCAGAAACATCTTCTCTTGATCAAGAAAGGACTGCTAAATCTTTCATATTGCAACTTCATATGAAGTTACGTATGACCCTTTCATATTGTAAGTTACATACATATTGAAGTTACACATGACCCTTTCATGTTGTGTCTTCCCCTCCATACTTTGGCCATAGCCATAGTGAACTCAACCACAGCATTCCATGTAACACATCCGATTTATTTATTTATTTTATTTTCAATTTTTTTTTATCACATGCTTTATTTGTCTGTCTCCTAGATAAAAAGTTTTATTGGCCTCAGGCTGAAGTTTGCAATTATATTCCAAATACCCAAAGTGGGTATATTATTGACGTTGTCCTGAGAGAGGGACAGACAGTTTGACTGTGTTGCTTTCTTTGGAGTCAGTTTTGGGGCTGTTAAGGATTACCTGGAAACATTAGATGAAGCTGGGGCTGGACACTTCTTCTCAGGACAGAAGCACATTCATCTAAATGGAAATCTAAGGTGAGTTGTCACTGTTATACTCAATGACAAAGAGTCTGACCCTAGAGTTAAATTAGAAGTAAGTCAAGGATTTGAATGTCCCCAGGCTCTGGGCAAGTGGTCCTTTCCTGTGTTTAAAAGCATAGAGGAAATTTTCTTTCAACATTTATGCTTTAACTGAATTGCAGGTGAGTGAAAATGCAAACGCTGGATTTTCATAAAGAAGCTTTGATTATTGTTATTTTTTTTATACATTTAATAGAAAACATTAAGAAACAGAGAACTTAAACGTTGCTTTTGGCTGCAGGTAACTTTAAATGAAAAATGAAGTCAGTGCTGTTTCCTTCCTTCTTTTATAATATGCTTATTCATTTAGGAGTTTTTAATCGACTCTGTGGAAAATAACTGAAACAAAATATTTTAAGTTATTTGAGCCAAGCAATTCAGCTTACTTTCGAAGATGGAGGAGAGGAAGAAATATCACAGCATTGCCTGGTTAAAAATTGGCAAGCATTGTGTGCCAAGTATGGCTCTTTTTTCCTAAATAAAATAAGAATCAGTAACTAGAAGACTGTTCACTACTCAATCCTTAGCATTCAGAACAGGATCCTGTACATACTAGGACACACACATGTACCATCTTTGCAGGGCTAGTGTGTTTCCATCTTTACTTTTTAAAAAATAAATTTTAAAATTTTGGAAAAATTTCAGATTCACAGTAAAGTTCTGAAGTGTTATAGAAAATATTGCATACCCTTCACCCAGCTTATCCTAATGTTCATCATGTCTCCTACTATACATCTGTCAATGCTCACGAGTTAACACTGGGATGTTTGGTCTGAACTCTGAATTTACTCCGGTTTCGCTAGTTTTTCCACTAACGTCTTTTTCCTCTCCAGGACCCCATCGGGATTCCACACCACATTTAGCTGTCATGCCTCCTTCCTCAGCTCTGTGCAGAGGCAGCTTCTCAGATGCTCCTCGTTTTTCCTGACCTTGGTAGTTTGAGGATTACTAGTCGGGTGTTTTGTAGACTGCTCCTCAATTTTGGCTTTTCTGATGTTTTTCTCATGATTTCTCAGGTTGGGAGGATGCGAAGTGCCATTTCATCGTGTCCTATCCGGAATGCATACTCTCAGCATAACAGCACCAGTGCCATACCTAGAGAGGCCTTTCCGAGTTACCCTAACACAAAAAGGTGTTTCCAGTCATTCTCACATCAGCCTTTTAGTTATTTTTTCAGTACTTATCACAACTGGGGATTGTTGTCTTGTTGGACTGTTTGTCTGTTCCTCTAACTGGACTGTAAGCTTTAGGAGGGCAGAACTGTGTTTATCTTGTTCACCTGTTTGTTCCCAGCACCTAGTACCCTGCCTGGCACATAGCTGGCACTCAAAAATGTTTAATAAAGAAAACATTGTGATTTTCTTATGTAAATGTGTGACCATTCTTATTATAAAGATAAATAATACTCATTTCCCCATTTATTGTATGGATACTGGGTGTTGTCAGAAATGCATGGGTAGGAATTGAGCTGCATATTTGGGAGATCTAGGAGGCTGACAGGCTATGCCATGGGCTCCTCCTTTTATCTCTGCTTGTCTTCGAGAAGTTGCTTTATTCTCTTTCCTGTCTGTAGATAGCATCCTGCCTTGAATGTGAACCTGAAGCTGGGGATGGGGTAGGGAGGCTGCAACCTCTTGCTGACAACCATAAAGTGACAAGCCAAGAAGCTAAGGATGGAGGAGGGATGTAGCATCCCTGGCTACGTGGCTGAGCCACTGCATCAGCTCTGGGCTGCTCTTGCTGGACTTTCTGTAGCATGAGGCAAATAAGCCCATCTCTGCTTAAGCCACCCCAAAGTCTGTGTTTCTGCTACGGCAGCCGAGCACTCTCCTTACTCAAATGGGAGTCTGGGGAGTTAGAGCCAAGTAGCAGTCGGTCCTATATGGCCGTGGGGAGAGTTGCACTTGCCCTCCTCTGGCTGCGTGCTTTGGGAAGACTGTGCCAGATTCTGACCTGATCTGCTTGTAGTGTTTGACCCAAGCCTCCCTCTCTTAGGGAGACACATGCAATCTGGCCTTTGCTACTGGTGTCTCTATGTGGGACGAGCAGTCTATTTCCCGAAGGTGGATCTGCCTCCCTTCCAGTTATGACAGAGGCAGCAGAGACCTTTTGTCAACAAAATGTTCCCCTTTCCCTCAAACTGTGCCCTGGTTGGGCATCTAATCTCCTAATGGGCTTCTCTGAGACCTCTGTCAAGTCTAATTTCAGTACAAAGTGATACTCCACAGGGACCCATTTTTGTCTTGCCCCCTTAATTTTCCTCGTTTAGAATCTAGTGGCATATATATGGAGCTGAGGTAACCTGTGCAGTGCATAGGAGGTGTACCGGGGAGATGGTACCAGGTTTAGCTACCCTGCTGTTCTATTTGTACCATTTGTTAAACACAAATTGTTTCCACCCAGCCTTGATGTTATGAGGTGCCATTTATTGCATAGACAACTGAATTTGCCTACTCACTTATGTTCCTGTGATCAGTCTCCCCATTCCCAAGCCACCTTCTTCACACTGTAACCAGAGTTTCCTTTTTGAAGGTCTCAGGCACAGGGGCAGTCAAATTCCCACACATGGTTGGGCTAACCTTATAAATATGCAGGACCATGTCCATGAATATGACTCTTTTGTCCTGTCCTGTCCCAGTGGGTAAGCTGAGTCAGAACCTACTAGTCCAGATGTGGCCACCTTACTGTTTCTCTTCCTCTGAAGCACTCTGTAGGACTGTTACTATCACTTGAGCCCTGCCCAGCTGGAAGAGGCCTAGCGATGCCCTGTCTGTGTTAAGCCTAAACCATGTGCTTTAGCCCGGTTTAATAAAAAAGCTCTGCAATGGGATAGTGGGCAAAAGCCCAGTGTATAATGATGAAATGGATCATGCTTTCCATTTTCTTTCATCACATGGGAGTTTGTCTCCCTCAAGATGATCACTGGGAAGAAAGTCTAAGACAGGACTCAAATATTTTGAGTTCTGTAGTCAGATAGTACTTAATAATGCTCCAATCAAAGCCCTAAAACTTATTAGAAAAAGATATTTCATCTTGTCATTACCTTCATTCTGTCTAGGGCAGGGATTATAAACCTAGGGTTGTAAACTTTAGAAGCCAGGCAGGTAACATAAATGACTAGGCTGTGAGTAATCATGTGTCCCCTCACCATCTCTTATTTCCCCATCTGTGATAGAGATATGGGTACAGAGAAACATTTCTCTCTACTACAAGGAAAAGAAGGTCATGTTCAATGATAAATGGCAGCTAACACTCATTGTTCATACTGGAAAGACTATAGGGAATGGTAGGGACTGTGGCAAACTGTGTGTCCTGTGTGGGGAAGCCAGCTGCTACTGAGATCCAGGTGATTAACATGGTGAAACCCCGTCTCTACTAAAAATACAAAAAAAGTAGCCGGGCGTGGTGGTGGGTGCTTGTAGTCCCAGCTACTTGGGAGGCTGAGGCAGGAGAATGGCTTGAACCCAGGAGGCGGAGCTTGCAGTGAGTCGAGATTGCGCCACTGCACTCCAGCCTGGGCGACAGAGCGAGACTCTGTCTCAAAATAAATAAAATAAAATAAAATAAAATAAATAAAAAACAATAAATAAATAAATAAATAAATCCTTGTGGAAATATAGGCATAGTGTTGGCAGAAGTTCTATGTTAAAAATAAAAAAGCCAGACATCAGATTCTTTTGGGGGAAACTCCTGAGTTTTAAATATTAGCTCAATATTTAAAAATAAACGGAAACAAAACAACACAATGTGGAACCATTAACTATGTCTAAGAGCCACCTGATTACACAACCTTCGGCTCAGAAGATAAGCTCAAACTACTTAGCTTGACACATAAACTTCTTCATGATTCCATCTGTACTGCCTTCTGTATCTCCTACTTCTCTTCTGACACTCCACAGCTACTCAGGCTAAATTTCAAACTTTCGCCTGCATCTACCTCCCCCTTTCATGACCCCATACTTTTTGTATCTGCTGTTCCTTGCAGTGCCCTTCCCTGGCTGACTAATTTTGAAATAGTTTATTCTTAAAGATCTATGCCCAAGTCATCTCTTGTTTCAAGCCTTTCACAACCTGCCTGCGACCCCCACAATGAGGCAGAGACATAGAGTTCCATTTCTCTGGTCATTTTCAGCAAGGTACACAGTCTTCTTACAGAACTTAATCAGAATCTCTTATAATTATCCATTCCATGCCTATTTTCCCAGTTCATCACTGAGGCTGCGTCTGTGTTTTCCCAGCACTTAGCATGGTGTTTGGCCCTGGGTCCATGCCCTGTAATTATTGTTTGAAGAAATGAATAATGAAATTTGCTATGTATCATACATATTAGATTTTATTTTGTTGCACGATACCTTCACATTTGCCGCAATAAAATATTTGCGTGAGGGTGTCATTAGTTATCACTTTTGATGGTGCACATTTTGAATGGCCTAAGAGATAACTGTCTTAAACATATTTATATGTTGCTGACTTCTCAGGGAAATACTGTTCTCTTCCAGAGAAGGCCATCTGAAGTGATATCCTTACTCTTCAGCTAAAATATTAGTGTTTAATGCAGTAGCTTTAAATACTTTATGCTTTGTTAAAGGCTTATCTAATCAGGATAAGAAAGAGAGAAGAGGATTATACGGGAACTTGCTTTTCACAGCACTCTTTTCCCAGTGCTATGGCAGGATTAATAGGGGAGTTAAAACAAGAATAAATACATATGCTGTATCCGTTGACAAAGCAGTAAAGAATAGTTAGCTGTGAAATTCCATTTGTATTTAAGTTTACTATTCTAAGTACACTTCAACCCCTCTCTCTGACCACCCACGCCACTGACATTTTTCACATCTGACAGCTGGAGAAAGGAATTTTGTAAATGTCTCTCTTGGGGTTAGTTTTAAAAGAAAAGGAAAATGTGCTAAGTAGAATGGCTAAATTATAAATTTAATCAAACCTGCAATTTAAATAAGCCCCCAATAATAATAGGCTGAAAGCTTGTCAGGCTGTGTTGGCTCTGGTTCATTTTACATGGATTATGACAATGGAACCACTAAGCGTGGCCCTTTAAGTGCTTTTGCCCATTAGCTTCATCAAGTAATTGCAGGCTTGGCGGCATCAATAACAACAAAAGTTGACACTTTGGGAAAGAGAAGTGAATCTTTCCCCTTCCAGATCTGGCAGGAAAGAAAAGTGCCTTGATGAAAGCACTGCGGGTGTGTGGATATTCAGAGCCCAGAGAAAAGAAATAGGATGGGTGCGTGAGAGAGTATCTTTGATTTGCTTAAATGAACATCCTGTTTCATTTTTACTTGGTCCTCTTGGCCCATCCAGCATATAATAGGATCTCACTGGCTCGCTGCCGGTCATCTCAGCATGAGTATCCTTCAGAAAATGTGATTTCTTGGAAACGTTAATTAAAAAAAAAAAAAAAAAACTAGTAATGAGAGTGAGGAAACAAATAGCAAAAAAGACCTTCCTAGCTCCAGCTTAAGCAGAGAGGAAAACACTAAGCAATGAGAAAGTATAGGAGAAAAACCTCACTTATCTGAAACCAGGAATTCTTTCCCCTAAATCATTTATTGTAAATAAGTTTGCATTCTTGGTTGACATTCGTCTTAGAAAGGTCACAGTTTCTTCTAATTGAAAATATTTATTAGTATCCCTGGAAAGAACAACATGAACATTCATGTTCAAGAAACTTGTCTTGCTCTAAGACAAGTTTCAGGTCAGTCAAAACAGTTAAATAGGTATTTAGATTAACTTTACATTTAAAAAAATTGACTTTTGAGATTAAATCACCATATACTTTTTCTTTTGGGTGAAGTAGATTGTTGGGAGCTTTCTTAGTGTTAAAATATATGTTTTTACTGTCAGTTCAGCATTTACTAAAAAAGTTGCAAGAGTTTGAGTTACATCTTAAAACCAGGCTGACTTGGAGGGGACATTTTGGACAGAGGAAGTCATAGTAAAAGCCGTTTTTAGTAGTCCTTCTTGTGTTTAGCTACAGATATCATTCCTCAAGGTTGTGAGGGGTTATTGACACTGGCTGTGTATGAGGATTACCTGAGGAGCTTTAAAGTATAATGGCATCCAGGCTTCCTCTAGATCAAGCCTGTCCAACCTGTCCAACCCACAGCCCACAGGCTGCATGCAGCCCAATACAAATTCATAAACTTTCTTAAGACATTATGAGAGTTTTTTGCAATTTTTTTTTTTGCTTTTGCTCATCAGCTATCGTTAGTGTTAGTGTATTTTATGTATGGCCCAAGATAATTCTTCCTCCAGTGTGGCCCAGGGAAGCCAAAAGATTGGCCACCCCTGCTCTAGATATTAAGATTTAATTTATGGCAGTGGGGAGAAGGGAGGGGGCATTGTTTTTGGTTTTTAACACTACCTCAAGTAATTCTAATGTGTGTTCAGAGGTGAGAACCACTGGAATCGTGAAGATGGGGGTAATTTGCTCTTATGGGTTGAATTGTGTCCCCTGAAAGCTATATCGAAGTCCTAATTGCAGGTACCTGTGTGTCTTAGTCTGTTGGGGCTGCTATAACAAAGTGCCATAGACTGAGTGGCTTATAAACAGCATAAATTCATTTCTCACAGTTTTGTAGACTGGAGGTCTGAGATCAGGGTGCCAGCATGGTCAGGTGCTGGTGAGAACGCTCTTCCAGGTTGTAGACTGCAACTTCCCTTTGAATCCTCACATGGCGCCGAGAGGGACAAGATAACTCTTTAATAAGGGTACTAATCCCATTTATAAGGGCCCCAGCCTCATGATCTAATTTCTTCCTGAAGGCTCCACCTCCTAATATCATCACCTTGGGGTTAACATATGGATTGGGTGGGGGATGCATTCACTCTATTGTACTGTGAATGTTACCATAGATGTAATAAGTTAAGTTAAAATGAGGTCCTATTGAATTAGGGTGAACACTAAATCCAGTGTAACTGGTATGCTTATAAGAAGACGAGAGACACAGAGAGACATAGACCCACAGGGAAGAAGGCCATGTAAAGACAAAAGGAGAGATTGGAGTGATGCTGCCACAAATCAAGAAATGCCGATGATTGCCAGCAACCACCAGAAGATATGAGAGGCAAGGAAGGATTATTTTCCAGAGCCTTTGGAGGACGATCCAGCCAAGACCTTGATTTTGAACTTCTAGCCTTCAGAATTGTGAATGAATACCTTTCTGTTGTTTTAAGTCATCTGGTTATGGCATCCCTAGAAGCAAATATACCTGCTACTCTGCATCATTTAGAAGTATGATATGAACTCTGGAACTAAAAGGAGATTCATTTTAATAAGATACTTTTAGATTCTGAAAGGGGTGTCAGAAAGGGATTTTGGACTGTTGGTTCCTTGCTGGCTATTAAAATACTGTGACTAACCATACCAGTTTGCCCAGGGCTGAGCAGGTTCTGGGGATGAGTTTCATTACACTTGTGTTTCCTAGTACCTATCAAAACCATGACCATACGTGTAAGACTATGCCAGCTTGGAACTCTGATTCTTGAATGAAAATAAATATTGACTGACTTATCTGTGGAAGAAAGGATGCTGCTTTGAAATAATAGGTCACTCATTCCCTTCGATGGAAATAATAAATTTTTCTTTAGTTAGAAAGTATTTTCTAATAGCAAGAGGCCCATGCATTCCAAAAGAATTTTCTAATAAAATATCTTGTCCAACTGGGTTATTGTCAAGAGGCAATAACAGGGTTACCTTTGCAGGAGTTGCAGGCATAACTGCTGGGATCAGGGCAGGACAAAATCCATCCTATTTTTAATGTTGCACATTCTATGTTTTGGTCCAAAATGAACAGATATTTGATAATGTCATTTAAAAGAGCTATCACAAAGTATTTCACAAAGTCTTTGTAGAGATTCATATTTTTGGTCAAAAGTATAAGTTTGATCAGGACAAGCGGCAAGCATTCTTGAAGGTCAATAGATATCTTTATTCTCTGTATATGTATTCTCTTTATTCTCCTCAAATAAAATAAGAGTAATAGCATTAACTTAGATTCTGAGCAATATTCTGAAGACCGGCTAATAGCTATTGCATACTTTTCATGTTAAAAACAAGAAGTGTCTTTGGTGCAGAGTATTAGCTGGTGGCATAAAACTTCAAGGCACCAGGTCATAACTATCCCATTTAATAAATGAGACCACTCTTGCCTTTGAACTGAGCTGAAAGCTGCACTGATAGTCACAATTGTGTCCATTGTTTCCCTGTTGTAATATGTGACTCCAGAGTGTGCATCTCTTTCTCACATGACAGAGACATCTCTGTCTTAGTTCTTTTTTGGCTATTGCAGTAAATGGGGATGTACTGACCATCAACCTTGCTAGGCAGCATTCATTACTCTAGACACCTGTACTAATGTTCTACTGACTTCTATTTTTATGAAAGAATAATTGATGCTATGTCAAAAGGCTATAGAATATCATCAAATTCTTTCCTTTTCTGGGCAAGGGGTGGTGGTGGAGACAATGTTTATATCTCTGATTTTCCAAATTCTAAGTCATAGCCAAAGCTCCCAAAGTTATTAAGTTTAAGATTCCATTTGAACTTGGCTTTGTACAATACAAAACTACCCCATATTTAAAAATCACTGTCACAAAGTAATAGATAAGTTCAAAGCAGATAATCCTCCCCTAGCACACAACTTAATAAATAAGCTATGCAACTCCCTGCATAGGCATACATAAGAAATCTATTGTATTCAGTCTTTTAATTTCCCCAGTGTTCACAACCATGCTGGCATTTTCAAGAGATAAGCCCACACACTTTTTCCTTAGGAAGAAAAAAAGGTTTGACTAAAGCAAAATATGTTCTGTGGTAAATCATTATTTTCAAGCAGTGCCTTTTGTTTACTTGTTTTTCATATTATCAAAGGGATAAATCTTAATCCCATGTAGAGCATGGCTGCTGATCATGCAAAACCGGAGCTGTCTTAACATGAACAACTGTCCTCCCTCTAATGCCAGGGCTGGCCATTGAATGCCACCCAAGAGGATTTGGGGAACCCCAAGTCTCCAAAGCAGAAACAAAGGGAAAGACTTGTCCAAGATTACTTTAGTACCAAGCATTTAATTATAATGTTAATTTGCACAATACCCCCCCTTTTAGCAGTGATTTCACTGCTAAAACCAAGTGGTAATATTAAAAAAAAAAGTTTCCCGCTGCCTAAGTTCAGAGGGTAACCCGGGAATGGATGTGTTTGCAACAATGAACATAGCATCTCTTTATTGGCAGAGCCTCTGAAGGCCTGGTCTGAAGAGTTAAGTCTTCTTTGGAGCACTTTTGTTTTTTTAACTTTTTTTTTTTTTTTTCAGATGGAGTTTTGCTCTTGTTGCCCAGGCTGCAGTACAGTGGCGTGGTCTCAGCTCACTGCAACCTCCGCCTCCCATGTTCAAGAGATTCTCCTACCTCAGCCTCCCAAGTAGCTGGAATTACAGGCACCCACCACCACGCCCGGCTAATTTTTCGTATTTTTAGTACAGATGGGGTTTCATCATGTTGGCCTGGCTGGTCTCAAACTCCTGACCTCAAGTGATCCACCTGCCTCAGCCTCCCAAAGTACTGAGATTACAGGCGTGAGCCACTACAGCTGGTCTTTTTAACTTTCTTTAAGCAAGGATATTCATACCCTTTCAGTGGTTGGTACTGAATTCTTAAAACTGTCAATGACAATCAAAGTTACCTGTCAGAGCAGAAAGAAACAAAAGAAAAGAAAAACAAAATCTTATATTATGCATTATCTTTTTAAGAGTGGGCCTGTGGCGGCCAGGCGCAGTGGCTCAAGCCTGTAATCCCAGCACTTTGGGAGGCTGAGGCGGGTGGATCACAAGGTCAGGCATTCGAGACCAGCCTGGCCAACATGGTGAAACCCCTACTCTACTAAAAATACAAAAATTAGCTGGGCGTGGTGGCACTCGCCTGTAATCCCAGCTACTCAAGAGGCTGAGGCAGAAGAATCACTTGAACCCGGGAGGCAGAGGTTGCAGTGAGCCGAGATCATGCATTCCAGCCTGGGCAACAGAGTGAGACTGCATCTCAAAAAAAAAAAAAAAAAAAGAGTTGGCCTGTGGCTGAGGCTGGCATGTGGGCATCAGTGGACATGGAAGTGTTCATGTAAAAAAAAAAAGTTCAGCAGTTTCTTTTTTTTAAGACAACGTCTAGCTCTGTCACCCAGGCTGGAGTTTAGTGGTACAATCTTAGTTCACTGCAGCCTCTGCCTCCTGGGCTCAAGTGATCATCCCACCTCAGCCTCCTGAGTATCTGGGACTACAGGCCTGTGACACCACACCCAGCTAATTTTTGTATTTTTTTGTAGAGACAGGATTTTGCCATGTTTCCTAGGCTGGTCTCAAAACTCCTGGGCTCAAATGATCAGCCCACCTCAGCCTCCCAAAGTGTTGGGATTACAAACGCGAGCCATCATGCCTGGCCAGGCAATTTCTTACAAAGTTAAGCCTTAGGACTACCCTATGACTCAGCAACTCCAATCCTAGGTATTTACCTATGAGAAATGAAGCATATGTTCACCTGAAGACTTGTAGTTCTCATAGCCTCAAACTGGAAAAAACCCAAAAGTCCATTCCCAGGAGGGTGGAAAACAAACTGTGGTAGTGCTGGCTTCAGCGGCACAGATGCTAACATTGGAGCGATACAGAGAAGACTAGCGTGGCCGCTGCGCAAGCATGACACGCAAACTCATAAAGCATTCTTTTAATTTTTAAAATAAGAAAAGAAAACACAAACTGTGGTATATCCGTATAATAAACAAATAACATATGGATAAACACAGCATGGATGAATCTTGAAAACATGTCAAGCGAAAGCAGTCAGATATAAAAGAGTGCAAACTGTATGATTCCATTTACATGAAGCTTTAGAACCGGCAAACCTACTCTATGGTACTAGGATTAGAACAGTGATTGCCTCTGGGTGGTGGTGGTGAGTTGACTGGAAGGGACACACGGGGACATTTAGTGCTGATGGAAATGCTTTTTGTCTTGACCAGCATTATGGTTACATGGATATACGCATTTGTCAAAGTTCATCGCTCAAAGCCTATGCATTTTATTGTATGTAAGTGATCTCAATGTGAAAAGAGGAAAAAACACATTAAAAATAGTTCAGATTTTCTATTCTTTAAGTTTTCTAATTGATTATTGTGTGATAGCAGTCAACACATTAGTGAATCATTATAGTGTGGAAAAATTTTGCTGTCAATCTAATGGCTTGTTTGTGCTCACCAGGACTCTTAATCCATCAAAAAGAATTTAAGACCCTAATAAATTAGTTGTAGCATTGGAAGAGGACACACAGATACAATTCTTCACTTGCCAGGATTGACAGATGTTATTTTGATAAGCAAAGGAGCCATCTGTTCAAGTAGCTGGCCATTAGACCAAAGTAGGGTTTAGGTGAGTGGCAAATTTGTTGAGAGTTGATAGGCTGGCAATTTCACAAACATTTTTTTTCTTCACTCTTCATTGACACTACTGCTGTATCTAAAATTATGGAAGTGTTAGATGTGTCTCCAGTACACTATGCATTTTGCTTCTGAAAGCCGTGTCTGAAAACTCTACTGAAGGTGCTTTGGCTGGTAGGAAAGGCACAAAGCATTTGGTTTCTCCTTGAACAGATGTGGTGAGTAAGCGGTCCTCTTAGAGTCATGAGAATTAAGGAGATCTAGGAATATAAAACCAGAATAGCGAGCAAGCTCCAGCTGTGTTTAAGTTATAGGTTTGTGAGTCTGGGAGTCTCAGAATCCTAAGAGAAGACCTGAAGATACATATGAGTTCAGATCTGTGGAGATGAGCTGTAATAAATAAGAGTGCTTTCTCTTTAACACTTAAAAATGTTTCAATTCCTTATTTAATATTTGGCTACATTTGTCACTGAAATAGTCATATATTTGGAGACTATTGGGCTCTGGAAGGTTTGCTAGGTTATGTTCTTTCCTGTTTATTTCATAAAAGTACTTGTCAGTCTCTTTTGGGGTTTCATTTGGAACTGCAGGTGTGTGTTGCAAACCAGATATAAACTAAATTACAGCATATGCAGAACTGACCCCTTACCAATGGAAAATGCATATTTTCAGCTGACCTGCTCCTCAGGTAACAAGATGTGGGAGAAAAATATTTATTGGAGACGATGTAATTGCCACCTTATTCTTTTTAAAGCTGCAAAATTCTAATCAATCAGCATTGGTGGGAAAGAATAGCAGAGAAAGAGGAGGGGAATGGAAAGATTTGATCCACAAAGCAGCTCCTTGAGAAACACGTGAAAGCTCTTGGGAGGTCAGATGAACTTCCTTGTTGTGCTTGATGGCTAGGGTGGGAGGAGAGAAGCGAAAACACAGGAGGTGAGGCTAATTGGAACACAGAGCAGCAGTCAATGGGATGGGCAGAAGCCATGAAGCCCCAGAAACACCAGCGGTGTCATACTGTGTGTAAAATGAAACCATTGTGGTGATTGGTTGCACAACCAACTTGCAATGTGAAGTTATCCAATTTTTTTAAACAATGAAAGCTAAAAACACTTGAGCAGTAATTCAAGGGGACTCAACGAATTACAGTGAGAAAAGCCATAGATGAAAACATTTGTGTAAGTTAACTCTTAAAACTTAAAAGTAATTGAAAACATGACATCTATACAAAAATTTACAATATAGTTAAAAGCAAGGTTATGATTTTCCTGGGTGGAGCTGGTTTGCATTTGGATGCATACTGACACCTGTTTTTATTACAAGACCTAGTAAGAAATAATGAAATAGCTGTTGAGAATTTTAACATGATGAAAGCAATGTGAACAGTACAGTTTAGTGAACTGCATAGATTCCAGAATGAAGAGCTTCTTTTATGAAAGTGTAAGTTATTCAAGACTAATTCAGTATTCAACATTATGTCAAGTAGGAGGATGGGGAATGAGTGTGCATGTGTGTGTGGGTTGTCAAACTTTTTTTTAAGGCAAAATATTTAGTGTAGTGGAAAGGAGTTACCAAACCTTTAAAGTACAGATTGTTCTTTCTTATTAAATAATATTTCTTTTGAAAAGTAAATTTAAAACAAGGTAATTTATACACAGGAAAGTGCTCTAATCTGAAACATAGTTCAATGAATTTTTGCGTACATAAATATTTATATAATTATCACTCCAGAAAGCTCTCTCATGTCTCTTTATAGTCAAAACCGCTTTGTATTCAAAAGTTACCTCTCTTTGATTTCTATCACCATAGATTAATTTTGCCTTTACTTGAACTTTGTAAGAATGGGATCATTCAGTTTGCACTTATGCTCCATATGATGCTTTCAAAATTCATCCGTATTTTTGCAAGTCTCAGTGATTTGTTTATTTTATTGCCATGAGTTATTTTATTCGATTCCAAATTTGTTTACCTATTCTCCTGTTGTTTGAAAAGTTGATTTGTTTTCAGTTTGGGGCTGTGAGGAATGGAGCTATATAAGCACAGTGGTATAAATCTTTTGGGGACGTATGTACTCCTTTCCAAGTCCCACCCTAGGGATGATGATTCAGTGGTTCTTGCACCTTTTTCCCCAGCCTCCACAACCTCACATTCCCTTCCTCCTGTGATTCTGGTTAGACTTGGGAACTTCCACCCAAGACACCAGGTGCCAAACATAGAATGCCATTCAGGGAACCAAATTACAAACTTGAATATGAAAAATTCACATAAAATGTGATTTTGCAAACTGAGAAGCTTTATTTTATTTTAATGACCACCAGTTGATAGCTGCAATGTCCTGCAATGGAGCTCAACTTGCTCTCTTCCTTGTATTGCAGAGCTCTAATACACATTCTGAAGCTTCAGTCTGCCACAGTGAGGAAGGAAGACTTGCTGTACTTCCTGCTAGGAATGGGAGTGCCCAGTCAAGACACCTTAATTGTCCTCTTTCCCATGCATAATTTCAGATGATTCTTCTGATTTTGGCAAATAGCCACTGAGGTTCCTTACTGAGCTTGCTACAGACTTGGGAACCCTTTCTACATCTTAAAGCTGCTAACAGCCTTTTGTCATATTTGTTTTCTCAAGAAGTAGCCTCGCAAGATATGAGTTCTCAAGGCCCTCATTTCCCCTGTTATTCAGGCAAAACTACAGCCCTCATCTCTGGGGCCCTTCTGGGGCATTTTCCAATGCTATGGCCAGGTCTGGGCTAGCTTTGCTCAATGAAGTTCGCTGCTACTCCCAAATCAAGCCTCATTCGAAAATCAAGCTGAGGAACCATTTCACTTAGGAGACAACCTTCCGTTTTATCTCTACGAGGAATGACATTGCAGTTTTGAATGTGATACCTGGACACAGATACTTTCTAGTTTCCCTCACTTTTGATAAAATCCAGATCTTTAAAGGGCTGCTTTTTTTGTTTTCCCTACTCAGAGAACCTCTTTGTGGACCTGTACACAGAGTCTCTCTCTTGTCGCCCAGGCTGAAATGCAGTGGCACAATCTCAGCTCACGCCTCCCAGGTTCAAGCGATTCTCATGTGTCAGCGTCCCAGTAGCTGGGACTACAGGTGGGTGCCACCACGGTCAGCTAATTTTTTGTATTTTTAATAGAGATGGGGTTTCGGCATGTTACCCAGGCTGGTCTTGAACTCCTGAGCTTAGGCAATCCACCCATCTAGGCCTGCTAAAGTGCTGGGATTATAGGCGTGAGCCATCGCGCCCGGCAAGAACCTCTTTGTGGACTTGTACGTTTTTGGTTGTAGAAAATAATTCATCTGCCTCAATTCAAGTAAGGAAATAAATGGACATTTCTAGGTTCTTCTAATTTTCTTTTATCTACTCAGTATTCTGTGGGATTACAATTTATCTTTTACTGTGATGAAACATTACAATTTTTCTTAAGATATTTTTCTGACCAAGTATAATTTTCAAGTAAACTGATGCATTCCATTTCTTACTGTTCAGATGGTCAAATTCAAAACTGCAGTGCTACTTCTCTTAAAGATAAAAAGGGAAGGCTCTCTCCTAAGTGAAGTGGTTCCATAATATGAAGCGGTCCTTTGGAATTAATTGAATCAGTAGCAACAATTTGAGGCCTGACCAAAGGAAAATTGTAAAGTGGTTAGTGTCCACTGCTTTTTGATTTAGTGTAGGGTTTTCCCCCTTGAAAAGGTAACACTTCTTCACAAAAAGATCTGATACTTATTAACAGTAAGCTGCAAATGACTGAGAACTTTGACGTATAGTTATTTTGGAGCATTTTGCATTTTAACACCCGTCATACCCAGAAGACAAGTAGGAGGACGTTGGTTGTCAGCCAACATGACTATTCTTAGGTCAATGGGAGTTCTGTCCCATAATATGCATAGACGTTGGAGCTGTGAGGCCTTTTGCAGTATGCCTGCTTAGTTATGACTCCACAAGGATGTTCCAGGCATTCTGGATTTCAAAACTTTGGGGCAAATCTTCTATTAGTGCCCTTTGGAGAAAGAATCTATTTTCGGACTCAGTCGTTTGCTTTGAAGTTCAGTGTTCATACTTGCAGGTGACTGGTGGATATAATATTTTCCAGGCATGGAAGAAAACCCAGTCCTGAGTCTCTAATGAACCTAAGTACAGATAAATGAGAAATAAGAATCGGATTCCTGACAAACTTGGGTTTCAGTCCTTGGTTCTTAGTTGGGGAGCTGGCCATAGTAATAGATGGGGGAAAGACAAGGAAATATCTAAGGAGCAAATTCTGGGTTCATTTTGTGCTTCATTGCTCACCTAAATTCTGAGTCGCCAGAAGTGAGGTGCCTCAATATCCCTCCCACACTAGGATTACATTCTGTTTGCCATTTCTATAGAATCTGTCTTTTCTCAGAGCTTTACATCCCTCATTTCACCTCAGCTAGTGCCATTAAAACATTATTAGTATCTCTAGTTTGCAGATGTGGAATCCAAGTCTTGTATTTTGGGGTCCAGTATGTTTCCCGTCACTGTGTGTTCTTTTTCAAGTAATGGTATAAAATAGTTTTTGACATTGTATAGTACCTTAAACTTTTAAAATCACTTTCATATTGATTGACTATTGATCTCTCAAGATGAGGAAAAATGAGTCTAATGTTAAGTATCCAGCCCAATGTAACACAAATCATATGTCAGGATCACACTAAAGTGTGGGTCTTTCCACTGGGCACCTGTCTTTACACTACAGATGAGCAGGTCTTCTCTGTGGTAATCTAGGCTCTTTGAAAGTTCTTTATGAATGTGCATACAGATCAAAGTGTCAAAAGATGAGATCTGGGTGTTGAAGAAAATAAAACATGGAAAAGAGAGAAGGAGGGGCTGATTGTTTCAAGACGCTAAATATTAACAAGACCTATTATATATTGAATGGTTTCTATGTGCTGGGCCGCAGTGCGAAGCCCTATGTGGACTTTCTCCGTGAATCTTAATAATAACCCTGTGATGAAGATCCTATCACCATCTCTGTTTTACAGATGAAGAAACTGAGGCTTGGAGAAATTAAATAGGCCACCCAAGTTTACACAGTTAAGTACTGGAGCCAGGATTAAAAGCATCATTCTCTATTGCTTCTCATTATTTGAATCCCATAAAAAAGTTCTTGCTCTTGGTCCATGTTTACTAAGCAGAGGCTAGGCTGGCTAGAGTTTATAACTTCTTTGCAACACTTATATTCGAAATCATAAATCAATAAACTACTCCTCTGGTTTAATTAAAAATAATAGCTAACCTCTACTGAGTGCTTACTAGGTGCAAGGCTTTGTTCCAAGCACTTTACACATTTAATCCTCACAACAGTTATCGCTCATTTAATCATCACCACAATCTTTGAGGATGTTACTATCTATTAATATCTCTATTTAACAAACAAGGAAATATAGCCCAGAAAGGCTCTGTACTTGGCCCAAGCTAGCAAGTAGTAAAGTCAGTCTGAATCCAGGCAGTCTGGCGTTGGTGTCTAAACTCATAACCACTCTTCTGTACTGGCACTATCTTTATTTTATTTTCTCCTTTTCACATGGTTATGAATTTTCTGAGGTTAAATCAGGGTGAAGAGACAGGCCTGGCATAGAAATAGAGGTGCCTGAAGGCCAAGGCAGGGAAGAGTCACTTTCCCACCTCCCTCTGGGAAGATCTCACTGAGTCTGTGTATCCAGTAGGTGCATCGCCTCTTGCATTTACTGTTTATGACAAATGACCAGAGGATCTTATGGGCCTGGGTAAGGTAAGTCTTTCCTAAGAAATAGTCTACTCATGGTATGATGGCACATTTGGTGTCTGAGCCTGCAAGTCCAGGAGAGAAATTCTGAACCATTTTTAAAATATTTTTTAAGCTAATGAATGTCACCCTCTAAGGTTTTTTAGGAGATGGCCTGCTGGTTTCCCTGGAAATACTCTGGGCCCACAATTGGCCATATTTTAAAAGATTCCCCACGTGCTCCATCGAATATAATGAAGCGCAAATTATGTAGTGCAGGTGTGATGCTACAAGATCTCAGAAGGCAGGGAGTGTCAGGTGGGTTAGTGACAGCTTCAATTATGTGGAGGCGTTTGAAGGGAAAGAGAAGCGATGAGGCTCGAGTTGAAGATGAGGCAATGGTTGGTGAGGGTGGGGGACACAGGCATACAGAGAGAGGTTGCCTCTAAGGAGACATCGCTGCTTGGGAGCAGTGAGAGCAGGTGAGCAGATAAGGAGAGGCTAGAAGTTGGAGGGAATAGAGTTCACAATTAACATTGGAGAGAACAAGGAGCCAACGTCAGGATGAAAGGGGTGTTCAAGGGAGATGATTCCAATAGGAGTGTCTGGTGGTGTATTTTTGGAGGGCAAGTCATTTGCTCCAAGAGATGTTCAGTAGAGTAAGTTTAGAAACCTGAGAATAAAAATTGAGGTTAAAAGGCCGGACGCGGTGGCTCACGCCTGTATTCCCAACACTTTGGGAGGCCGAGGCGGGCGGATCAGGAGGTCAGGAAATCGAGACCATCCTGGCTGACACGGTGAAACCCCGTCTCTACTAAAAATACAAAAAAATTAGCCAGGCGTGGTGGCGGGCGCCTATAGTCCCAGCTACTCTGGAGGCTGAGGCAGGAGAATGGCGTGAACCCGGGAGGCGGAGCTTGCAGTGAGCCGAGATCGTGCCACTGCACTCCAGCCTGGGTGACAGAGTAAGACTCTGTCTCAAAAAATAAATAAATAAAATAAAATAAAATAAAATACAGGGGCTGTCTTCATTTTATTTTATTTACTCTTTTTCACATGGTTATGAATTTTCTGAGGTTAAACCAGGGTGAAGAGGAAGGCCCAAAGTAGAAATAGAGGTGTCTGAATGGCAAGGCAGGGCAGAGCCATCTTCCCACCTCCCCACCTCCCTCTGGGAAGATCTTTCTGGGTCTGTGTGCCCTGCGAGTGTATCGAATCTTGCATTTACTGTTCATGACAAATGAGTA
This sequence comes from Homo sapiens, assembly GCF_000001405.40. Taxonomy (NCBI): domain Eukaryota; kingdom Metazoa; phylum Chordata; class Mammalia; order Primates; family Hominidae; genus Homo; species Homo sapiens. The sequence goes on along the minus strand of NC_000002.12, from coordinate 53,562,680 downwards.
TTAGTAGCTGTGGACTAATTTAGTCCTAATGAGCCACTAGCGCATTAGAGTTGGAACTATTGCGCCATCCTAGGATTGCACTCAGAGCTGCCCATATTTGGGTGGAGCCATTCTCTGCCCCAGGGCCACTGAAGGGAGACCCATGGGAAGCATCTGCTCAGTGACAGTTTGCTTTTGTGCTGCAGAAGAGGGAGAGGACAATGTCATTTTGTTTTTGGAACTGGTTCCAGGAACAAAGACATTGTGCTTGCTTCTCCTTCTCTCAGCACCTGTTGCTGGATGGCTGAGATTCAGACCTGGACCTGCTTCTACCACTCCTTTGTGCTCCTTGGGCTCATAGTCACAGATTCAGACTTTTCCTGGAGCAGAATGTGCAGACTCATTAGAATGGCCCTCTCCTAATTTCTGTCTTATGGCATCTCTAGTTGTTTACTCTTTAAATGCTGGCATTTTCCATCCAGTGTTCTAGCCTCAGCCGTCTCCTCACCCCACACTTGCATGCTCAGCGTGAGCTCTTCTAGAACCAGGTCTTCACTACCATCCATGTGCTGGTGACTTCCATGGCTGTGTCTCCTGTCCAGACTGCCTTCCCAAAGTAGAGTAAGACTGGGAGTCAGGAAAGCTGGTCCTAAAGCACCACAGGAGCCAGTCACCTTTGTCCTCTTCAGAGACAAATACTGCAGCCCATCTTTGCCTGATCATAGTAAAATAAATGGCCATGATTATTGGTGGGTGGGGGTAGGGGTGGAAGATGAGTAAAGAGAGATGAATCAGTGTGAATTCATCTCCAACACTGGAAAGACAACGGCTAATTCTGCAGTTGGTTGAATCCACAGATGCAGAACCTATGGATACAGAGGCCGCCGACTGTATATATTATATTTATATAACCCTTTTGAATTTTTACTAAATAAACACACCCATGTAACCATCACTTAGGTGAAGAATACATTACCACCACCCCACAGGCTTTCCTCTTGCTGTCTTCTGGTCAGGATCCCTTCCCAAAAGGTAACTTATTCTATCTTTATATAAGATATGTAGCAATGGAATCGTACAGCCAGTGCCCTTTTGGGTCTGGATTCTTTCTCTCAACATTATGTTAGATACTTGTGGGAATAGCTGTAGTTCACAAGTACAACAAGATCAAGAACAAATTCATTCTGAATATGCCCAAGTTATGTATCCTGTTTGTTGATAATGAACATTTGTGCTGTTTTCAGTTTCTGGCTATTTCAAATTATGTACTATATTCTTGCACGTGTCTTTGGTGCTCATAAACATGTATTTCTGTTAGCTATGTAACTTGAAGTGGGAGTGCCGGGTCAAAGGGTATGTGTATGTTCAGATTTAGTAGATAATGATAAACTGTTTTCTAAAGTGGTTTCATCCATTTGCATTCATACCAGCAGCAACGGACAATTTCCATTATTCTACATCCTCACCCACACTTGTTATAGTCTGTTTTGTAACAAAAAATAGCCAGTTTGGTGGTGTATAATGACATCGCATTGTGGTTTTAAAGTAGATTTTTGTAATTACTAATAATATTGTATACGATTTTATACATTCATTAGTTATTTGGATATCCTCTTTTATAAGTATCTTGCCCATTAATTAAGACTGGTTGCTGGGTTTTTAAGTTGATTTCCAGTGTTTTTTTAAATATAATCAGAATATAAGTCCTTTGTTGAATATCTGTGTTGCAAATGTCTTCTATTTTTCACTCTCTTAAAATTGTCTTTAAAAAAATTGCCTTTTGATGAACAAAGGCTGTCTTTTGATAAAAAGAATAATATATTCCAATTTATGATCTTTTCCTTTGTGTTTAATTTTTTTTATGTTCTGTGTAAGAAAGGTTGTAAAGGTATGTTCTTTTGTTATCATCTAGGAGCTTTGCTGTTTTATCTTCCACATTTGAATCCAGTCTTTGTGGAAGTGATGTGTGTTTGCATGACATGTAGTGGGAGATTAAGATTCATTTTTAAAAATAGGGATATCGGCCAGGTGCAGTGGCTCATGCCTGTAATCCCAGCACTTTGGGATGCCAAGGTGGGTGGATTGCTTGAGTCCAGGAGTTTGAGACCAGCCTGGGCAACATGGCGAAACCCTGTCTCCACTAAAAATACAAAAATTTGCCAGGTGTGGTGTCGTGTGCCTGTAGTCCCAGCTACTCTGGAGGCTGAGGTGGGAAGGTCGCTTGAGCCCAGGATGTCAAGGCTATAGTGAGTCAAGATTGTGCCACTGCACTTCAGCCTGGGCCACAGAGTGAGACCCTGTCTAAAAAAAAAAAAAAAGAAATATCTCATTTACTCAGAAACCATTTAATGTAAAGATCATGTTTTCCTCAGCACACTGCCAGTGTTGTTCTCCTTCAAGATTGCAGTGGCTATTGTAGGCCCTTGGAATTTTCCTAACAATTTTTGAATCATCTTGTCATTTTTCACTGAAAAATTTCAGCAAAGGTTTTTGATTGTGATTGCATGGAATCTATAGATCAATATAAAGGAAAAATGATGCCTTTGCAATGTTGAGTCTTCCATTACTTAATTATAAAATTTCCTTTCCCACCCAAGTTTTTATTTTCCCTCAGTAATGTTTTCTTGCTTTGTGTATTGAGTTTTGCACATCTTTCATTAGACTAATTTCATGGTATTAATTTTTTAAATAAAAATGTTATTTAAAAATTATGTCATGTTAAAAAGTTTTATTTTCAAATTCTTTTTGGCTGGTAGGTACAGTAATCTTTTCTTACCTGTGTTTTTGATTTCTGGAGTTTCAGTTATCCATAGTCAACTGTGGTCCAAAAATGTTAAATGGAAAATTCCAGAAATAAATAATTTATGACTTTTAAACTGTGTCATTCTGAGTGATGAAATCTTGTGCCAACCTGCTCTGTCCGCCCTGGGATGTGACTCATCCTGTTGTCTAGCATGTCTACAATGTCTATGCTACCTGACCATTTAATCACTTAGTGGCTGTCTTGCTTATCAGATTGACTGCTGCAGTATCACAACAGTTGATATGTTCGAGTAATCCTTATTTTATTTAATAATGGTCCCAAAGTGTAAGAGTAGTAATGCTGGTAATTCAGATATGCCAAAGCCATAAAGTACCTCCTTTAAGTGAAAAGGTTAAGTTTATCATAGGTATGTAGGTATAGAAGAAAACATACCACATATAGGATTCAATACTATCCATGTTTCAGGCATCTACTGTGGGGCTTGGAATGTATTCTCTATGGATAAAGTGGTAAGGGGGGGTGACTATACATAAAAATACTTTTTTTTGGATTTTGTATCAGCAACTTTGCTAAATTCACTTATTAATTCTAATAAGTCATATGTGTATTCTTCTGGATTTCTACATGTCATCTGTGAATACTGACAATTTCATTTTTTCCTTTCCATTTCTTATACCATTTATTTCTTTTCCTTATTTTGTTCCATTGGTTAGCTCAAAGTTGAATTAAAGTGGTGATGGCTGGCATTCTTGTTATATTCCAGATCTCAGGGGTAAAGCTTTTAATATTTTATTGTTAAATATAGTGTTTGTCATAGGTTTTAAAAATATACACCATTAAATTAAGGAAGTTTCTTTCTAATTTTGCTGACATCTAAAAAAATCACGAATGGATGTTGAATCTTATCAGATATTTTTCTGCACCCATTGGGATGAAAATATGAGTTTTTTTCTTTATTCTGTGAATGTGGTAAATTACATTAATTTTCAAACGTTAAACCAACCTTAAATTCCTAGAATGAACTCAGTTTGATTGTGATGAACTACCTTTTTCATGTATTGCTAAATTCCATTTATTTAGAATATTTGCATCTGTATTCATAAAATAGATTGGCTTGTCTTTTTTCTTGTAATGTCCTTGTCAAGTTTTGCTGTCAATGTTATGCTAGTCTCGTAAAAGGAATTGGGAAGTGTTCTTTCTTTTTATATTCTCTAGAAAAGCCTGTGTAACATTGGCATTATTTCTTCCTTAATTATTTGGAATAATTCACTGGTGAAAGTCTCTGGGCTTTTTCTTTGTGGAAGGTTTATAAATTATGGATGCTTTTTAGAATAGATTCCAGTTCAATAGTTGACATGGCTTAAATATTTGTCCCCCTAAATCTCATGTTGATATGTAATCCCCAATGTTGGAGGTGGGACCTGGTGGGAAGTGCTTGGGTATTGGGGGTGGATCCCTCATGCCTTGGTGCTGTCCTCTCCACAGTGAGTGAGTTCTTGCGGAATCTCGTTGTTTAAAAGTGTGTGGCACATCCCTCTCCCCCTCTCTCTCTTGCTCCTACTTCCACCATGTGAGACGTTTGCTCCCGCTTCATGATGCGCCACGATTGTAAGCTTCCTGAGACCCTCACCAGAAGCCAAGCAGATGCTGGTGCCTTGCTTCCTGTATAGCCTACAAAACTGTGAACCAATTATCCTCTTCTCTTTATAAATTACCCAGTCCTGGTATTTCTTTACAGTAATGTAAGAATGGCCTAATACACTGGTAATATTCTGTACATCCCAATCTATTTTCACAAACATATTAAACAGTTATTTCAATATCTAACTCCAATATTTGGATTGCTGCTGGGTCTGCTGCTTTTGTATTTTAGCATTTTATTCTTATTTGGTCTTTCTTCTTGCCATGCCTGTTAAGTTTCCGTTTAATGTCAGGCTTTGTGTATCAAAATTTATAGGTAATGTTTGCGTATCTGTTATTCTTCCAGAGAAGATGTGATTTTCTTTCAGCCAGCAGACCCTGTTAGAGTAGCAATAGCTCTCCTTGATCCAATAATGATGAACATGATTTAAGCCTGGGTTTCAGTAAGATTGGTAGCAATGCTCCTTTTTAATATTTCTGGTTCTGGTAATTTATCTTTCTTTCTTTCCCCCCTTGGTCAGTGTATTAGTTTCCTGTGGTTCCTGAAACTGATTCCCACAAACTGGATGGCTTAAAATAACTTAAATTTATTCTCTCACAGTTCTGGATGCCAGAAGTCCAAAGTTGAGGTGTTGGCAAAGCCATGAACCCTCTGAAGGCTCTAAGAGAGAAACCATTCCTTAGCCTTCCAGCTTCTAGTGGCTCCAGGCATCCCTTGGCTTGTGGCCCCACCACTCCAATCTCTGCCTCCATGGTCACATTGCCTTATCTTCTTCTTCTGTCTTAACGCTCCCACTTATTCTCTCTTGTAAGGTTACATGTTATTGCATTTAGGGCCCACCTGTGTAATTCAAGATAATCTCCTTCCTTCAAGGTTATTAACTTGATTACATCATTTGCTTCAGATGGTAATATTCAGTCTTTTGCTGTATCAGGTAATATTCACAGACCTCAGGGATTAGGTTACAGACATGGCTTTTTGGGGGACACCGTTCAGTTCACTATAGTCATTCTATCTAAAGATTTGTCAATTTTGTTGTTTTATTCAAAGAACTATTTGTTTCATAGCTTTTTTCCCTATATAATTTGTTTTCTATTTTGTTGATATCTGCTGTAGTCTTTATATTTACTTTCTTTTGCTTGCTTTGGGTTTGTTATTTTTATTTTAGTGTCTTAAGAGAAAAGCTAAGTTTACAGATTTAAGGCCTTTTTTTCTTTTCTGATAAAGGCTTTTAAATCTATAAAGGTCTCTCTAAGCATTGTTTTAGTACTGCAGCCCATAAATTTCTGCAGTTTCACTTGCTTCAAATTCTTCTCTAATTCTTTTTGTAATTTATTTTTTGACCCATAGATTATTTAGGAGTATGTTAATTTCCAAATATTTGGGAATTTCATATTTAATTCTATTGTACTCAGAAAATATTTTATGATTTTATTCATGTTAAATTTATTAAAACTTATTTTATAATCTAGCATATGGTAGACCCTGAAGAATGTCTCATACATGCTTGAAAAGAATGTATATTATGCAGTCATTGGGTAGAACATTCTACATATCGCTTAGGCTAAGTGTGTAAATAGTATTGTCTAAGTCTCCTATAGACTTAATGAATTTCCATTTGTTCTATGAACTATGGAGAATGGGATATGACAATTTCTAACTATTATTGTTGTCATTTTTCTTTTGGTTTTTCAGATTTTGCTTCATATATATTGAGATTCTATTGTTAGGTGTGTAAACATTTATTATAAATTGTATGCTTTCACCATTTTATCCATAATATTTCTTAAAAATTTATTTTGTCTGATAATAATATAGCCACTCAGCTGTCTTATATATACTGTTTGTAATAGTGGTTCATCTTTTCTTATCCTTTTGTTATCAACCTATGTATGTCTTTGAATGTGTGGTATCTGTCTTATAGATAGTAAATACAGGTTGAGCATCCCAAATGTGAAAATCTGAAATCCATAATGCTCTAAAATCTGAAACTATTTGAGTGCAAACATGATGCTTAAAGGAAATGCTCATTGGAGTATTTTTTATTTCTAATTTTTCATTTGGGACGCTCAACTGGTAAATAGTGCAAATATCCCCAAATCGGAAAAAATCAGAAATCCGAAACACTTCTGGCCCCAGCATTTCAGATAGGGCATGCTCAACTTATAGTTGCTTCTTGGTTTTTTAATCAGTCAGGCAATTTTTGCCTTTTAATTAAATAACTTAGTACATTCTTTTTTAGTGTAATTATTAATATGATCAGATTTACATTTGACATTTTTCTTTGTTTTCTGTGTCTAATGTATTTTTTGTTTTTCTGTTCCTGTTTACAGCTGTCTTTTATGTTCAGTAATTTAGTGTGCCAATTAGATTCACGGTAGATTTATTTAACATGGATGCATATATGTAGTCATATACATATATATATATTTTCTTAGTAGTTGCTCTAGGAATTACAATATACTTTCTAATTCTTCACTATCGACTTTAGAATAATACTGACTTAATTTTGGTAAAAAATAAAAACCTTGAGCTCCAGTCTAGCAGAGAGCATGGTGAGATGCAGAGCACAGCGTGCTCCTCCAGGGCCCTCTGGGTAGCAGGTGAGCTGAGGGGGCCCAGGACAAGCTGCACCCTCTGCCCTGCAGACACCCGGGGCCTTTGCTGTGGCTACCCATTGGCCAGGCCCAGGCCTTGAAGCAGTGGTGAACCTCTCTTCCCTACCTCACCTTGGTGACTAATGGTGGTGGCCTCTCCAAGCCTGGACCCCACTGGCCACTGCTGGGTATCCCAGCTCAACCCTGCTTGGCCTACATGAAACCCCCATTGAGCTGCCAGGATGCAGCATTTTTTGAAGTCAGTGGGAATGGCAGGCTGGGAAGCATGGTGACCACCCAAATGCGGCAAATGCCATTAGGGTGTGGAGGGCCTGGGAAGGAGGTCTGTGGACACAGGCAGGTTTGGTCACCTCTTTAGGCCATGGAGCTGTGCAGATCTGGGTCCCAGGTGACTGCTGTGTTTCAATGGATGAGATCTGTTGTTATGAGATCTTTGGGGTGTCGCTTTTCTGGCTGGGAAACTCTGTGGCTAGTTGTGCCTTTGCCTGAGTTTTGCTTGGGCCCACTGGGCTTGTTCCGCCCACTTGGACTAGCAGGCTGCATGCTATCAGCCTGCATCTCATGCCTCCAAGGGAGACTGCAGGTCAGTCATTGAGTGGTGAGGGGTGTGTGAGTGAGTGTGGGGTCACACAGACACACCCACTGCTGCCACAGGGTGGGCGGCTCCAGATGCTGGCCTGGGTGCTGGTTCTCTGAGAGGCTGTGGCTGGACCAGGTGCACTACAAGCTGCTTCCCTGGCTGGCACTGGGGAATGTGGTAGTGCCCAGAAGATTGGAGATGCCAGGAACCACAGGTCCCAAAGAGGGAGTCACAGCCCTGGCTTGGGGAACTCCCAGGTCTGGGCTCCCTGAAGGGCCACAGCTCTTCTCTCCTTCTCTTTACCCACAATGTGGTGAGCAAGGGGCATATTTCAGCTCTGTTTTTGTTATAGCTCTTTTAGCCTTACCATTCAGGAGGTCCCAAGTTCTTGTCCTGCGACCAGAAAGAATGAGGTGTGCAGATAAGAGGAGGGTGAGCAAGATGAAGAGGAGCTTTATTGAGCAATAGAACAGCTCAGAGGAAACCTGCAGTAGGCAGCTCCTCTCCATAGCCAGGGTGTCCCAAAGAGTGTTCAGCTCTCAGCAGAAGGGGCAGCTCCTTTCTGCAGCTGGTCATCCCATCATCTCTTCAGCTGTCAGCAGAGAGGGTAGTTCCTCTCTGCTAGGCAGGTTGTCCTGATGAATGTCCAGCTCTCAGCAGAAAGGGTGGTTCCTCTTTGCAGCTGGTCATCCCATCACCTCCCCATCGTCTCTCTGTCCTCTGTTTGAGTCTGGCTGAGTCTGGGGTTTTTATGGGCCACAGAGGAGAGGAAGTGTGTGCTGATTGGCTTATGGGTGACCATGGATGGGCCCAGAAAAAAGCACCACAAGTTCCCCCTCTGGGCTGTGGGACCAGTGGCCCAGCCCCCAGGCTTCAGGCCCTCTCCGGCTTGAAAGCTGGGCTTCACTGGGGACCCTCCCCCTTCTGCCCAGGAGCCTGTCTGCCTCCTGCTGCTGTTCATGGTGCCCAGGCTGTTCATGCCAAGGGGCACCTGCAGGCCAGTGCTGGGCTGTCCTCAGTGTCCCCTTGGCCTCCCTCCCATGCTTGTGGGCACCAAAGTCTGGAGGGGGCTGAGGTGGCAGCAGGCTTGTATGTCAGTACTGCCCTGAGTGTGTGCACCCCCAGCCAGGCTGTGACAGTGCCTGGGCTTGGCCCTGCCCTTGCTCCAAGATTGGAGTGGGTGCCAACAATGAGGAGAAGCCAGGCAGCAGGAGCAGGCACACTTGAGCCTGCAGGGGGAAGGGGGTGCTTGCTGGGCCCTGAGAGTGCAGAGATGCCTGGGTCCACAGCCATGTCAGGTTGGCTGCAGCTGCACCTAGGGAGCTCCTGCCCTGCCAACTCTGAAGGGCCAGGGCTTCTGCTTGTCCCTGGCTCCTGTAGGCTTCGTGGAGTGTGCAGCCCTGGCCATGCCTCCTTGCAGCCTGGGGCAGGGGCTCCAGGTCCTTCCTGGCCGTGGGCTGGCATCCAGGGCAGGGGTGACATCGCCACAAGTTCTTTTCATGGCCCTGGTGCTCAGTGGTGGTCCTGGGCTCCTCCTCACTTGGCTCATAGCCCTACTCCATGTGGTGCCTCTGGGAGTGGATTGGGGACCCTAGGCTTGACCACTGGAAGCATCAGGCTCAGCAGTCACCCTGATGTGGGGCAGACTCTGGGGACACTGCCTCATGCAGAGCCTCCTCCCAAGGCGCAGGAACCCAGCATCATCAGCGGGGTGGGTGTCCCTGACTTGCTTTACTTACCTGTGTCTATAGTGTACATATAGGACAAATGAAACCTAATTTACAAATCCAGTTCTTGTAGATGTTAAAGAGGTTGCCAGTGTATGTCCAAAATAGTTAGTAAACTAATATATTTTGTACATTTTGTTTTAAAAGTCATAGGAAAGATTGTCTTCTGAAAATGTGAGCATTCTTGCCCACTGGGTTGATGAAGATAGGAAAGGTTCTAGGCCAGAATGTTCATATTTGGAAGACTCTTTCAAATTATAACTGTTGTTACATGTTTGCAGTTTATTCAAGACTGCTGTGTGGAGTGGATGAATTCACTCCTTACTTGAAACATCTAGTCTACCTAGATGTTTAGAGGTGCCCAATGTATGTTAAATGTAGAGGTAGTAAAATACCACTTTGTAAATTTCTTTTTGCTAAAATTCATGGGAAATGTTGTCTTTTGGAAATTTAATTGTGAAGCCACCTTTGTGAGCAGTATAGTACTGTCTATACTTGTTCAATGGTTCAGAGGAGGTGGGAGGGAAGAAATTGCCAAAAGTAATATGCTAGTGTGTTCATAATTGGACATTTTCAGACACCATTTTTCTGTATGTTTCATGCATTTTGTTTTGCTCTGTATATAGTGTATATAATGGACAAATGAGTCCTAATTTTGTGACATTTAGTCTCTAGATGTTAAAGAGGTTGCCAGTGTATGACAGAGTACTTAGTAAAATTAGCATATTTTGTAAAAAAAAAAAATACAATAAAAACCTTCGGTATGGTGGCTCATGTCTTTAATCTTGGCACTTCACAAGGCTGAGGCAGGAAGATTGCTTGAGCCCACAATTTGAGACCAACCTGGGCAACAAAGTGATATCCCATCACTACAAAAAATTTAAAAATTAGCTGGGTGTGGTGGTGCACACCTGTGGTCCCAGCTACACAGGAGGCTGAGTCAGGAGGATCACTTGAACCCAGGAGGCCGAGTCTGCAATGAGCCATCTTTGTGTCACTGCACCCCAGCCTGAATGACAGAATGAGATCCTGTCTCAAAAAAAAAAAAAAAAAAGAAAAACAAAACAAAACCTTGCTTCAATATAGCTCCATTTTTTCCCCATTACTTCATACTGTTATTGTTACATATATTACATCTCTCCATACAATGTTATAATTCTTTTTAGAATAAAAATCACATATTTTGTCAAGGAATTTAAACAAAGAAATGAGGAAAATATATTAATAATCTTTCATGTTAACTCATATATTTACCATATTCAATGCACTTCATTTCTTCTTATGGATTTAAGTTATTGTTTGGTGTCATTTTCTATCAGGATGAAGAACTTTAGAATGTCTGGTAAGGCAGGTTTCTAGCACTAACTTTTCTGTGTTTGTTTCTTGGGAATGTCTTTATCTTGCCTCCATTTTTGAGATAGTTTTGCTGAGTATAGAATCCTCAGCTGACATTTTTTTCTTTTCTTCAGCATATGGACTATTCCCCTGTTTTTGGCTCTCATTGTTTCAGATGAGAAGTCAGTTCACATTAATGGTCCCTTGTACACGATGAATTATTTTTGTCTTTCTATTTAAATGAATTATTTCTCTCTCTTTTTGGCTCTCAATGATTTGAGTATGATGAGATAGGTGTAAGCATCTAAATTTATCCTACTTGAGATTGGTTTAGATCCTTAGATGTGTAGATACATTTCTTAAAAAAAAATTTCCCACAAAATTTTTAAAAATGTTTTTCTGCCCCTTTCTCTTTCTCTCCTTTCTTCCTGAGATTCCCATTAAATGTATGCTGATATACTTGATGTTGTCCTACAGGTGTTGAAAGCTCTGTTCATTTTTCTTTAATCTTTTTTTTCTGATCTTCAGATTAGATAATTTCTATTGATTTATTTTCAGTCACTAACCTACCACTGAGCTATTCTAGTCAGTTTTTTATTTCAATTGTTATACTTTTCAGCTCCTAAATTTTCATTTAGTTCTTAAAAAACTGTCTCTTTATTGAGATTTTCTACTTATTGCTTTATTGTTAAACAATAGGAAGTTTAATTTCTTTATAACAGTCATCACTCAATTAAAATATCTTACTGAATTAGTTATCTTTTTCCTTCTCTACTGTCTGCACCCCCCCACCCCACCCCCACTTCAATAGAATGAAAGCTAGGTATCTTATTTGTCCTGTACATCCCTCTTTCCCTAGCACCTATGTAATGCCTGGACCATAGTAGGTGCTCCATAAGAGTTATTAAATGAACACATGAGAACTTCACAAGGTAGAGTTTTTTAAAAACCCTGTGTTATACATGAGAAAATTCAGAGAGGTTAGGAAACTTGCTCAAAGTCACACAGCAAATAAATGGAAAAAACTGGTAATTTGCCCACAGAATGTCTTTACCAAAACCATTTGCAAGGCTGCTGCTGGAAAGGAAGGCAAGTCACACTGAAACCTAACAGGTGTGCTACATAGAAAGTTTGCTATTTATACTAGTGTTTACTGATACTGTACTGATATAAGATGCAATGAGATATATAAAACGAGCAAAGAAGCCAATTTCTGGTCTCACTGCAAAAGGAAAAGCAAAGCAAAACAAAACAAAACAGAAGCAAAGGAACCAATCTCTGGTCTACTGCAATTGTCCTGGGTAAATTATAGCATACCCAGGAAACTTACCTCTCTCAGTCAGGTACTGCCAACTGCATGGAAAGTCAGAAGAGCTGTAGAATTCTTATATATATACAGACCTTAGTGTGTGTGAACACAAAAAAACTTTAATTCCTTAAATATGCTTCCGTTTGTTCATTTAACATATTTGTAATAGCTGCTTTGCTGTCTTTGTCCACTAAATCCAACATCTGGAGATATTCAGAGACAGTTTCTACTGATTACTTTTTTCCCTGAGTATAGGTTGCACTTGGCCGTATCATTGTATGTCTCATAATTTTTTGTTGAAAACTGGACATTTTAGGTAATATGTGGTAACAATTATAAATTCTGATTTCCTGCTCTCTCATGTCCCCTAAAGTTGTGTTGCTGTTGGTTTAACAATTGCCTGGGATTTGAAAAACTTGTCTCCCCCACTGTGTGTAGCCACTGATGTTTTTGCTCATTTTTTTTTAAGTTCTCATTTTTATTTTTAAGCATGGCTTCCTAGGCATCATGTGTGTCTGCATACATAGCTTATTGGCTAGCCACTGATAGAATGGAATTTATACTAAGACTGTGACCCAAGACACTGAGTGACAACCATGTGAAGACACATACAAGCCAAGGAGAGAGGCCTCAGAAGAAACCACTCCTGCTGACGCCTTCATCTCAGACTTCTAGCCTCCAGAGCTGTAAGAAAATAAATGTCTATTTTTAAAGAAAAAAAGCCTTCTGTCATCTGCTGGAGTGTGTGTGTGCATGTGTGTGTGTGTGTGTGTGTGTGTGTGTGTGTGTGTGCGCGCGCGCGCGCATATTAGAGCACGATCAAATTAAGGCTGTTTTCAAATCTGCCTTGCTTTTACTTTCTGCTGGGTCGTTTTGTATCTCCTTGCTGCATGCATACAGTGTCAGGATTGACCAGGAATGTGTTGCTAGCTTGGGCTGTCTTTGGTCAGTGTTCACAGGTACACAACTTCAGCTAAGAATAGGTTTGTCCTGATGACAACTGCAACTTTAGCCAATAGAACCATCGGCCCTTCCAGGTGGCCTACTGCCAACACTGTCACTTTCACTGCCACCGCCACTAGATGTGGACCTCTCTCACCACTCCTCTTTGATGGTGCTGTGTGTCCTCACAGCCAGCTCCACCTAGGCAGAAATTCCTTGCCGATCTAGTTGTAATGAGGATGGGAGCAGCTTTCTGGCTCCAAGGTTTTGCTTAAAGGACTGTAGATTTATATTTATCTTTAAGAGGGGGGAAAATGAATTTGTCTTTGTGGTAGGGTTACCAGATTTAACAAATAAAAATAAAATTAAATTTAAATTTTAGATTAACAGTATTTTTTAAATGTAAGTATGTCCCAAATATTGCATAGAAAAATCAGATAAAAATTGTTTTTTAAAAATTTGAAATGTAAGTTTTCTGAGCATCCTGTGTTTTATCTGGCAGTCCTACTTTGAGGAGTTCCAAGGTTTATTACAGAGAAAGTAATATTTCAGCTGAGTCTTAACAAATGTGCAGGTGGTGACCAAGGATGGGTCACCTTGCTGTTTTGGAAAGGCCAGATCTGGTCCAACCCACTGGAGAGACCCATTTTATTTTATGGCATATAGCTGGTTGGGGACTGGGAGCTATAAAACTTCAGGCTGTTTTCTCTCCCAAAAGGCACATCACAAGTAATGTAGCAATTATAGACTTAAAGGTACATCATTTTACAAGGAGGCTAAGAAGAATTATATTTAGAGTTGGGAAAAAAACAGACTCCTTTGGAAAGTTTGGTGTCTTGTCTGAGCTTACTGAATTATTTTCTAGGTTCCTGGGACAGGAAAGTCAGAAATGACTATTCTCATTTGAAGTATCAGGATTAAATATATTACCATGTGTCTCAGGGCCAAGTAAAGGACCTGCATAAGAATGTACATGTTTATGGATTAATAATGAATGTGTGAAGGAATGAATAAGTTTCTGTTGTGGAATAACTGATTTCCAGTAGATATTTTCTCTCAATCCCATTAAAGATTCTTAACTAGAGTCTAGAATTCCTTTGGAATCCATAGATGGGTTTCACAGAGCCTGAGACCCCCAGAATTATATTTGAAATTTTCTGTGTATGGATATACATGAAATTTGTCTGGTTAGAGCTGTGCTATACAATATAGTATCCACTAGCTATGTGTGTTACATATACACACACACATATATATATACATATACACACACACACACACACACATATATATATATATATATATATATATAGAGAGAGAGAGAGAGAGAGAGAGAGAGACAGGATCTTGCTCTGGCACCCAGGCTGGAGTGCAGTGGTGCTATCATAGCTCACTGCAGCCTCAATTGCCCAGTCTCAAGTGATCCTCCTGCCTCACCCTGCCATAGTGTTGGGATTACAGGCATGAGCCACTGCACCTGGCCTATGTATGCTATTGAGCACTTGAAATGTGTCTAATGTGAATGAAATAGACACCAGATTTCAAAGATTTACTACAAAAAGGGAATAAAATATCTCCTTAATAATATTTTATACTGATTACATGTTGAAATAACTTAGGTATATACAATATAGTTTTAATATTAATTTAGCTTTTTAAATGCGGCTTCTTGAAAATTTACCATGATATACAACTCACATTATATTTTTATTGTATAACACTGCTGTTTTAGTCTGTTTGTTCTGCTATAACAAAATACCTGTGACTGGGTAATTTACACAAAATGGAAACTTATTTATCACAGTTCTGGAGGCTGGAAGTCCAAGATCAAGGTGCTGGCAGTTTCAGTGTCTGGGACGGCCTCACGTCTTATTACTATCATACTGGTGATTAAGTTTCAACATACGAATTTTGGAGGAGACACAAACATTCAAACCATAGCAACTGTATTAGAAGGTTTATCTCTTTCCTAAGTCTCAAAGGAATCTGTGACCAGATATGATTAAGAGTCATTCTAGGTGGTTTACATCTGACCTAGGATCAAGCCACATCACTAGATGTTCATATAACAGGATCACATTATCTTATCCACTGGAATTACTTCACCATGGGAAACTATTGCACTTGTCATAATAATATTGTTTAGACTATTGTCCGTTTATCCATTCATTCAATAAACTTGCAGATACTGGTATAGGCCCTAGGGTACAGCAATGAACAAAACAGAGGAAAATTCTGGTCTGGGGGAACCTACATTCTAGCTGGTGGTAAGCCAATAAACAAAATAAATATGTGGTATGTTAAAATGATGGTAGATGCTATGCAGAAAAATAAGCCGGAAAAAAGGGGGCAGGAGTGCAGGGATGAGAATGGAGGTTAGCAATTTTAAGTGGGATTGTTGGGAAAGGTCCTATTGAAACAAGGACATTTGAGCTAGGACTTGAGGCAGTGAGGGAGTGAGTTGTGTGAATTACAGGGAACAGAACATTCCAGGCAACAGAACAGTAGCTACAAAGGCCGGAGGCAGGAGCAGTCCAGACATATTAGTGTAACAGCAGGACAAGGCATCCCCTCTGTAAAACCACACATAAATTTTTTTTGTAATACCAGTCCTAATTTAGAACTTGGTTTTTCTGTGGAACTGGGATATTGTATCCTCTCTGGTAACACACATGTATGTGTTGCTGAATAAAGTTTTCTCTTTCTTTTGACTCTCAGGAAGCTTGGAAGAAACTCGATGGGTCATCATGAACTGAATCCAATGTATCTGTATTTTTGTCTTCGCCTTGCTTTGTCTTTCTGCTTTAGTTTGTATTTCCCTTGAATTTCATGCTTTGCCCTCTTATTTATAGTTTACCATGAATTTTGGTATATGCATCATAGGAAGCCATTCCAACTGCTTGAAAGAAAGAGGCAGTGAACATTTTGGGAAGCAAAACCCTGTCAGTGGCAAGATCCATAATTTATCACTGTTAATTCACCCATTCATTCTACAAATTTAGCAAATGCCAGTTAGGTGCTACTGACTGTGGAGTGAAAGTAGCTGCCACATGTAAAAACAAATCCACTTTTAGATCATTGTGACTTTAAAAATGTGTTCAGTTGCTGGCTGGCTCACTCACACATTTGTGGCTTTATATTGTAATACTATTGTGGGTCTGTTGAAGGTTGAAATCTGATTGTAAATCCCTATGTGAAAAAGCTCTGTAAAGTCAGTTTTCTCTCTTGATGTGTTCCCTGATGGCTGCCTGTAGAGCTTCCATAGGCTGCATTCAGCCCTTGGGTTTGGGGCCAGCCATCCTTTCAGATGACCGTCAAATTAATACAATCCACATTTCTCTTTCCAAAGATGTTTGTACATCTTTCATGGAGACACTAGGGACTCCTTATCACATGCTAACACTTTTTAGCATTTTTGAATTTGGTGGCTTTTCTTTGGTAAGTGTAGCAGATGGATTGCTAAGGAGTAAGGCATATTTGTCACAGTGGGTGGATATTTTCTGCGTGGACATTCTGCATTTGAGATTAGTTTGTTTCTTTTACTGTTGTCATCCATGCATTCCCTTCTCCTCTTCCTCAGTAACTTGGGCATATTTTTGTAGACAAAAAGAGAAAAAATGATGACAGTTTTGGGTTTGCAGAATCTCTGAGGTCATTTGTACCCAAAGAGATAAAAAAGTTTATTAAGTGTGCACCTGCTGAGGTACTAAAGGGAAGCAGAAAGTGCTTGTCCTTCATCTTTATTCATGAAGCCCTTGAGGGTGATGGGAAAGGAGACTGGCAATTAGGAGGCCAAGCACACTTGTAGACAGTCAGACTGTGCAGACACATTTGGGTTGGCGAGTCCTGGCTGCTTCTGTTCATGTGCATTCAGCGCTGTGCCAAGCCGTCTACCTTGGTGTGCTCTGCATTATTAATCTTTCATAAGGGCACTTATTTGTATGCTGCAGAGGAGGCCAGGTTGGCACAGTCTCATCTCCACTGAACCCTGCCTGTTCACTGCTGTGACACCAGGGCTCCCAGAATGATGCAGAATTGAGCAAGCACAGCTGAAAGACAGCAGATTGTCTGAAAGTAGGAAAAACATGCGTTTAGTCAATTTTAAATTAAGAGGCTTTGTTTACATTTTCTCAGCTCCTTTTACAGAGTTAGTCAAATTTTAGATTCCCTCCAAAATTAAACAAGTGTCAGGAACAGATGGTGGGTTTATTTTACTTCATTCAACCTGCTCAAAGAGTGTGAACTCAGAAACAGATCAGTGTGACACAACTTTTCATGTTAAATTGTCAAAAGAAAGCTTAATGTATGACTCCCTCAAAGAGAATAATTTATATGCATGTGAGGTGATAGCCTATGGGTTATATTGGTCCTGACCAGACCTGACATTATCCTCTTGTCCTGAGAAGACAGGCTGCTGGCAAAGCCTACTAAATAGGAACGTAGAAAGTCAGGTCTGGGCTTGTATTAATAGTTAGTTCTAGCTTATATTCTATCAGCTTTCACGTTGGGGAAAAGATTTAGTAAATCTCGATATTATGGCTAAAATGAAATGCTTTGATGGTGTCAATGATCTCTGAATTAATGATTCCAAGTTTACTTCCCCTTTCAAGCCAATTTCCGGTGGTCTTTTGGAGTTAACTTTTGTGTATCTTTTACAACTGCTGTGATCTCATTGGCGGGAGCAACGGAGGGAAAGCCAGTCTAATAGAATTTCAAACACGTTGAAAATCTTGTTTTATTCCTTCTCATTTGAGCTTGCATTTGAATTTGGGCAAGGCTGACACTGTGGGAAAACATAAATAATTTGGACAAAGTTTCACTTGTGATTCTATAGAAATACTTCCTCTCTTTTTATAGATATGAGTAATTGTTTTTCAATTACATAATCACATAATCACATTGGAATATTTTCTTTGTTTTGGAGATTCTTGTCATCTAAATGAGGCATTCCATTTGGAAACTAATAGTGGTTAAAACAGAGGTAATGATTTTTTAATGGGTAATTTGAGTCTCCATTCTCTACTTCCCACCCTTTCCCCTTGATAGCATATCATGAGATTTTTAATTATCCAGATAATTACTTCAATGCTCCACTTAATATTGCATTTGCAGAAACATCATAGTACGTCAGGTTTTTAGGTAAATGTCTGAATACTCCAAATCTGCTCCACTTGTTTTACTCTGTTACTAATGTAAAATGACTGTGGAAGTCAATTTCTAATTAAAAATAGAAAAACAGCCAGATCAATAGATGCCCAGTTGCTTGGTGTTTAGTTCAGACTTTTCCTAAACTTTCTGATTTCTCATGGAACCTAATCAGATGATGTTCTTTAGCTACGCAGCAAGCCTTCAGTAATAATTTAACTTAATAAGTTGCCAGATAATTCTTATGTAAGGTGAGTGACTGGTCAGATGTTCAAAGCTTTTCTTAATCTTGTTGTTAGTATCGATAAGCCTGTGACAAGCATCAAAAATATAAAGTTGGACCGGGCACAGTGGCTCATGCCTGTAATCCCAGCACTTTGGGAGGCCAGGGCGGGTGGATCACCTGAGGTCAGGAGCTTGAGACCAGCCTGGCCAACAAGGTGAAACCTTGTCTTTACTGAAAATACAAAAATTAGGTGGGTGTGGTGGCGTGTGCCTGTAATCCCAGCAACATGGGAGGCTGAGGCAGAAGAATCGCTTGAACCTGGGAGGTGGAGGTTGCAGTGAGCCAGGATCGTTGCACTGCACTCCAGCCTGGGAAACAGAGTGATACTCTGTCTAAAAAAAAAAAAAAAAAAAAAAAAAAAAGCAAAGTCCATGCTAAAGAAATATCTTCATTAATAATAATAAAAAGAAAATACTTACTAATATTTTAAAGCATGTATCCAGGGAAATATTCTCATTGGTCATCATCATGGATTTGCTGGGCAATGTATGCATTTTTAGTACTTTGTAGCATGCTAAAGTAAAAAGATGTAAGATAAATGGCTAGTGGAGGATATTCCTCTATGGAAAGACTCACCTGAACATATTAATAAAGTAATTTATCACGGAATGATTATGTGTATTTCTAATTACAACCAGTTGTGTATGGCCTGTCCTCAGTTTGATATTTATTAAGAGTAAAAGAAAATGAATTTCTTAATTCTTTTAAGAAGGAAAAAATAAAGAGCATCAAAAATAATTAGCTGGCTTGTACTTAACTTTGAGGCGAGCCCAAGACATGATATACAAAAGAAGTAGGTGTTTCCTAATTACAGTGGTCCCCGTTATTGGAAGGAAATATGGTCCAGGACCCCCAGTAGATGCCTGAAACTGTGTATAGTACTAAATCCTGTATATACAGTATGGACTATGTATTTTTAATCTGATAACTGGGATGGCTACTAAGTGGCCAATGGGCAGGTAGCATATACAGTGTGGATAGGTTGGGCAAAGGATAATTCATGTCTGGTGGAGGGTGGGGTGGAAGACAGAACAGGATGGTGAGAGATTTTATTATGCTACTCAGAACAGCACAATTTCAAGCATGCAAATTGTTTATATCTGGAATTTTCCATTTATTATTTTAGGACTGCAGTTGAACATGGGTAACTGAAACCTCAGAAAGTGAAACGCTGGATAAAGGGGGATTACTGCATTTGCTTGCCTAATTATGAATCTGGAGTCCATTATCATTAAACAAAACTTGATGTTCAATTCATGGATGTAAATACACTACACTGTGTGTGTTCATAATTGACATTTCATATATTTTAAGCATTTACCCTAAACAAAAGTTAGTAATAACTGCCATTTTCTGAGTTGCTTACTCTGTACAAGATACTGTCTTAAGTGTCTATGGAATCCTCATGGTGGTTGTAGAGACTGTCATTTTATAGGTGAAGAAATCAAGGCTCAGAGCAGCAAAGACACTTGTCCCAAGTCACACTGCTGGTCAGCACATTGAACTCAGTCTGTCTGGTTGTATTATGCTGCCTCATTGGGAGTATAATCCATGATAGAAAACTTACTTTAAATTTGTTTACATAGTAATATAGAGTTTTACTTTTCTTATAGTTAGAAATAGATAGGATATTATTATTGAGTTCTGCTTGTCCCCATTTAAGTTTTTCTGAAAGTGTCAGCCTGTTTTGTCAAAGTTGCTAAGGCATCCAGTAACTTTTCTCAGCTGGTAGAGAAGAGTCAAGGGAGAAGCTAAAACTTCTAACAGGATACTGAAAAATCAAATTAATTATCACAAATATCTAAAAATCCTTAGAAAAAATGGTAAACTAGAATTAAAAAGTGGAAAAACAATAGATGTTGGTGTGGATGTGGCAGAAGGGAACACTTACACTGCTGGTGGGAATGTAAATTAGTACAACCTCTATGGAGAACAGTATGTAGATTCCTAAAGAACTAAAAGTAGATCTACCATTCAATCCAGCAATCTCACTATTGGGTATCTACCCAAAGGAAAGTAAGTCAGTATATGAAAAAGACACAGATACATACACATGTATGTCTATAGCAGCACAATTCACATTTGCAAATATATGGAAGCAACCTAAGTGCCTACTGGCCATCAAGTGGATAAAGAAAATGTGATATATAGAGACCATGGAATACTACTCAGCCATGAAAAAGAATGAAATGTCTTAGACATACAGAGTGATATAATGGACTTTGGGAACTCAGGGTTGGGGGAGGTTGGGAGGTGGTGAGGGACAACAGACTACATATTAGGTATAGTGTACACTGCTCAGGTAATGGGTACACTAGAAGTTGAGAATTCACCACTATAGAATTCATCTATGTAACCACAAACTATGTGTACCTCAAAAGCTATTGAAATTAAAAAAAAATGGCAAACTGAGTTATAAATTTAAAAAATCCAGTAAATTTAAGTGAAGTAAAAGGAATTAAATAATATTTAATTAAAACAGAATTGTTTTTAGACAATTATCAGTTTAAAGATGATTTCTCCTAGCAACTGAAATCTCAAGCATTTTAAAGGGGTTTTAAAATGGTGACTTATAAAAATTACTCCACATACTTAAAAATCTCAGTTTCCTTCTGCAGTTGAGCAGCCTTCATATGACAATTTGCAAATGGGCTCAGATTTTTCCCTATGGATCTTGCTATACATTTGTAGCAAGTTTGTTAGGGAAAGAACAGGATAGAATAACTTTTCACATTATTCTCATGTAGACATCATTTTTTTAAACTACTTTAAACTTATTTGATGTTTTGGAAATGTGAAAGATAAGTAGACAGATTAAGCATGGATATTCAGAACTTTTGGAGGAAGTTTAGTGATGACAGTGATGACAGTGTTAAAATTATATATGTTCTCATCGATAAGATTCAAGATGGAGAGAAGATTGCTTTTGGCATTGTAGAGGTAGCCATGAGGAAAGGAATGATGATTTAGGCAAAATAAAAATATATCAACAAATTTAAGAAAAATTTGGGCAGTTCTTTCACCAGAGATTAACACAAGGAAGGACGTGGTCATGTACAATTGGCTCCAGATTGCAGCAAGCCCTGGAGGTCAGATTGAATCCCATTTTGACTCTGGAAAGTGATTTATTGAACATCTACCATGTGCATCTGTTTTATTTTAGCAGATACTGAGATAAAACAGTAAGGAAAATGTGGAAGTTATGCCCTCAAGGATATTTTAACCCAAAAGCATATGTCAGGATAAGTGTTGAGAAACTGGTATATACACATACTTCCTTTACATGCATGGAAAGGAAGAACAGAAATATGTGGAAGGTCACACATATAGACAAAAAGAAAGAGGAAGAACCAAAATGACCTATCTGGACACTAGGCTTCTGTGGGGACAGAAGCTCTGTCTGGAGTTTTCAGCTCTGTCTGGAGCTTTTAGCTCTGTCTGGAGATGAGCTCAGCTGAAGAAAACTGCCTCCCTCAAAATCATGTTTACTCAGTCACTGACCTCTGTGCAGTAGCCAAGTAACACTTGAGTATAAAGACCTGGCTCTCTTGCTCCAACTTAGGACAACTTAGAAAAGCCATCCCAGCTCCAGAACTACTTGAGGGGTAGGTAGAATTCTTTGTTGGTCCTGCATTGAAGCTTAACTTCTCCCTCTGCCCAAATCCACCTCCTTTCCTATGTTTCTACAAGTGTTAATCCCAACAGCTCTTTTTAGTAAACATACAGGTTGCCAGTCTCCATCTCACCATCTTCTTTGTGGGAAACCCAACCTGTAATAACTTCTTGGGTCTATTAATGACACTGCCCTTCTTTTCAGCTCCTCTGCTTCTCTGTGACTCTCTTTCATCTGCCATTCTCTTTGTTTATTTGTCTTTCCCTTGTCTAGTCACCCTTCTTTTTTTCTCATGCTCCTGTCTTTCACCAAAATGTATGCCTAAAATGTTTGTTTTAATTGTTTAGTAGTGTTTATTGTACTCTATTTTTTAAAATAATTGTTTTCTATTTATTTCTTTCATAGTACACTCTCCTTTCATTCCTTCTAGTTTCTCTTCAAAACAATCTACAATCCAACACACTCTTCATAAAAAAATAAACAAAAAATTAGCCCAAATAAATGACTGAATCTCATTTTTGAAATTACCTATATGGCCCTTAACTAGGGTGACAACATGAGTATATGCTGTTGTCTCAGTACTGTATATTTATTAATAGCACTCCTCTTCACCCTCAAAAGTGTCCTGTTTTAGATAAAAAACTGCTTAGATATTTTATTTACTTTTAATGGAGTTTTGTAGGTTTCTGCTGATTTGCAATTGGAAAAATGCTCCCCTCTTCTAGTTTAGGTGGCACATTTATTTAATAAAATCTTAAGAATGAAGTCAAGGTTTATGTGTCATTATCTCAACCCCCTCCCCCCCCACCCCAGTACCTTTGAATTGATTCAGAAATAAGCCCTTTTGGAATTAAACACTTGAAATGTTGTGTAAAAATTTTGATTTTAAACAGTAACTCAAGAAAGGATGCCAACAGTCTTTTTATTAGTTTGGTACTTTCTCTGAAGATTCATTCCTGTTAACCATACCCACAGATAGGTTCATTGAAGAACTGCTTCACACATTAAGTCCAAAGACAAAATTCATTCATTCAGAAAAAATCCATTGAGTGAGAACGATGGCCAGGTCCTGCTCTTTAGGCGTATAGTGGTACCCTTGCTCAAGCAAATAAATGCATGAGAGCATTTCAGATTATGAACAAAACTATTCATGGGATAGTGAATAGTTGGGATCCCATGGGTGGGATGGATGTTGAGGGAGGGCCTCATGGAGGAGGGGGCATTTCAATCGTGACCTAAATGTCAAAGATCTAAATGTAGAGTGTTCCCAGGAGAGGGAAGAGTGCATACAAAGACCCAGAGGTGGAAATGAATGTTTGATTGGAAGGCAGTGAATAGATGGCATAGTGCAACCAGTGGGCCTGGTAATGTGGAGCCCTTCTTGGATTTTATTTTGAGTAGTTTAGAAAGCCATTGGGATGCTTTAACCAGAGTGTGACATAATGTACTTTACATGTTTAGATCATCATTCTGGCCACTGGGTGGTAGATGGACTGTAGTGGGGCAAGAGTGAAAACTGAGGGACCAGTTGGGCTCTTGCAGGAATCTCAGTGATGACGGTGGCTTGGATCTAGGTTGGGAATGGAGGACATGGAGCCAACATGACTTGCTGCTGGGTTGGAAGTAGGGAAGAAGAAAAACTGAGGCTTGCTTTAGACTTCTGGTTTGAGCAGCTGGTAGGTCAGATAGTGTCATCATAATGAGTTGAGAAAGATTGGAAGAAAGACTAGGTTTTCTTTTCTTTTTTTTTTTTATAAGAGGGGATCTGGTTAAAAAAAAAAGAACTATTTTTGGGCTGTTTAAAATGTTAGATGTTTCTAACCAGATTTTAAATGAGATTTTTCCTATTGTTTTGGGATTTTAACTGAAGCCCAAAGCTGAGGACAGTAGGTGACCATTGCCCCCATTTTAAAAACAGATGTTATACACACCCTCACATGGCATGTTAAAAGGTGGCTGAACTAGACCTGAGCTTGCCTCTAGTATCTGACAGAGAGAAGGATTCTTTAAAGGTGGTCCATGGAAGTAAGATGCCCTTCTCTTTTTATGTGTTTTTTTACCCCACAAGCTGAGAAACAGACTTCAAGACCCCCTTAGAGAGACTGGAGATGTTTGCCAGAAGGAGGGCACTAGCTTGCTCTTTGACCATCAATAAATCAACTTTGCAAGTACTGTATTCCTTCATCTGTCCAAGTATTCTAGGCTGCAGGGTGAGAGGAAATTGGGGACTTGTGCTTGTTGTGTGTTATGTTTATTATCCTACACTTATGTATACATGCATTGCAAGATATATCTTTTACTGACCCTAACAGAAATTTCAGATTGAGTAGGTAAGACAGAAATGCAAATGGTAGGTATTCTTATGTAAAATCAATGGTGGAATCTTAGCATTGATAATTAAACCCAATGTCTTGTCTTTTAAATAAGATAACTGAGGGCCTCAAATGCGAATTGACATGTCCTAGGTTTCAATCCATTAAAAATGCAGCCAGGACCAGAACCCAGATATCCTGACTCTTGGTGATGGTTCTTGCATTAACTCTTTGTTAAGATGGAAACAAAACAAATTTTCACTCTTTTGTGGGGGACTATTTAAACCAATTCTTTTAGAAGTAGGCCAGTAATGTGGGTAAGAACAACTCTTTTTTTTTTTTTTTTTTTTTTTTTTTTTGGTCTTTTGCCTTTTACTCATTGCTGAGAGACACTTCTTCTCTCAAATCTTTAAGTTCAGAAATTCTCTGAGATTTTGGTTTAAGTAGGAAAAAATAGTTGAAATACTACT
Source organism: Homo sapiens (assembly GCF_000001405.40). Classification (NCBI taxonomy): domain Eukaryota; kingdom Metazoa; phylum Chordata; class Mammalia; order Primates; family Hominidae; genus Homo; species Homo sapiens. Next base: position 53,537,958 of record NC_000002.12, on the reverse strand, counting down.
GATTCACTATTGTGTCTTCCCCTTCCTCCTCATATTTCTCTATGTCCTCTCCCTTACATCCTCATTTTTTTTCCTTTTGTTTTGCTGGCAAGCTGCAGAACCTCACTGTGTTAAATACCTTCTTCCTAAATTATGACTTAGCTGCCCCTTTCATGGAGAAGAGAAGGAAATAGCACGTGTGTTTCACCATTACAGTGACATATTTCCCTTGGCATTGTATTTAATTAGATTATAGTGAATGTCATGCTGTGTGGTGCTGTGTTTTATTAAGGCCAAAACGTGGTTCCATGATAGAACATGCTGTAAATCCTGCAGTGCAGTACAACACAAAATTTGTAGCAACACCTGTGTCTGCTACATCATAGAGGGTAAATACGGGCCAAAATGTCTATGTAAGGGAGGAAAAAGCCAGGGAAGGTGCTATTATCCAAGTAAAAAACATTCTCAGCTTAAGGCATAAAATCTAAGTTTATGATAGAAATTTTCAAACTTTATAATATTATCAGAATGAAGCATTTCATTTTAAGCATGATCGTCTCGTGCAGGCAGTGCTGGAAGATTGAGGTCACTGAAGGATTCGGGTATTCATTTGTTCACTTGTCTATTTGTTCAATACCTATTTGTTGATCATCTGCCTTTTACATAGCACTGAGGGGATACAAAGCTTGTTTCCTTCCTCAATGAGCTTGCCCTGCGGATCCACTTGTGAGCCTTATTTTCCTTATCATTGAAGTGAACCGTGGCTACAATGATACAGCTTTCAAAAAAGGCTCCATTGCAACAAATGTTTGTTGAACACTGGCTGGCTCTATGGAAAGAATTAGACTGGATTCTATCTATGTTCTAGTCAGAGCCTTAGCTGTTTCTTAAAATGAATATTTGCTCCCCCCGCTGCTTATTTTCACATTTTCTTCTTTTGCCAAATATAGGAACTTCTTTGTGTGTGCCATGATTCAAACTAAAGAATAAGTGGACATTTTAAATCTGAGGTTACTTTATCCATTGGCTCTGCTTTATCTCCTTCCTCCAGGCCTAATTTGGTACTCATATGGAAATATGCCAAGAGATAATAAAATGGCATAGGAATAAGCCACTTGTTGGAAATGTATTACGCTCTTCATCCAAGAACATCATACTGATTGCTGGTATCTATGGAGCATACTCTGATTTTATGTAGCTCCTGTTCAGTCCTGGGCTGAGCCTGCCATTCACAAGCCAGATTTGTTTTGTATCTGATGCTATCAAGAAGTCAGGGTGAATGATGCTTATTGCTGTGTGGAAGTTCTCAGTCCAGAGGACAGACTTTCCAGGAGATTTAAAATGAAGCACTGAAAGGCACACAATGTAACCACTATTTCAGGTCTTCTCTATCTGAAACCTTGAAACACATGAAATGGGGTTGGGTTGCTAGGTAGCACCTGTCCTGCCAAAAACTTTAACGGGCTGAGGATTTTTCCAAATGAGATAAAATCTCGTTTCCTTAAAGGGCTGGTTCTGCTCTCCTAGAATGTTTCTGGAAAGGCACCTGGTAGCTCTCTTCAGTGGAAATTATAGGAACTAGACAGTTATCACGACTGTTTAGTGATGAGATGTCATTGCTTAGTTAGTAGGATGACAGAGTTTGAGCTAGCCAAGCAGTGAGTCCCGTTGAGGTTAACCTTGGTAGATAAAGAGTAGAAGTTCTTATATTCATGAGAAGTTCAGACCAGAAGATGATCTATTGCTGCAAGCAGACACCACGAGAAAGAGGAGTTACTGACAGAATATGATAAATAACAGCTAGATTATACATGAGAAGAGGCTTAAATCTTTCACAAACTAATGAATAGATGACAATGATAGCTCAGTCAATGCCGATAAATAATAAAAAGTTGGCTGGATAGTGGAATATGGTACTAATTTGTGCACCACTCAGCATATGAGATTAAAAAAGTCAAAGAGTCAAGTATATGTAACATTAAATATGAATGATTAAAATGAGGATGCAATGAAGTGAAAGTCAAGTCTGTATGTGCCATAAAATATGAACCTACAGCACCCACAGGCATTTTTTTTTTCAGTCTCTTGGAGGATCAAAGTGTACCTGCCTCTGAAAGCAAATGTGTGTATGTTTCTTACATGTGAAAAGAGTCAGTATAAATAAAGAAAATTTAAAAATGGACAGCATATTCAGAAAGAATTGGTAATGTGACTTTTGATTCTGAACATTTGGAACATTGTGAGCAGTATTGATATTTGGCTCTGAGAATGAAAGACAAAGAACCAAAGAACAAAGGGCAGCCTGAGCTGGCAATGGACGAGAGTGGAATAGCAGATAATGAGGAGAGTAGTACAGCTAGACACACAGGGCCTTAGATGTCTGGGAGGATAACGGACGGGAAAGGACACAAGCAGGGCAAAGAAATGTGAAATCATGGCGCCTTTGATGAATCTTTTCCCTATCAGTCTAGGTACTCTGTAAAGCAGACCTAAAGAAATAAAGAAGCATCATCCAAAGGCCTGTCTTTGAGTTTCATTAATGATGACATGACAGAAGACAAAACATCCACATCCATATGCAGACTCTTTGAAAACACTGATGAGTGAGATGTCATTGAATCTTTTAGTGCTTATTAAATTGTATGGAATAGAGTGTTTCTGTTAGATGGAAAAATGTATATCCAGCTGGTTAAGAAATAAAGAGACAAACTAATTTGTATTAATCCAAGGAAAACCACTTGTCTGCAACTAAATGACATGGTGGTTAGAAGGGGTCTTTCTAATTAGTCAAATAAGAGCAGCATTGCCCATGTCTGGATACCCTAGCCTTTCTTCATATGTGTAAATTCCGTCACCTAAAGACAGATGTGAATAAATTTTGTCTTACAAGGATGATCAGAGAAGGCCCTCAGGAGAAAGAAAATGTTTAAGTATGGAGAGATAGGATGCTATTACTGCTATTGCTTAAAAAGTAAAATTCTAGCTAATCAATCATTTCTGTTCCTTGGTTTATCATTAGGTAACCAGTTTGGAAGAGTTTCTTTCTTTTGCCACAAGAAATTGGGTAGTCAGAAGTAATGATGATTTCTGTATACAGTTGACCCTGGAACAATGCAGGTATTAGGGGCATTGACCCCCTGCACAGTCTAAAATCTGTGTATAACTTTTGATGTCTCCCCTAAAACTTAACTACTAATAAGCACTGTTGACCTTAACAATGACATATAGTTGATTATGTTATCTATTTTGTATTTTATATGTATTATGTGCTGTATTCTTACAATAAAGTGTGCTAGATAAATGAAAATATTATTCAGAAAATTATAAGAAAGATAATATATTTACTATTCATTAACTGGAAGTGGATCATAATAAAGGTCTTCATTTTTGTCATCTTCACATTGAGTAGGCTGAGGAGGACGACAAAGAGGAGCATTGGTCTTGCTGTTTCAGGAGTGGCAGAGGCAAAACAAGTGGAGGAGATAGAAGGGGAGGCAGGAGAGGCAGCCACACTCTGTGTAACTTTATGGAAATACATCATAATTTTTCTGACTTTTTGCTTTTTCATTTCTCTAAAAATGTTTCTATAAGGTACTAATCCTTCTTCAATCCTTTGCTTTAGTTTTGGTGCCTGTATCATAGAAAGGTCCATGTTGTACAAGAAGTTAAAATCAGTCTTGAATAATCAGAACCCTTCTGTCAGGTTGTCTGATGTCATCTTCTTTTCTGGCACTGCTTTTATGTCTTTTTCCTCGTTGTCTGGCACTGATTCAGAAATGCTCATCTCCATCAAGTCCTGTTCTGTTAATTTCTCTTGTGTAGTGTCTATTTGCTTTTGAATTTCTCCAACATCCGTATCTTCAAACCTTTTATACCCCACTTTTTTTTTTTTGCCATTTCCACAGTCTCTTTTGTGATTTTCTTCATAGGCACTGTCAGAAAGCCTATGAAGTAATGAACAACATCTGTATATAGTTTTGTCCAGCAGAAAGTTATGGCTTGGGCTTGAAGGATTTAACTTTTTTTTTTCTATAACAACAATGGCATCAAAAGTCCTGGAATCCTTCCAGATTTTTATGGTGTTCTCTCTTTCAGGTTTCTCTTCCATATGCAGAAAACTGAAACTGGACCTCTTCCTTACACCTTATACAAAAATTAGCTCAAGATGGATTAAAGATTTAAATGTAAGACCTAAAACCATAAAAACCCTAGAAGAAAACCTAGGCAATATCATTCAGTACATAGGCATGGGCAAAGACTTCATGACTAAAACACCAAAAGCAATTGCAACAAAAGCCAAAACTGACAAATGGGATCTAATTAAATTAACAAGCTTCTGCACAGCAAAAGAAACTATCATCAGAGTGAACAGGCAACCTACAGAATGGGAGAAAAGTTTCTCAATCTATCCATCTGACAAACGGCTACTATCCAGAATCTACAAGGAACTTAAACAAATTTACAAGAAAAAACAAACAACCCCATCAAAAAGTGGGCAAAGGATATGAACAGACACGAACATCTATGCAGCCAACAGACACATGAAAAAATGGTCATCATCACTGGTCATCAGAGAAATGCAAATCAAAACCACAATGAGATACCATCTCACACCAGTTAGAATGGCAATCATTAAAAAGTCAGGAAACAACAGATGCTGGAGAGGATGTGGAGAAATAGGAATGCTTTTACACTGTTGGTGGGAGTGTAATTACTTCAACCATTGTGGAAGACAGTGTGGCAATTCCTTAAGGATCTAGAACCAGAAATACCATTTGACCCAGCAATCCCATTACTGGGTATATACCCAAAGGATTATAAATCATTCTACTATAAAGACACAAGCACACGTATGTTTACTGAAGCACTATTCACAATAGCAAAGACTTTGAACCAAGCCAAATACCCATTAATGATTGACTGGATAAAGAAAATGTGGCACATATACACCATGGAATACTATGCAGCCATAAAAAAGAATGAGTTCATGTCCTTTGCAGGGACATGGATGAAGCTGGAAACCATCATTCTCAGCAAACTAACACAGGAACAAAAAACCAAACACCGCATGTTCTCACTCATAAGTGGGAGTTGAACAATGAGAATATATGGGCACAGGGAGGGGAACATCACACACTGGGGCCTGTCATTGGGTCGGGGGCAAGGGGAGGGATAGCATTAGGAGAAATACCTAATGTAGATGATGGGTTGATGGGTGCAGCAGACCACCATAGCACATGTATACCTACGTAACAAACCTGCACGTTCTGCACATGTATCCCAGAACTTGAAGTATAGTAAAAAAAAATTTTTTTAAAGAAAAAAAAAAGAATCATTTTCATGCAGTACTGTGTGTAATGAGCCTTAAAGTCGTTAAGAGCCCCCGACCTGAATTAGAGATGTGTTTGGGGGCAAGTATACCACATTTTTTCAGTGTTAAACTCATGGGGTTCTGGGTAGCTGGGGGCATTGTCCAATATCAAAAGAACGTTAAAAAACAGTCCCTTACTGGCAAGGTACTTCCTGACTTCAGGAACAAAGAATTGATGGAACCTATCCAGAGAAAATGTTCTCACTGTATAGCCCTTCTTTTTGTACAACCAAAAGACTAGAAGCTGGTGTTTATCTTTTCCTTTCAAGTCTCAGGGGTTAGCAGCTTTATAGATAAGGGCAGTCCTGTTTTAAACTCAACTGCATTTGCACATAACAGTAGAGTTAGCCAATCTCTTCCTGCCTTTAATCCTGGTGTTTGCTTCTCTCTCTCTCTCTTTTTTCCAGAGTAGAACACTTTTGTCTGCATTAAAAACCTGATCAGGCAAATATCCTTTCTCCTCAATGATTTTCTTAATGGCATCTGGGAACTTGTCTGCTGACTCTTGTTCAGCAGAAGCTGCTTCTCCTGTTATCTTGACATTTTTAAAGCCAAACCTCTTTCAAAAATTATCAAACCATCCTTTGCTGGTGTTAAATTCTCCAACTTTAGATCCTTCATCTTCCTTTTGCTTTCAGTTGTAATATAATGACTTCATTTTCTTCTCAAATCATATTAGAGTCCATAGGCGTGCCTTTCTTATAGCAATCCTGCAACTATATAAAAGCTGAATTTTTAATACGAGATAAAAATGTATGTTGCAAAAAGTACGAGGTTTTCGTGCATGCTGGTATAGCTGCAGTGAAGGTGTCACAAATTTCCTTTTTGTTTTTTACATCGGTCATTATACTGGCTTCATTTATCTCCAATTTGTGAGCATCCACAGCTACAGACCTCAATCTATGGTACATATCAAGCAATTTAACTTTTTCTCGTAATGTCATGACTTTTCTTCTTGGGAGCACTTCCAGCATTACTAGTGGTACTACTTCATTGCAATAGCAAGAGAAGGCCAGGCGCTGTGGCTCACACCTGTAATCCCAGCACTTTGGGAGGCCTAGGTGGGTGGATCATGAGGTCAGGAGTTCGAGACCAGCCTGGCCAACATGGTAAAACCCCATCTCTATTAAAGATACAAAAAATTAGCTGGGCATGGCAGTGTGTTCCTGTAATCGCAGCTACTCGGGAGGCTGGGGCAGGAGAATCCCTTGAATCCAGGAGACGGAGGTTGCAGTGAGCTGAGATCACGCCACTGCCCTCCAGCCTGGGTGACAGGGCAAGACTCCGTCTCAAAAAAAAAAAAAATAGCAAGAGAAGGTAGCTAGGAAATAATTGCAATAATATGAATTGTACTACAGTTACATTCATGCAGTTATGATTTAATACTACACCTTTATGTTTGTTTAAATTTCTCTTGACTGCAAATGGCACCACCATGTATGGTCTGAAGTGTTTGTGTGCATATGTTTTGATAAATTTTAACTTTTTATAATAGATTTGTGTATATTTATGGTAGTAAATGATAGACTAATATCTACATATATTTTATGAATTTATGACTTACCTAACTTTTTCTCAAAAATTTTAAATATTTCTAGGCTACAAGATTCATCTGCAAGTTTTCTCAAATGGTGGTAAATCTCCAAAAATTTTTCAATATTTATTGAACAAATCTGTGTCTAAGTGGTCCTGTGCAGTTCAAACCTGTGTTGTTCAAGGGTCAACTGCACATGATAAAGCATCCAGCAGAGAAGTGATTCAGTTCTTCATCATTTCCCACCTTCTGAGAGAGGACTTGAGTTCAGAATGCCGACTTCTGTCCCCTAGTATTCTTTCAGTAGTTAGTATCTCCCTTTTCTCAGAGGCAGAGATATAGAATGATGGGAAGGTGAAAGGAAATCCTGGCTCAGGGAATACAAATACCTTTTTCACTACTCTTGATAAACCTTAACAACCCATCCTCCTTAGAAAACAAAACAAAATTTCTAGCACTGAGGGTACACAAAAATACCAATATGATGTGTACAGGATAATGCCTCATCCCAATCAGAGGTCCACTTGTTATTGTGTTTGTTAATAACCCTTTATCTCTTAGTGTTATAAACTCTACTTAAAACTGATTAAAGTCTCATTCTTGTCAAAAAAACAAAACAAAACAAAACAAAGAAACAATCAAATAAACTATTTTTGTCATTTGTGCAGGCAGGGGAATCTTTCTCTTTGAAAGAGTGTGTTGGCTGGCATTACCAAGATTTGATTCATCTGGTGTCCCTGGGGAAGCTGGAAGCTTAGATTCTTAGGAATGACAAGAACCACAAAGGGTAGTCTGGTTGCCCTGAGAGAATATATTAAACCATGTATCAGGAACTTAGATTGTCTGTTCATGAATTTGTTTATTCATTCATTTATCTATTCTTGTAGGTGTTAGGGCAATAGTGTTGAGTGAAATCAGATGTGATTCCTGTCCTCATGGAACACTAATTCTAGTTGGGGAGATAACATATGCTAAATAACTAATCACAGATATGAAGTATATGACTATGGTAATAATGAAATGCTCTGAAGGAGGGCACCAAGTTTTGTAAGCACATGCAATGAAGAAGACAAACCTAGACTTGTAGGTTAGGAAAGACTTGATGGAAGGATGAATGAAAGTTAATTTGATGAGGTGGAATGGAGGAGAGTGTTCCAGATGGGAGGAGTCTCATGGGCATCACCCTATGGAAGGGAAAAGATTTTCTTAAAATTCTCCAGACACAATACTCGAAAGAGTAGTTTCTGGGGTTCCCTACTCCATGAAATCCTGGCTTTATTATTCACTAAGTGAACATTGCCAGTTAGTTTCTCTAAGCCTCAATTCCTGAGGAAAAGATTAAAAATGGTAAGAGATAAAAGTATCGACTTCATAGGGTTGCTTTGCATTAAATAAGTGAATGCATGTAAACCAGAAGAATTTGTGGTTCATTCTAACTAATTGTCAGTTATTTTTATTACGTGACAACATTCTAAATTTGCACAGTTTTCAGAGTCGGGAAATTCTTTTTTTGTGAAGTTTAAAATTTTATCAAAGTAATACATATACATATTTGAAGAGTCAGAGTGTTACACAGCTTGTAATGAGAAACAGCTGACCGGTCATCTTACAGCCTGATATTTTGCATTCCCAGGAGGCAACTGTTTTTCACCTCCACGTTTCTAAATAAAATGCTGGTACTACGACTTCTTGAGTTTTTAGTTTTCGACATTAGCTACTAACTTTCTTTTATGTAAGACAAGGATTTAACCTACCACATATGCTGGAAGTAATGACTGTTTCTACATATAAGATACGTAGAAACTTCTCTCCTCTTGCTGTATTTACAATCTTAAACCTATGTTAATGTAAATTCAGTGAGCCAGGTAGTATACTATTATCAATTTTGCTCCCTTTATAAGATTTTGTTTTTCTCAAAGTTAATAATATGTTTTAAACTTATATATTTGCTTATTTTTCTATGTATGAATTGCTGATTCAACCCAAAGCCCTCCTCAGTTGTGCATAGCTTATCTCAATACATTTAAACATATTAGGCCATCTACCAATTTTGTTTTTTTGAAAAAAATCTCCCCTAGAATTTTGGGTCTGCACTGATCTGTACTGCTTGATCTTTAGACCTGAGGCACAGCTGTTATGTTGCATTGCATCTCCCTTAACCATCGTGCCGAGGCTCTCTGTCACTTTCACTATTCTCTGGCTTTCCTTTTTTTTTTTTTTTTTTTGAAACAGAGTCTCGCTCTGTCACCCAGGCTGGAGTGCAGCGGCATGATCTCCGCTCAGTTCAAGCTCCACCTCCCAGGTTCATGCCATTCTCCTGCCTCAACTTCCCGAGTAGGTGGGACTACAGGCGCCTGTCACCACGCCTGGCTAATTTTTTTGTATTTTTAGTAGAGATGGGGTTTCACCGTGTTAGCCAGGATGGTCTCGATCTCCTGACCTCATGATCCGCCCGCCTCACCCTCCCAAAGTGCTGGGATTACAGGCATGAGCCACTGTGCCCAGCCTTCTGGCTTTCCTTTGATTATGTTTATCATCCATTCTTATTTTTCTCTTTCATTTTCATTTCATTTCATATTCCAGTACATTCCTGAGAAAAGGTATGCGAGAATGAAAAATTTTGAAATGTTGAATATCTGAACATGTCTTTATTCTGTCTTCACACTGAATCGATAATTTGGCTGGGTATAGAATTTTAGGTTGGAAATTTTTTTTCCATCGTTATTTTAATGGCATTCCTTCATTATCTTTTACATCTAGGAGATGATGTTAAGAAGTCACTGCCACACTGAATTATTTTATTTTTATTTATTTATTTATTTATTTATTTATTTAGACAGAGTCTTGCTCTGTTTTCGAGACTGGAGTGCAGTGGCAGAATCTTAGATCACTGCAACCTTCACCTCCTGGGTTCAAGTGATTCTCATGCTTCAGCCTCTTGAGTAGCTGGAAATAAAGGCACATGCTACCATGCCTGGCTAATTTTTGGTATTTTAGTAGAGACTGGGATTTCACCATGTTGCCCAGGCTGGTCTCGAACTCCTGAGCTCAGGCAATCTGCCTGCCTCAGCTTCCCAAAGTGCTAGGATTACAGGTGTGAGCCACTGTGCCCAGCCTGATTTTTGATCTTGTGTATGAAAATTGTTTCTTTTCCCTTCTCTGAAGACTTGTAGTATTTTCTCTTTGTCTTCCAGAATCTTCATGATGATATATGTCTGGATGTGTGATAATTTTTATCCCTTTTACTGGATACTTTCAGTCTAGAAAATTCTGTCTTTTAGTCATGAGGGATTTTCTTGAATTATGTTTTTGATTTTCTCTCCTCTGTTTCTCTCTCCTTTCTAGAATTCTTATTATTTGAAAGCTAAAAATCCTGGATTGATATACAAATTTTTATTTATTTTTCTTCCTATTTTCCATCTCTGTTGTATTTCTCTCTTTTGTAACATTTCCTCAAAATTACTTTCCATCCTGTCTGTGAATTTTTCATTTTTGTTATACTTTTAATTTCTAAGAGCTATTTTTTTGTTTTTGATTGCTCCTTTTAAAAATGGAACAATACCTTTCTTGTTTTATGGAGGCAACATATTCTTTTATCTCTCTAACAGTTAATTATAACATTTTTTGAAGTTTTCCTCTTCTTCCTCATAGCCCCCAACCTGCTTTTTTGTTTATTGTAGTCTCTTGTCTTTCATACAGAGCATTCATCAAATATCTGTTAATTCTTGACTGTCTGCTTATACTTAAGTGTGAGGGTGTAGAGAAGACTGGAAACTATGAACAGATGGAGCTTGTCTGCTCTGGCCTCTCAGTATAGGGAGATCTGGCTGGGCTCCCAGATCTTAACGTGGGAAGCCTCTGATACCAGTTATCAGTTTTATTAGGTCTGTTCTCTTGGACTAGTCAGATTTCTGAAGAAAGGTCTTCCTATGTCCTCTGTGTCTGTGTTTATGTTTGTATATGTATCTGGCTGGGAGCATTCTGGCAACCAAGCAGAGGAAAACGTCTGAGGGCCTTAACATTGGTATGTATATATTCACCTAATTTCCCTTATTTTAGTACAGTACCCTTTCCCTCAGCGAGCATAGTGTCTCCTGGTCCAGAAGTCCTCTATTTTACATTCTCAAGAGAATGAAACTTTAGTCCTCTACCAGAGCTGGGGAAGGGCAATCACCCAGTTGTATAGAGTGAAGGAGAGAAATCTTGGGTGTCACCTTATTTTCTCTGAAATAGTTTTTCATCCAGGCATCCTATTTTTAATCCTCACTTTCACCCTTATATCCAAAGATACGTGGCACTACTACTGTCTGAGCCTTTTGGGAGTTTGTGGTATAAATTGATTTGTTTTGTTCTTTTCCTACTGACTTAGATTCAGCTTACTTAGGACCTAGTCAACTATATAACTAACTTACTTGATTTTCTGACTTCCAATTTATAAAAGTATTCTCTTCTTCCCCATTGTTATTTTGAATGTACTCAAACTTAAAATTGTCCTTTTTTGTAATTGTATAGAGCTTAAGGGAAAGAAGAGAATTAAATGCATGTGTTCAATCTGCCATCTTTTGCTGAAAGTGAAAAAGTTAATTGATCTAAATCTTTTCTTAGGTAGAGAGCACTTTACATATTTCGAAGTTTTTTTCTGCCCTTCTCCACCGTAATTTGCATATATTTTCGTCTAAAAAAGATTGTAATATTTCAGTATTACTTATTTTTAATACCATCAACACCAATAACATTTTCTTCTATATGGAATCAATGTGTTGAGACTTCATGAAAAGGCAAGTTCAAATAATATTCTGTATGTTCTTGCTCAATAGTGATTATTGGTTTTAATAAGGCTGTAATTATAGTTAAAAGAATGATAGTTAATTCTCTATTTCTCAGGGACTGATTGCCCAATTTGGGGATTATTTAGATTCCTTGATTTCTATTTTCTTTTTTTACTGTTGCTTTGCTTCTGAGCCCTTCAGTTCTCATTAAGAAGTCTGCTTCCATTAAATTAAAAACAAAAGATAAGAAGTAGAATAAGTTGTACAATTATCATCTTTAGTTCAGCTTAACAAATATTTCTCAAATGTTTATAAGTGTTGTGCTAGACGTTGGAGTTATAAAAATAGGGAATGATCTCTACCCAGCCTGGCTCCATTATTTGCAGTTAGGTATTGAGGAAGTTGAAACTAAAATGGACAAGTATTTCTTTTTGATTATCTGTATAATTTTATTTGATCTAATCTTCCTACTCATTTTAAAAGTATTATAATTTTTTGGTTTAACCTTTTGAACAATGTTGAGATATATGAAGAAAAACTTAGTACTGCCTGCTCCCCAAAACCTTCCCTATTTAATTAACAAATGACCAAAATTCACCATGGAAATGCATATCTTTTGTTCAAGAGTCTGAACGTCATTAAATGTAAAAACACATTGTCTGTATCAAGATTTCAGTACCTGCAGAGTGTCTCCTGTCAGGAGGTTTGGCAGGCTTGGACATGGAGAGAAGATGATGCTGTTGCTCAACAGTAAGAGATGGTAAGGGAAGTGTTGAATGGGATTAAGGGAGAACATCTGAAAAGGAAGCCTGGTGATACAGATACCAGAGAAGATCACAAGTTTCTTGATGTTTTTATTCAGTTTTTGATTCTTTAAAAAATATGGCATCTATATTATTTTATTCTAATTCTAGGAAATTAACAATCCTTGAATGATCTATGTGGCAATGCCAAACTAACTAGCATATTTTATTGACCAGAACATCTTTCCTGCCAACTACCCTGGACCACTGAGGTTTATTGTGGATCATTAGTTCATGGAGGGAGGAGACCATGTGTTTCTTTTGTCCCTTTTATATCCCTTCTCAATACTAACATCTGTCCTCTAGGCAGGAGTGCTGGGACCTCAGTTAAGCCTGTTGATTGACTGACTGAAGATGTCCTGACATACTGCTTCATCAGTCATGTTTCTTCTCGGCTTGAATTATTTTAATGCTATTTTTACCTACTGAATTCTCAAATATGCCCCCTCTCCCATACCAGCTGATTCATCAGACCTTTATTACAGAGAATCTTGCAGTTGGAATTGCTCCCTAGAAGCTGAAAATAGCTCCAATTAATGGTTCATGGGTTACTGGGTAGTTAGACCCTGCCACCTGCATTTATTTACATTATTGAGAGCCTGGATGTCAAAGGCCCTGGGAGGTTTTCTGCACATTATGTTTGGGAAGGTGAAGATCTTATGGTCCCTCATCTTTTCAGAGAAGCAGAACCCCTGAGAAGAATTTTCGGGAGTTGATCCTTTAGTGGAGATTTGTTGAGGGGTGATAGGCTCCGACATGCTGCCCTTTCAAATAACCCATTCTCCCATCTTTCCTTCTTAATTAAAGAAATTATTGCACCAGAGTGGTTAACAACCAGCCTCCAGAGTCATTCTGCTTGGGCTCAAATTTAAGTTTTAGTATTCACTAACTGGTTTTTGCAAAAGTAGCCTTAGCCTTTCTGTACCTCAGTTTTCCCTTTTGCTTACTTGTAAAATAGGGATGATAATATCTACCTTACAAGGTCATTAGGTGGGAATTAAATGAATTAATACAAGTTAAATGTGTAGAAAATAAGTGTCCAATGGATGTTTAGCCATTATTATTATCATCCAGATAATATCATCAAAATGTCTTGAAGAATCCAGGGGATTTGGAGAACCCCTGACCTTCAAGTCCCTCTGAATTGCTTTTCACTGGGAAGAAAATAATGATCTGCTCTATGTAAACCCTCATTGTCACTAGCTCACTAATTAGGTTTCCAACTAATCATAGCCCAGAGGGTAACAGATAAAACTGGAGTATGGAAGAAGGAGTTGTACCTAAAAATAATGAGAAATTTGCTAAAATGTATTGTTGCTATGGAGGCAGCAGGGTATGCAGAAGCAGCAATGGACATGGGAATCAACGGCCTCTGCTTCTGGGCAAACCATTTAACCTCTCTTATCCTCTGATTTCTCGCCTGTAAAATGAAGATAAGAATATCTGCCTGCTTTACAACGAATGTTTGTGTTGCTCTAAAATTCATATGTTGTAGCCTCAATCCCCAGTATGATGGTATTTGGAGGTGGGTTCTTTTGGGGGCCAATTAGGGTTAGATAAGACCATAAGATCATAAGTGTGGGCCCCTCATTATGGGATGAATGCCCTTATGAAAAAAGGTGGAGGTGCAGGATCTCACTCTGTGTGCATGCAACAAAGAAATGCCACATGTGGATGTAACCAGAAGACAGGCATTTGCTAGCCAGCAAGAGAACCCTCACAGTTCTGGGGCATGGGAAGTCCAAGATCAAAGAGCCTGGGGAAGCATGCCTCATAGAACATTTTGAGAATTAATTACATACAAACGTTAATTATAT